>NC_000008.11:35920708-36223738 GCF_000001405.40 Homo sapiens | reverse complement strand
GGTCAGGCTGGTCTCAAACTCCTGACCTCAAATGACCCTCCCAGCTCAGCCTCCCAAAGTGCTGGGATTACAGGAGTGAGCCACTGTGCCCAGCCAGTTATTTTCTCTATCTTATGTATCTGTGTGATCTAGGTGTTTACATTATGCAATTCCTTAATGTCTATACTTCTGTCAGATTAGCAATTGAAAATTTACTGAGCCAGGCTCGTTCTGTCTGTTGTGAAGTGTGCCAATTACTGAGAAGATGAGTTTTGTACAGAGAAAGGGTTATTTACAAGGCAGCCAAGCAAGGAGATAGGAGAAAAGATCTCAAATCAACCTCCCTGAAGATGGAGTTTTAGGGATATTTATGGGATACAGAAGCAAGGTGGTCCAAGGCATAGTGAAAGGTGTTTGGGGGTAAGGAAAAATGAGTCAATTGGTGATCTGCACAAGCACAGTCAAGTTTCATGGCTCTCCATGGGATGCATGTTCACAAAATGGCATCATTAGCATGATCTAAGGGTGGAGATTTTTGCCCTCTGACATCAAAGGGTCACCCATCAGAGATTAATGCAGGCCAGTCAAAAGGTCTCAGCCAGCTCGAGCTAAACAAAAATGGACTCTAAGTTCCCACAAAACAACTTAAGCAACTGTTACTGTGGTGACCTATACACCAGAGATATTACCTATAAGGAAGCCAGTGCAAGGTTAGTTATATATTGCTTAGCTTCATGACTTTTAGGTCTATGGGTTTTAAAATAAACTAAAAGCAAGTGACTAAAAAACAAGGGAGAAAAGTTAACATTGGCGGGCCCAATCAGGTTAGCCCTCAGTTTTAAAAAGACCTATGATTTTTCATTTTGACCCCTCCTTTTTCAAATCATGAAACTGAGAATGATAGAGGCCAAGTAATGGACTCAAGGTCACTCACGATTAAATAGAAGCAAAGCTGAAATCCATACTCGGGGTAAAGGTGGCTCCCTGCAGATGGGTTTCATTGTGAATGAGATTCTGAGTGCTGATGTCATCTGTGCATGGTCATGGGAAGAAGCTCCGTCATCCTCAGGAATGAGACCAAGCCAGTTACAAAGAACTGATTCCAAGCCTCCAAGTCTGAACTAATGTCCACAGAGCACCTCGTTTCAGCTGTCCATTAAACAGCAATCTACAGGCGAACATTTCCTTTTTTTTACTTTATGAAATTTATATAAATATGATTCAGAGAAAAATCTTTGTTACAAAGCTTTTACTTTAGAATAGAAAGTTCCCTTTAATGTCTTATCTAAATAATATAACTACTTATCTATATATAGCATAGGGGCCAAGGGAAAACTTCCCCTTCACCACTGATGGTTTGCTGAAAAATCAACACACAAAAGGCAGATTAATAGGAGAAATGGCACACAAATTTGTTAGTGTGCATGGGGCAGAGTGATAGTGCCACCACACTATGGGTATAGATGATTATATAACCCATTTCTCAGGGAAAGGGAAATGGAAAATTTGAATGATTTTAGGAGATAGTAAATAATTTTTAGGGAAATTCAACAGGCTTGAAGAACATACAATGACCTGGGGCAAAGCCTGTTGGACTCAAACAGCAGACAATGGCTTGTGACAAAAGTCTGTCCAGGTGTGTTGACAGACCTCAGTCTTTCTTCCTGCAATATTGTCAGAGGCATTTGAACCACAGCAACTCCATCTTGAATATGAGCTGAGTAAAATGAGGCTGAAACCTACTGGGCTGCATTCTCAGACGGTTAATGCATTATAAGTCACAGGGTGAGATAGGAGGTCAGCACAAGATACAGGTCATAAAGACCTTGCTGAAAGAAGCCTGCTAACACCCACCAAAACCAAGATGTCCACAAGAGTGACCTCTGGTCGTCCTCACTGCTATACTCCCACCAGCACCATGATGGTTCACAAGTGAGTGCCATGGCAATGTCAGGAAGTTACCCTATATGGTCTAAAGGGGGAAGGCATGAATAATCCACCCCATGTTTATCATATCATCAACAAATAACCGTAAAAATGGACAACCAGGCCAGGCACGGTGGCTCAGGCTTGTAATCCCAGCACTTTGGGAGGGCCAGATGGGCAGATCCCGAGGTCAGAAGATAGAGACCATCCTGGCTAAGGTGATGAAACCCCATCTCTACTAAAAAAATATTAAAAAATTAGCCTGGCCTGGTGGCAGGTGCCTGTAGTCCCAGCTGCTCGGGAGGCTGAGGCAGGACAATGGCGTGAACCCGGGAGGCAGAGCTTGCAGTGAGCTGAGATAACGCCACTGCACTCCAGCCTGGGTGACAGAGTGAGACTCTGTCTCAAGAAAAAAAAAAAAAAAAAGGACAACTAGGAGCCCTTGGGGCTGCTCTGTCTACGGAATAGCCATTCTTTATTCCTTTACTTTCTTAATAAACTTGCTTTCCCTTTAAGGACTCACCCTGAATTCCTTCTTGCATGAGATCCAAGAACCCTCCCTTGGGGTCTGGATCAGTACCCCCCTTCCTGTAACAGTATGAATTCAGTTAATGAACACACAGGAAAGGGGCCAAAGGTAATTGTTTTCTTCTTTGGCAGGTCTGACCTTTAGGCAGATAAGGGAACTTTGGAGAACAACTGCATCTGGTGGATTGGAAGACACGGAGGATTGAGAGACAGGAGGGGTAGGGAAGGCCAAAGAGATACTAAGATTTCTTCAGTTCAAAGCACCATATTTTGGGATATCCATTTCTGAGCCCCAACAACAGATGTGCCCATACATGTAAACATTCAAAAAAAGCTATGTATAAATGGGAGTATATACCTTCATAACAAAGGCTATGGATATTTTTGGATCACTTTCAATAGACTTTACAATCCATCAATAAAATTAATACATTGCCACTGAACTCACAAAAACTTTGTGTCAATGGTTTTACACCAATGAGTCTTTTACATGACTTTAAAAAATATTGCCAACCATTGGCTGTGTATTGAAATAATATCTAATTACTGCTGTAGGTAGGGAAAATAATAGAATCTATAATTGTAGCAGAAAAACTGCAGTTTAAAGCATGCATGTGGCTGCTGAGATTTATGATTATACTAATCAAGTTAATGTCAGGGTTTATTTCATAATGTGAATTTTATGATTCAGGAAAACAACTATGATGGCTGAGAACAAGTTAAATGGATTTTTGTCCGAAGTATTGTTCCAGAGAATGATGTGAACACATATTGCAGTGTTTCCCAGGGAATTCTTTCATTTCTTTTCCTCACAGCTCTCTGCATTCTAGTATGATTAATATTACAGGCAAGTCTTGATTTTACTCATTTGATTACTATTACATGCAATTCTTGAGGGAAAGGAGCAGGGAGAGTACCGATGATTAAAATTAATCATATTATTCAAAGATTCATTACTAGTTTTTGTTTTACCTATACAAAACCATTTCTTGATTGTACCTAGATTTAATTTATAGAAATGACTAAATGATGACACACAAAGTTTTGTTACTCATAGTTCCCAAGAGAAGGGGACACAGGGCCACATAGAGAAGTAGCCTGTTCATTCAGGAAGCAGAAGGAAGGAAGAAGGGAAAAGCATGGCTCAGAGCCTTCACTGTGATTTCCCTGGGAAGAAATGGGTGAGACAAAGTGGGCAAGTTTGATCAAGTTTAGGATTAGATAGTTGGAATAATTTCAGCAGGCTCTGGGCTACAGGGGTGGTCTCTAGTTGTTTAGTACCTGACCCTGGGATAATTTAGGGCAGGACAAATATTGGCTTGGTGTCTGAGAGTTACATAAAGGAGGAGGTTGGAGATAGGAGCTTTGGATTCTTGGTTTGCAAATAAAAGGCATGTTCACAGGGTAGGTGGGCTGCGGCGGGGGAGCACATTTGCTATCTCTGGGAATTAGATAACTTTTGGAGGGACAGTCTCTCCCAAGCCAGAGAGGCCCCGAAGATGTCAAAGCTTCATAAAATATGAAATAGAAATAACACGATTAACATAATCATCCTGTAAGTTTCCTCTATTATTCTTGGTCTGTGCAGCTTCAAAAGAAAAGATCGGTTAAAGAAGGGATGAAGCTGAAATAAAGGAAAACTGGAGGGTCTTATTTGGTGTCACACAAAAAAGTTATTTCCATATCCGACCATGTGGTAAATGTGTTTCCCATCATTAAAATAAAATATTAGGAAATGAATTGCGTGTGTAACAAACATCATACAGATACATACGCATGTGTGTGTTTGTGTGTGTATTACTATTTGTTTGTACTTAAACTTGTTGTGAGTTTACACTCAAACTACTATTTAGGAATATGTCTTTCTTCTATATGTTAAAGCAAACTAAATATGGCCTGAGAAGGACTCCGTAATTCTATATTTGAGTCCTTGTGAATGAACTGCAACCTAACTTAATAGGCAGACAAGATTGTAAACCTAACTTAGGAGTATGCATCTGTAACAATAGCTGAGTCTTGGCCAATGCCGGCAACCATACTTCAACCACTCATTCACTGCTGAGTGTTCAAACTGTATTCAAATAAGGCAAAAACTGAGCTGTAACCTATCCAGCTATTTCTGTAACTCAATTCCTATTTCTGTATGTCACTTTCCTTTTTTTGTCTATAAATTTGTTCTGACCACAAGGCACCCCTGGAGTCTGTCTGAATCTGCTGTGATTCTGGGGGCTGCTCAATTCGCAAATCGTTCATTGCTCAATTAAACTGCTTTAAATTTAATTTGGCTCAAATTTTACTTTCATCATATACAATGTTCTTTTTCCCTTCAGAAACAGTATCTCTGCTCTCTCTCTTTCTCTCTCTCTCTCTCACTGTCTCTGTCTCACACACACACACAGAGCAAGAATTGAAACTTTTTAAATCTAAATTAGCCCTATATTTAATAACTGAAGGTAGCCATGAATTAACTAGATTATTTTTCTGAGACCTTGGACTCTTTACTTTTGAGGGACTGAATTTAAATCTCAATATTTATCTAAATATCTATTTTATTTTTCTTTTCTAGCTATTTTCTTTTCTTTCTCCTTTCTTCCCTACCTTTTCCCTGTCTTTCTTCTTTTGTTTTCTATTATTTTCTTTGAAGACACATTTCTATTATTTTTTGAACACTCAATAATTTATTGAGTTCAAATTATTCATTAAACTGGCTAATTATTAGTGATACAAGGATGAAAAGGCATCATTAAAATCTTCAAAGAGCTCAGATACTGGTGGAAAAACACTGTGCTGAAAAATGAATATTTACTGGACATTCTAGGGGCTATGCTAAGAAGAAAGTGGAAAGGAGGTAACAGAGCAGGGAGATTGAAGTTTGTTGAAAGAGTCAAGGAGTTATTCACAGAGGAAGAAATTTCAGCCAAGAACGAGCAAGCATTTGAAAAGTAGACAAAGGAAGCAAGGAAATTCCGGGAACAGTAAGAATATGTGGCCAGAGGTGAAGGGAAATCTAGCGTCTTTAAGGAGCTCTAAGTAGTTGAAACTGACTGAAGTTTAGGGATTATGGGAAGCAGAAAATATAAGTAAAATATAAGGCAAGGTTCATATCATGAAAGACTTTTTATGCCATGCTATAGAGTGTAGATTTCATCCACTCCATTCAACAAATATTGAGAACCTACTCTCAGATACCATTTGGAACATTGAGAAAAGGCAGCAAAGAAGACATCCCAAGTCCACTTACATTCTATTAAACATATAAACAAATGTGGGCTGGGTACAGTGCCTCACATCTGTAATCCCAGCCCTTCGGGAGGCCGAGATAGGAGGACTGTTTGAGCCCAGGAGTTCGAGACCAGGTTGGGCAATACAGGGAGGCCCCATAGCTAAAAAAATAAAAAATTATCTGGGTGTGGTAGTGTGCTGTGGTCCCAGCTCCTTGGGAGGATTAGGTGGGGGAATTGCTTGAGCCTGGGAGGTTGAGGCTGCAGTAAACCTTGATCACACCACTGCACTACAGCCTGGGAGACAGGGTGAGTCCCTGTGTCTAAAAAAATAAAGTTAAAAAATTAAAAAATGTATAAAGTGTGTCAGCTGGTGATACAAGTAAGGGCTTGGGCTCTGATATGAGTGCAATTTAAAATAGGATCATCAAGAAGCTCTCCATAGGACACATCATTTAAACAAGGGTCTACTTGGCTGTGAGAAAGGACATTGGAACAAACCTGAAGGAAATGTAAAATTAAATAACTCAAACTTAAAGCCATTGAAATTTTAAATTTTTCTGAGCCTTGAAAGGAATCTAGCTATATGGACTGAGTGACGGGGCACATAGCTGAAGCTTTTGCCTTCTTGCCTTTTTTTAAAATTATTATTATTCTATAAGTAATTAGGAAGAACAAACAGCAAGAGAGATAAGACCCACTCAGATCATTATCACTCCTCATAGAGTAATAAAGTAACCTTCCTTGGAATGTAGCAATCTGTAACAAATCAAATTGCTATAATGTATGCATCCGTCTTCTATGGAAAATGCAACCCTGCTGAAACTGCTCTGTCTCTCCCCTTTGTAAATAAAATCTTAACTTCCCTACTTTGAAGCACTGACCCCATTTGTTTGGAGTCAGTGTTTCCTGGGTGGCTACCCTCAAGCTTTTCACTCAAATACATTCTATACTTAATCATATTTTCTGAATCTCATTATTTAAGGTTGACAGAAGGAAGACAGAAAGCCATGGAAATGTTCTAGGCAAAGGCAGAGATGAACTTGAGACAACTAGGAAAGACCATAGGCATAGGCTGTGTGAATGAGGGGTAGATTTGTAGGAGAAAAGGTCAGAGAGATGGGCAGGGTCCTACCTATGTAATTACACAAATGAGAATGTAACCACCCAAGGGTTTCACCTAGACCGCTGCCTAGACAGAGCACTTCATTGACAGGAATTGCAATAGAGAAAGAGTAATTCATGCAGAGCTGGCTGTGCAGGAGTTATAGGGAGTTGAAGATGTCTTCTTGCACTGAGTCAGTTCCTGGGTGGGGGCCACAGGATCACATGAGCCAGTTTATTAATCTGGGTGGTGCCAGCTGATCCATCAAGTGCAGGGTCTGCAAAATATCTCAAGCACTGATCTTAGAAGCAGTTTAGGGAAGGTGAGAATCTTGTAGCCTCCAGCTGCATGACTCCTAAGTTTTAATCTTGTGGCTAATGTTAGTCCTACAAAGGCAGTCTAGTCCCCAGGCAAGAAGAAGGTCTGCTTTGGGAAAGGGCTGCTATTGTCTTTGTTTAAACTATAAACTAGGTTTCTCCCAAAGTTAGTTCAGCCTGTGCCCAGGAATGAACAAGGGCACCTTGGAGGTTAGAAGCAAGATGGAGTCGGTTAAATTAGCTCTCTTTCACTGTCTCAGTCATAATTTTGCAAAGGCGGTTTCAAGAAGGGGAATAGAATTTCATTCTGTGATGGAACGCTTTTGAGAGTAAG
This sequence comes from Homo sapiens, assembly GCF_000001405.40. NCBI lineage: Eukaryota > Metazoa > Chordata > Mammalia > Primates > Hominidae > Homo > Homo sapiens. The sequence goes on along the minus strand of NC_000008.11, from coordinate 36,216,328 downwards.
AGAGTAACAAGAAACATGAGAAGGTTTATATTTTACAAAAAAGATGACTGGTGTATTATATCTTAATTAGATAATGGTTTCACAAATATATTCATTTGTCAAAACACATCAACACACACACAGTATCTGTATGTAAATTATGCCTCAAAATATTTTTAAAAGCTAATTGTCCATGCTCTATGGAGATTCATGTATGGCCAGGTAGTGAAAGTAGTAGTTGTTGGACAGCCAGTTTTTTATCTTCTTAAAATCAGTTGAGTGTCATTGAAAAACTGGCAAAAAAAAAAAAAAAAAAAAAAAAAACAGGATCAGATTTATATTTCTGAAAAATAAGTTGAACAATAAGACTGCAGAATGAATTAGAGAACCTGAGAACAAAAAACCTGATTACACCACTGCCATTACTAGGTAGGGAATGATGAAGACCAGGGATAACATAAACAAAGAAGTGAGAATAAGTGAAAGAGGCATTCAGAAGACAGAACTGACATGATTTGGCCAATTGGATAAAAAAGGGAAGAGGGATAAGAGTCGAAGGGGAATGATTATCCAATTTGTGGCTTTGGACATTGGGGAAACTGTGACGTATTCATGGAGATAGAAGATATAAATCAGGAAATTATTTGTGGGATGCAGTTCTATTTGCAACATGTTGAGTTTGAGATGTTTAGGTAACATGCGACCATCAATGGCCAGTATGCAGCCATCAAAACAGGTTTGAGTGCTGACAGTCACATGATCTGTAAATAAAAGTTTATGAGTTGCTAATAAATGACCATTGGTTAAAACTATGCATGTGAATATAAATGCCCTCAGAGAGTCTTGACTCACAGCCTACAGTCTTCAAAATTTCAACACTATTATTTAGTATGAAAGAATGACTTTACCTCTCCATATCCCATATAATTTAATCAAGGCTTTACTGTGCATTCTATGTGCTCAGTGGTAAGCTAGACACTACGATTAGCAAAATTTGTGTAATTTACATGGAATTTCTCTCTTAATGGAAGACAGATACAGAAAATAGTTAACCAGAATTATCATACCTTTAAAAATCTATTAAGTCTTAACCATATTTTATAGAGGAATTACCATTTATTGTATGCCAACTACTTGCCTGGAGATAGATTTTCATAGAAATTTTATCCCTGGGTGACAGGCTGAAGTCTAAAGTGTCCCCAGGATTCCTGCATGTGATATGCATGCTCTGCACCATCCTGGGTTTGTGAATATCATAGATTTTACTCCCATGCTTAAGTTATGTTATATGGTACAGCTGACCTTAACGTAGGGAGAGGGTCCAGGTGGGCCTGACCTAAACACAGGAGCCATTTAAAAGCAGACTTTTTTCTAGCTGTAGCAGAAGTCAGAGAGAGGTGTGTTCGCTCTTCTGGAAAAATGCAAATGTTCATCTTGTGAACTGTCCTTGGGGGGCAAAGAACTGCAGGCAGCCTCTAGGAGATGAGGGCAGCTCCTTGCCAAAAGCTAGCAGGAAAACTAGGAACTTAGCTCCAACTCGAAGGAAATGAATTCTGCCCACACCCTGTGAGCCTGAAAGAAGGTCTCGAGCATCAGATGAGAACCACAGCCCAGACCAACACCTTGTTTTCAGTCCTGTGATATCCTGAGCAGAGATCAGCTGTGCTGTGCCTGGGCTTCTGACCAACTGAAACTTGAGATAATGAATGGGTGATGCTTTAAGCTGCTAAGCTGGTGGTAATTTGTTATACAGCAGTAGAAAACTAGTGCACACTTCATACTCAACAATTCTCCATGCTGAAGCTCAGGGAGGTAACATGCCCTAATTCCCAGTGCTGGTAAGTGGAGCAGCAAGGATTGCAACCCAGGAGCACCTGACTCCAAATCCCCTGCTTCTCTCCCCCATTGCTCATGCAGAGAAGCAGAGTCAGCTGGATTGCACAGTGGTGCAAAGGGCATAACTAAAGCTTAACATCCTCACTGAAAACCTTTGCTTCCTGTTTCTGTGCTGCCCGTATCTACGACACAGACCCAGCCTCCTCTTCAGCATCCATTTATCTGACTCCAGGGAGGGCAAGAAACACTCTTCTCATGTACCAATTAATCTTTGACCAGGAACACTGCCTAGCAGAGGTAGGAAGGGTGAAATGGAGTCTTGTTTTTAGGAACTGAACTGAGACCCCTGATTTATTCCACATTGTTTTTGAAACAACAGCTAATGATTTTGGTTCACTACCCACCTGGAGTAGATTCAGGGAAACTTGTTTGGGGGAATCACAGGAGAACACAGTAAGGGTCGGAGCCAATGCACTTCTGCCTTGGCAGTAATTCATCTTCCCCTAGGTTCAAAAGGCTTGGGTAACCAGGGGAGCATTTACTGTGGTCTTATAAAATGATGTCAATATCTTAATGACTATTTGTGCTGAAACAGGTGTATGTTTCAGTTGTTCTTATACTCCAGGTAAACCCAGTAAATATCCCCTTTGTGTCAATAATATACAATCTTAGAAATTCCTGGTTCTTAGATTCCTTATCTTCAACAGTAATATAGTAATACCTCATGGAAATATTGTAATGATCAAATGTGATAGTATGCATGAAAATGCATTAAAACTATACATTGTAATCCACATTTAGGATACTACCAGTTTAGTCTCAAGTTGTCTATAAAAAGCAAAAAAAATCTTAAATAATTAAAACTTCAAGCACATAGAAATTGCTAAATATGAATGGTTGGAAGCTAAATCTATTTTATATGTTAAGCCTCTCTCTCTGTCTCTGTGTGTGTGTGTATATATATATATTTATAATATATACATCTACACATATAGATATAGATGTATGCATATATATGCACACACTATATGCACATATGTGTTTTTCTAAAATATGATGATCCATTTTGACATTTTCAATTCATCTTACATCACCTAAAAAATGTTCAGTTTATATGTTAAGTATACTCAGTTACACTCTGTCTCATTCCCCCAACCTCTTAGAGACAAAGATGATATTACTTACAGCTGAGTCTGCACTTTTCTTAAAGCTGAGTAGTCTTGCTCAGGATAAACGGGGCTGTCTTGGTACCAACTATATCAGAAGCCTATACTAGGCTAGAGAAAACTGACAAATGAGATGCCGAAAGTGGAAGGGGAAATAAATGGAATGTCTCAGCTCCTAAAAGGGAATTACCCTCAATAGTGAGTGAGAAAAAAAGAAGAAAAATTACTGAGTGAGTACTGGAGAGTTACTTGAAATACATTTTTATGCATTGGACAATAGCGAGAAATTTGTCAACACTGGGTAGCATTATGTTCATCAGAGCTATAAAAAGGTTATGGAAACAGTAACCCAAAAGGAATAGAAACACATTAGAATTTATAGGACTAAATTGTTCACTATGTAAATGAAGCTTTCAAATATATATGGTTTATGGAAATTAATGTCTTATATTTATTACTCAGCTCCAAGATTAAAATTGGAACCACACTGATTAGGTAGCATTACAAATCAATTCCCATAGAGAGAAGTAATAATAATACATCAAAGTACAAATGCTCTGATTAAACAAGTTTATATATAAGAAGAAAAAAGACGTGTGCTTTTCTTGACTGCTGCTTCTGAATGCTAGTCAGTTTTTTTCCTCATTCTTTCCAAAACAATGGGCTGAAAGTAAACAGACAAGCTGGGTATGACACTTCTTATTTCAGTAAACACACAGGGAGAAAAAAGAGGGAGAGAAAGATCTGGGCTCCTTTCCCACAAGTTAAATATCAAATCATGTGAAGCTTGTATTGCTGAATGTGGCAACACTTCAAGTGCTACAATCAATGTAGCATTTAGCCAAAGAGAAGGCAGGAAGGCAAACAGAATGTATTACTGGATCATCTTTTAAATCAAGTCTCTCTTTTCCGTGGTTCTTTCCAACTGGGGAAGAGGGTTGTGTGGTGGAAGAGAGACTATTCAAGAATTAAAACATTTATTTAATTCAGTCAGATGTACTCATGACTTAAGAAAACTGACATTAACCATGACATTCAAAAACATTGGAACAATTTTTCCAAAGTGGGGAAAAACATTCTACTGAAAGATGACAGAATGAGAGTAAATTTAAATCCCAATGCCTTTCAGGGTGCATAGGAGGAAAGAAACATTTCTAAAAGTGTGCTTTCAAAGCCTTCCATAGGAGCATCCATGAGCAGGACCAGTGCTCACTGAAGTCACATATATCTAATCGTTTATATCTAAATGATTTGGGACCAGGTCTTCCATTATTAATAGACAGAGGCCTTATCAGGGAAAGTAGCAACAGATAAAACAGAATTCAAAACAGACAGGAAATTATTTTTTTTAATTAACAAAGCTACTTCCCTCATCATGTTCCTTCTGTCCAGATCTACCCTAAGGTCTCATTTGTAAGGCAGATCATGACTGCTCACAGGTGAGCTGATCAGGAAGTTTTTTTCTACTTCATTAAAGATGGATGTGATAGACTCTTAAAGTAGCTTCCATATTTTATAGCAATATTATTTCTTTTATCATGTTCTTCTTTTACTAAGATAAGTATAATGACCATATTCATCCCTCATATGGGAATAATTTGGGTCTCATGGAAATTTCTGGTCTCACTACAGTCATCTTGCAGACATTGATATGGTGTGCTAATGATTGTCCCCCTCACGTCACTTAATCATCTGCAATGTCAAGGTACACTTAGAACATAAAAAAAATGTGGGATTTGCTGTCTAATTGGCATATGCTGTATTGATCAATAAAAGACTGGATAGTTTCAGAACATGGCCATTTCATCGGGACACTGCCAAGTACAAGAAGAAGCCTCTTTATGGCACCAGAATCATCAGTCCTTGAATTTACTATTGTAACAATGCTTAATGTGATCGACACCAGCATGGATATCAATGCTTTGATCTCTCAACTTTTTAACTGGGTGGTCTCAGAATTATGTGCAAGGTACAGTGCCAGGTGAGCCTTGCCTTTGAGCATGCTGTCATCCATCAGTGGAGATGGGACAGATAAATAATGTCCTCATATCATCATTAATTTTAGTGTCATAAGAGAGACAGAACAAAAGTACAATAGGAGTTTAGATGAGTCCTCAGGAGCTATTTTTACAATGTTGAACATCAGCATTATATAAGGTTGGAGTTGGAAAGGTCCCTGATGTCAGCCAGTACTGTAGAAATAACCAGCTATAGCCCTTTCTCAATGTCCAGCCCTACTACCTACTCGAGGCCCCGAGGGGCTCAGTCACCACTCAGTCTTGGGTAATCCCATACTTAGATCTCATTCAGGCACGTCCTGATATCTGTTATGGAATTATGACTTTATTCCACATGTTTACCTTTTTTTTCTAGACTAATGTTGACAAAAAGAGTCAAACTCTGTAAAATATTCTTTAAATATTTCTTTAATATTTTCTTTAATATTTTCTTTAAGATTTATTCTGAGCCAAATGTGAGTGACCATGGCCTGTGACACAACCCTCAGGAGGTCCTGAGAACATGTATCAAAGGTGGCTGGGGTACAGCTTGGTTTTATACATTTTTAAGGAGGCATGAGACATCAATCAAATACATTTGAGAAATGCATTGATTTGGTCCAGAAAGGTGGGACAATTCAAAGCAGGGGGCTTCCAGGCTGTAGGTGAATTTAAACATTTTCTGGTTTACAATTGGTTGAGTTTGTCTAAAGACCTGTTATTAAAAGAAAGGAAACATTCACATTAAGATAAAAAACTGTGGTTCTTTTGAAGTCTCATAGTGGCTGCCCTTAGAGACAATAGATGACAAGTGTTTCCTATTCAGACCTTTAAAAGGTGCTAGACTCTTAGTTAATCTCTTCAGGATTGGGAGGGCCTGGAAGAAAAAGATCTAGCTATGTTAATATTCTTAACAGATGCAAATTTTTCCCCACAAAGGATGGCTTGCAGGGCCATTTCAAAATATGGCAAAGCAACATGTTTTGGAGTAAAGCATTTTGATTTTCTTCTTTGTCACATAGTGTTGTGCCAGAGTCAGATTGGAAAGTAAGTCACGATATATAGGGTTAAATGAAATCCATCTGATGAGAATTTATGACAAGTAGGACATGACTCCCTAGATCCCTTAGATAGGAATTTGGGCATGGTTAAAAAAAAAAAATCAAAGCTTAGCCCTCACTAACATTTCATTCTCTTCTTTTGGTACCAGCCATAAACTCTTCTCAGTTTGGGTTTCATTATTTCTTTTCCTGCAGCTGGCATTCATGGAGAATAGGGAAGGCTTCATAAAGAAAGCAGCATGGCATCTGGCCTTTGAAGGATGGACAGAATTTGGTCACATGGAAATTGGTGTGAAGGGAGGGGAGAGCATTTCTTACAGAAGGTATATCAGGAACCAAGACAGAAAAGGGAAAAGCATGGATGTTGTTGTGCATGTTTCCTGTAGCACAAGGATATAAAGGAGAAATGAGGAAAAGTTTAACAGCTACATTAAGGCCAACATGGGAGATTTAAATATCCAAGGTGTGAGGCCTTAATTTTTTTGACAATGGGAAGCCAGTGTCAGGACCAAGGGAAAACTCCCCCTTTGACCTCCAAAGGTTCACTGAATAACTAACAAAAGGCAGATTAATTGGAGAAATAGCATACAAAATTGTTAATGAGTACACAGGGAGATTTGCATAGTATGACTCACTCTTCTAATGGAGTTTGGAAGCTTATGTACCACCCTGGCAAAAAACATGATAGTGGCAAAACAGGTTATGGGAGTGGGGTGAAGAGGAATTCTGTTGAAGGGCAATAAATGATTACTAGGGAGAATGAATGGGTGGGAAATAGAGACTAAGTTGTCAGTAGCTGTCTTTGGAATTTGAATGATCCTGAGAGACAGACATTATCTTGTGAAAGGGTCTGTTCAAGTGTGGTTACATTCTTGGTCTTCTTTTCTGCAACAAATAATGAGATAGGAGGGAGGGGAAATAAAGAAAATGATTGTTCTCCTGCTGTAGTTGAGTCCAAAGTTTGTACTGCTCATTGCACGACAGCCAATAAATTGAGAAACAAGGAGTTAGGGCAAGAAAAGTGACGTTATTTTGGATGACCAGCAAACCGAAAAGATGGTGGACTAGTGTCCCAAAGAACCATCTTAAAAAATATGGATCTCAAAAATTCTTTTCATATTGGAAAGGGGCAACAAAGAGGGAGTTGAGGTCAGGAGGTGACTGGGGAGGTGTGAGGAGGTCAGAGAGTCCTTCAGGCTTCTTCTTCAGTTCAGCATGTCAAAGTGCCATATTTTGGAATATTGATTTTTGGCCCCAACACCAGGAAGGATATTTGAGCCAGAGATCACAAGGTCAGAGCTACTTTTATGGAAAAGTAATTTGGTAACTTTGTGTGGAATGCTTTAGAGTCCAAAAAGAGAGAAAAATAAAATGAGAAAGTAATTATAATAGTTCCTGAAAAACTTTGCTTGTCTGAATTAAGACCACAGTTATGGAAAAGAGAGGACTCATTATCATTGCCTCAAAGGAAGTGTGGCTAAGCCAAGAAGGAGAGGTGCCTTATAAATCTTGGCTTTCATTTTTCCAAAGTCTAATCCCATAGAATACCTTATAAAGCTTGCAGGAAGTAAATGGGTTGGGGAAGCAGAGTGTGCAAGAAACAAGAGAAAGAGACCCTTGCCCAAACTAGAAAATTTATTCCCCTAGACTGTAAGAGACAGATCTGTGGCTTACAGAACTGTGGGACCAGGGCACCAGAGAGGCCTCACTGCAAGCTTTAATTCAAGCATGTAGGCACAGAATCCTGGCCTCCTGAGATTCTTTCCTCCTATGCATAGCTGGGAAGGACCTAAAGGCACCAAGGAAGCAGGGAAGAGATATACCTCATCATCACAGATATCTATCAGGTGAGGTTCCCTCCAGTACCCCTTCTCTGTGGATGCCTTGGAATTGCATATGGCAATTATATATTTTTGTATCTTGGGCATATAGCACAGCATGTGTTATGCAGTCTGTATTCAACAAATAATAAATGGGGCATATTAATGTAAGTGGATGAGATTCAAGATAAATCCAATTTATTAAAAAAATGCCCTATAGAAAATAATAATAGAAATGTTTGTATTCATTTTTTCACTACTGATAATTACTTACTTTTTCTTCAAATATCTGATTTCATTGTTTTGAAAATTAAATTACTATACCTAGTACAAAAACAAATTCTATTTGCTCATCTGAAAGTTCCTGAATTTTGTCTTGTTGTTTTCCTTTTTTTTTTTTAACTCAAGGTAAATCCAATATTGCTTATACATTTTAAATCCCAAAAGATAACAATTCTTCCATTTAATTATAACATTAACTGGGAGGAAAACAGCTATTCTGCAAAAGCAAAATTTAATTATGGTTTTAACAACAATAAATATCTCTTTTTTAAAAAAACCAGCTAATTGCTTGCTTTCTTGCCACATTTAACTTTTTTTTTATTAATGGTTTCCATCGATTTACGTCAGAATTGAGTGTACTTGCTGACAGAATCTGTCCCCAGTTGTGTGTCTGTTCATTAACCCAGCAATGTCATACAAAGGCCAACTATTTATTCATTCCTGTACACTGAAAACTTCTGGAAGCCTCAAAGTAGGGTACAGCTGGAGCTGGGGACACCTTCTCTTATATTACCTCCCATTTACAGTTGAGGCTAGGTATTTTTCAGTGGCAAGAGCACCTCTTCTACAGCATATTGTAACCAACCTTATTATGCTAAATATTGAACAAAAAATCTATAGCCCGGCCCGGAGTGGTGGCTCACGCCTGTAATCTCAGCACTTTGGGAGGTTGAGGCGGGTGGATCATGAAGTCAGGAGTTCAAGACCAGCCTGGCCAAGATGGGGAAACCCTGTTTCTACTAAAAATACAAAAATTAGTCAGGCATGGTGTCAGGCGCCTGCAATCTCAGCTACTCGGGAGGCTGAGGCAGGTAATTGCTCAAACCCGGAAGGGGGAAGTTGCAGTGAGCCGAGATCATGCCACTGCACTCCAGCCTGGACAACAGAATGAGACTCTGTCTAAAAAAAAAAAAAAAAAAAAAGAAAAAAAAATTATAGCCTGCATACAAAGTCTTACTATTTTTTTTCTTACCAAAATTCCAATGTGGCTATGTACTGGATCATGGTTGTAACTCTCTTATAATAGAAAAAGATTGTCTAGGCTAGGCACAGTGGCTCATGTCTGTAATTTCAGCAATTTGGGAGGCCTAGACAGGCGGATCACTTGAGGTCAGGAGTTCAAGACCAGCTTGGCCAACATGGTGAGACCTCATCTCTACTAAAAATCCAAAAATTAGTTGGGCATGGTGGTGCACGTCTGTAGTCCCAGCTACTTGGGAGGTTGAGGCACGAGAATCGCTTGAACCCGGGAACCCGAGGTTGCAGTGAGCAGAGATTGTATCACTGCACTCCAGCTTGGGTGACTGAGGGAGACGCTGTCTCAAAGAAAAAAAAAAATTGTCTAAAGAGTCTAGGGCCAGGCACTGTGGCTCACATCTGTAATCTCAGCACTTTGGGAGGCTGAGGCAGGAGGATCACTTGTGTCCAGAAGCTCAAGGCCAGCCTAGGCAACATAGCAAGACCCTGTCTCTACAAAAAATAAAATTAGCCATGCGTGGTGGTGTGCACCTGTAGTCCCAGCTCCTCAGGAGGCTGAGGTGGGAGGATCGCTTGATCCCAGGAATTCCAGGCTACAGTGAGCCATGACTGTGACATTGCACTCCAGCCAGGGTGACAGAGTGAAACCTCTTCTCTGAAAAATAAAAATAAATGAATAAATAATAATGAAGAATCTGGAAAGTTTTTATACCAATGATTTTTACCCCAGTTTCTGTGACAGTAACTGCTTTAGGTTCCTTTATCTCATGTTTTTCTTGATCTTTATGGGAACTCATTAGGTAAGCAGATATGTAAAAAAAAGGTGAGAGAAACAAAGTAATACACTCCAGGTCATGCTGGTGGCTCAAGGCATAACTCAAATGTGCACATAATCCTTCTTGGTACCATGTCAATGTTTAAAAGATTTCCACCAATGTTTAGAAGAGCCTACTATGTGCTAGGCACATTTTAGGCCCTTAGAATAAAAAATTGTAAAAGGCTCAGTCTTTGTCTTTTAACAGTATTATGGTATTTTATAAAAGATTGGTCAGAAAAGAGGGCATGTGTAAAATAAACTAATTATTGCAGTTTTCAGGACTGATTTTAGGTTTCTGAAGTAAAGCAGAGAAATTAGAATTTAACCCAGGCACTCTATCTTTTTTTCCCCCATTGGTTTTTATATTACATTCATGCTTTGTAGACACAATGCTCCAGGAATGTGCAATACGACATGGTCTTAGCAAGGAGTGATTGAGTCACAAGATGTAGAAATCATCGTAAGCTGGCTTGGTGTGGGGACCTGAGATAAGAGTACAGAAGTAAGTCATAGAACACCAAAGCAGGAAGCACAGAAGCACCTCCTGATCAGCGAGGCCTGGGCTCTGGAAAGCTGTCAGCGAAACTGCCTTTGTCAAGATGATGATAGCAACAGAAATCTAGCATGGCTGACTCCATCTTGCCTCTACCTTCACAGGCTGGCTCTCTTTGCTCATTCCTGTGCATTGGCCAAGCTAACCATGGGAAGACTTGTTTAATAATAAAAAATATTTCCCAATAAACTTCCCAATGTACATGGGAAGTTTATTGTTCAATTTTGGATCAAGGATGATAATAGTCCCTCCCTAAAACTGCTTCTCTCCTTGTTCTGGGGCTGAAGCCACCTTTGTAAGACTAATGAGAGGCCACAAGATTAGAATTATGGGAGAGGCTGCAATTCTGCTAAAATATAGATATAGTTTCTATAATCCCTTAATGCCCAGGAGTCATGTGGCCAGAGGTCACAAGTTAAGTGACTTCCCCAGTTGCTCCTATAGATAACATCATTATTTTAAAAACTAAGATTGTTCTACTGAGATTTTTTCAAACCAACCTCACTTGGACTCATGACTCATGATTTAACCAGCCCTGCAGCTCCCCCCCACAGAGACAGATTCAGTGCACAAGGACTGTTTTTCACACCCCTGTGATTGCATCTCCAGCCAATCAGCAGACCCAATCCCTAGTCCCCTGCCCACCAAACTATCCTTGAAAAACCTTCACCTCTGAGCCTTTGGGGAGACTGATTTGAGTGACAAATTCAGTTCTCCCATGAAACTGGCTGCATGTTAATCAAAGTCTTTCTCTATTGCTATACTATGGTCTCAGTAAATTGGTTTTGTCTGTGCAGCAAGCAGGAAGAGCCCATTGGGTGATTACATCTGGAACCAGGGCAGGTCCTCTCCCTGACTCTTCGTGTCTTTCATCTTGCCTGGCCACTCATAAAGTCATGTTTCTATATGCATTTAGAAAACAAAATGCACCAGACAACTAAGGTGCTTACATTTAGGATATTGCAATAGGAAGAACACTCATTAATGAGGAACATCTCAAAGAAGATGGAGACATCTTGGGATTTTATAAAATGAGGGAGTCATTGAGGAAGGCTGGAAATGGATTTTGTCTCAGAATATGCAAGGGCAAGTCAGTCCTTTAAGGTTAGCTCTTTTACCCAATACGAAGAATCACAAAAGGGTGGGGGATTTTGCCAGTGCTTCTCTTTGCTGAAACACTCACCCTGCTTGTTCACCAGCATACGTGATCCAAAAATGGCCACTCTGGACCCTGTGTCTACCTAACCTCCCATCTCCACAGACAACTGGAAACCAACTCCTGATCAAATGCTCAAGAGAAAGAAGGTTAGAAAAAATCTCATGGGTCAGATACTTATGCTCAGTCCAATTATCCAACAAAGGCTGGGGTTAGTAGATCACGCACTAACAGAAGGGATCCATCACTTCTGCTGCCTTGGTGGGGATGGAAAAGAACAAGGCTCTCTAAGAAGAAATTATGAGGAAAGAAAATGCACCAATAAAAGTCAGTTACTTAGACAGCTGGATGTGGTGCCTCACACCTGTAATCCCAGTGTTTTGGGAGGCCAAGGAAGGAGGATCACTTAAAGACCAAGAGTTTGAGACCAGCCTGGGCAACATTAGTGAGACCCTGTCTCTACAAAAATTTTGAAAAGAAAATTAGCCAGGTGTGGTGCTGCGTGCCTGTATTCCCAGCTACTCTAAAGCCTGAGACAGGAGGATTGCTTGAGCCCAGGCGGTCGAGGCTTCAGTGAGCTATGATCATACCACTGCACTCCAGCCTGGATGGTAGAGTGAGACTTGGCCTCTAAAAAAAAAGACAGTTACTTAAAGGATAGCCATTGTGCAGCTTCTTGAAATGTTAATATCACTAGATAGTTTATGGGGAAAACGTTATTTACATAGTAGCACAGATAGGATATTGATCAAGGTGGTAGTTTCTGTATGCATATGTAACTTTATTTCTATTGAAAATCTCTAGCAGTGACCACAAAATATTTTAAAAATAACAACTGTTAATATTTAGAAAAATTTAGTTAATAAAATAAGTTAATACTTAGAAAAATTATTTATCCCAGGAATTTAGGGAGGATTTGACATTAGGCAATATATTGAGGCATTTTACTGCAAAAAGTTATAAAGTGAAAACAATAGAAGCTAAAAGATACTTCTTAAATTTAATTTTCATTCTCTATAAAAATTCATAAAAAGTTAGGAATAGAAAGAATCAGCACAAATCTGTTTAAAGTATCTTGCAGAAACTGATAGTAAGCATTATTAATATTAAAAACAAAAAAATTCCTATTGCTGCAAGACAGTAAATTTCCTCAGATTTTCCTCAAGTCGTCAAAATTCCTTTGACCTCTCTTACAGCCCCCAATTAATAAGTAGCAGGAACTGAGGTAAGTAATTCAGGCCAATTAAATTTAAACTAAATATGACCCAATAATTTAAACAGTTTCTCTGGGTATAACTCATTATTTGATGAGATATTGACTGTCTTTCCATTTCCTTGCCTTTTCCCCAGCTCTTCAGATGGCTCCTGGGGTATGAGGAGGCCTTACTCACTGTGTGACACAGGAAAAAAGGGACTTCCTGGCTTCTTACACGCCCCTGAGTGTGTACTGCCTGCCATATGAGGTGTGCACATTCTGCAGTGTCTGTATTTAACCTTGGTGTCTTGTAGAACTCTAGTCTTCTCTTCCTCCTTGGCTCTGCCAGGGCTCGGTCATCCCTCCAAATGCAGTCAGTGTTTTTGCCGCTATCTTTGGTATGGCATCTGTCTCTGAGCTCATGTCTTGTCCTCTCTGGGCCCTGGAGGAGACCCCCATCCCTGAGCATCTCACCCCAGCACAGCAGGCCCAGTGGAAAGCCCTCTAGCTCTAAATTCAGCAACTGGGCCAAATTGGAATGGAAATAACTCTGAAGAATTCCTTGCTGATTCTTTCTACCTGACCCAAGCTGCCCTGACCAATTATACTCTTTGTTGGTGCAAACCCAGCCCACAGAGCAATAGAGAAAGAATAATTCAAATTATTCAAAATTATTCAAATATCACTTCTATACAACAATAACAAAAGGAAGGAAGGAATGCTGAAAGGAAGGAGGAAAAGGTTAATAAAACATACCACCAACCCCCAAAAGAGCCAGTTCACATAAAGGAATTTATCATGGTCAATGCATACATGGAATGAGCCCCAACACCATTAGTAATCAGAGGGATAAAAAGTGAAATAGCAATGAGATCTCATTGTTCTCCCATCAAAAAGCCTGAGTTTGAATCCCAGCTCCATAACTGATCAGGTATCAAATCTTGGACAAATGACTTACTCTCTCCATGTCTGTTTTCTTTTCTGTAAATGGGATTAGTAATACTACCTACCTCAAGGGCTGTCATGACCATAAAATTCATTAATAGGTGTAAAGTGCTGAGAACGGCACCTAGTCAAAAGTAAGTACTCTTAACATGTTTGGCAAATAAATAAAACTAGTGTTAGAAAGAATATGGAGTAACTAGTCATTTATCACTTGTTTCTTGAGCATTTCTGCTGCAACAGCCACTATTCTAAGTGCTGAGGATGCAAAACAGAATCCCTCCCTCAGGGTGTATATATTCTAATGAAGAGTGATGCAGGGAAAACCACATATTTAAAAAGAAATAGGGGCTGGGCGCGGTGGCTCACACCTGTAATCCCAGCACTTTGGGAGGCTGATGCGTGCAGATCACAAGGTCAGGAGTTTGAGACCAGCTTGGTCAACATGGTGAAACCCTGTCTCTACTGAAAATACAAAAATTAACCAGGTGTAGTTGCATGTGCCTGTAGTCCCAGCTATTCGGGAGGCTGAGGCAGGAAAATCACTTGAACCTGGGAAGCAGAGGTTGCAATGAGCCGAGACCATGCCACTGCCTTCCAGCCTGGGCGACAGAGCGAGGCTCCATATCAAACAATAATAACAATAATAAAATAAAAAAAATAATTTAGTTAGATACTTTCAGGCACTAACAAATGCTGTGGAGAAGGTGAGACATGTTAAAGTGATGAGGAGAGGTGGCTTTAGCTATGGCGATCAGAAAATGTTTCTTAGGAAGGGTTACATTTTAGTTGAGATCTGAAGGATAAGAAGAAAACAGCCTGAGAACCTACCAGGAAAAGCGTTCCAACTAGTGGAACAGCGTGTGCAAAATTCAAGATTCTCCCAATAGTTTCTTAGATGGCTGGACAGATACAACATTTTAGGAAGGCCATCTGTCAGTATCTGTCAAAATATTTATGCCTTATGACACAGCAGTTTAAATTCCATGGTGGGAAATAGTGCACAAAAACATGTGTAAGGATATTCACAATAGAATGTTTATATTAGAAAAAATCAGAAACAACCTAATATCAATAGAAAAACAAATGCTATGATACTTCTATAATATAGAATACTATTCAGCATGAAAAAGAATAAGAATGCTCTTCTGGCAGCCAAGATGGCCGAATAGGAACAGCTCCGGTCTACAGCTCCCAGTGTGAGTGACGTAGAAGACAGGTGATTTCTGCATTTCCATCTGAGGTACCAGGTTCATCTCACTAGGGAGTGCCAGACAGCGGGCTCAGTACAGTGGGTGCAGCGCACCATGCGCGAGCTGAAGCAGGGCGAGGCATTGCCTCACTTGGGAAGTGCAAGGGGTCAGGGAGTTCCCTTTCCTAGTCAAAGAAAGGTGTGACAGACGGCACCTGGAAAATCGGGTCACTCCCACCCTAATACTGCGCTTTTCCGACGGGCTTAAAAAATGGCACACCAGGAGATTATATCCCGCACATGGCTCGAGGGTCCTACGCCCATGGAGTCTCGCTGATTGCTAGCACAGCAGTCTGAGATCAAACTGCACGGTGGCAGCGAGGCTGGGGGAGGGGCGCCCGCCATTTCCCAGGCTTGCTTAGGTAAACAAGGCAGCCGGGAGGCTCGAACTGGGTGGATCCCACCACAGCTCAAGGAGGCCTGCCTGCCTCTGTAGGCTCCACCTCTGGGGGCAGGGCACAGACAAACAAAAAGACAGCAGTAACCTCTGCAGACTTAAATGTCCCTGTCTGAAAGCTTTGAAGAGAGCAGTGGTTCTCCCAGCGTGCAGCTGGAGATCTGAGAATGGGCAGACTGCCTCCTCAAGTGGGTCCCTGACCCCTGACCCCCAAGCAGCCTAACTGGGAGGCACCCCCCAGTAGGGGCAGACTGACACCTTACATGGCCGGGTACTCCTCTGAGACAAAACTCCCAGAGGAATGATCAGACAGCCGCATTTGCAGTTCATGAAAATCCGCTGTTCTGCCGCCACTGCTGCTGATACCCAGGCAAACAGGGTCTGGAGTGGACCTCTAGCAAACTCCAACAGACCTGCAGCTGAGAGTCCTGTCTGTTAAAAGGAAAACTAACAAACAGAAAGGACATCCACACCAAAAACCCATCTGTACATCACCATCATCAAAGACCAAAAGTAGATAAAACCACAAAGGTGGGGAAAAAACAGCAGAAAAATGGGAAACTCTAAAAAGCAGAGTGCCTCTCCTCCTCCAAAGGAACACAGTTCCTCACTAGCAACGGAACAAAGCTGGACAGAGAATGACTTTGACGAGTTGAGAGAAGAAGGCTTCAGACGATCAAACTACTCCGAGCTACAGGAGGAAATTCAAACCAAAGGCAAAGAAGTTAAAAACTTTGAAAAAAATTTAGATGAATGTATAACTAGAATAACCAATACAGAGAAGTGCTTAAAGGAGCTGATGGAGCTGAAAGCCAAGGCTCAAGAACTATGTGAAGAATGCAGAAGCCTCAGGAGCTGATGCGATCAACTGGTAGAAAGGGTATCAGTTATGGAAGATGAAATGAATGAAATGAAGCAAGAAGGGAAGTTTAGAGAAAAAAGAATAAAAAGAAACAAACAAAGCCTCCAAGAAATATGGGACTATGTGAAAAGACCAAATCTACATCTGATTGGTGTACCTGAAAGTGACGGGGAGAATGGAACCAAACTGGAAAACACTCTGCAGGATATTATCCAGGAGAACTTCCCCAATCTAGCAAGGCAGGCCAACATTCAGATTCAGGAAATACAGAGAACGTCACAAAGATACTCCTTGAGAAGAGCAACTCCAATACACATAATGGTCAGATTCACCAAAGTTGAAATGAAGGAAAAAATGTTAAGGGCAGCCAGAGAGAAAGGTCGGGTTACCCACAAAGGGAAGCCCATCAGATCTCTCGGCAGAAACTCTACAAGCCAGAGGAGATTGGGGGCCAATATTCAACATTCTTAAAGAAAAGAATTTTCAACCCAGAATTTCATATCCAGCCAAACTAAGCTTCATAAGTGAAGGAGAAATAAAATCCTTTACAGACAAGCAAATGCTGAGAGATTTTGTCACCACCAGGCCTGCCCTAAAAGACCTCCTGAAGGAAGCGCTAAACATGGAAAGGAAAAACCAGTACCAGCCACTGCAAAATCATGCCAAATTGTAAAGACCATCAAGGCTAGGAAGAAACTGCATCAACTAACGAGCAAAATAACCAGCTAACATCATAATGACAGGATCAAATTCACACATAACAATGTTAACTTTAAATGTAAATGGACTAAATGCTCCAATTAAAAGACACAGACTGGCAAATTGGATAAAGAGTCAAGACCCATCAGTGTGCGGTATTCAGGAAACCCATCTCACGTGCAGAGACACACATAGGCTCAAAATAAAAGGATGGAGGAAGATCTATCAAGCCAATGGAAAACAAAAAAAGGCAGGGGTTGCAATCCTAGTCTCGGATAAAACAGACTTTAAACCAACAAAGATCAAAAGAGACAAAGAAGGCCATTACATAATGGTAAAGGGATCAATTCAACAAGAAGAGCTAACTATCTTAAATATATATGCACCCAATACAGGAGCACCCAGATTCATAAAGCAAGTCCTGAGTGACCTACAAAGAGACTTAGACTCCCACACAATAATAATGGGAGACTTTAACACCCCACTGTCAACATTAGACAGATCAATGAGACAGAAAGTTAACAAGGATACCTAGGAATTGAACTCAGCTCTGCACCAAGTGGACCTAATCGACATCTACAGAACTCTCCACCCCAAATCAACAGAATATACATTTTTTTTCAGCACCACACCACACCTATTCCAAAACTGACCACATAGTTGGAAGTAAAGCTCTCCTCAGCAAATGTAAAACAACAGAAATTATAACAAACTGTCTCTCAGACCACAGTGCAATCAAACTAGAACTCAGGATTAAGAAACTCACTCAAAACCGCTCAACTACATAGAAACTGAACAACCTGCTCCTGACTGACTACTGGGTAAATAATGAAATGAAGGCAGAAATAAAGATGTTCTTTGAAACCAATGAGAACAAAGACAGAACATACTAGAATCTCTGGGACACATTCAAAGCAGTGTGTATAGGGAAATTTATAGCACTAAATGCCCACAAGAGAAAGCAGGAAAGATCCAAAATTGACACCCTAACATCACAATTAAAAGAACTAGAAAAACAAGAGCAAACACATTCAAAAGCTAGCAGAAGGCAAGAAATAACTAAAATCAGAGCAGAACTGAAGGAAATAGAGACACAAAAAACCCTTAAAAAAATTAATGATTCCAGGAGCTGGTTTATTGAAAGGATCAACAAAATTAATAGACCACTAGCAAGACTAATAAAGAAGAAAAGAGAGAAGAATCAGATAGACACAATAAAAATGATAAAGAGGATATGACCACCGATCCCACAGAAATACAAACCACCATCAGAGAATACTATAAACACCTATACGCAAATAAACTAGAAAATCTAGAAGAAATGGATAAATTCCTTGACACATACACCCTCCCAAGACTAAATCAGGACGAAGTTGAATCTCTGAATAGACCAATAACGGGCTCTGAAATTGTGGCAACAATCAATAGCTTACCAACCAAAAAGATTCCAGGACCAGATGGATTCACGGCCAAATTCTACCAGAGGTACAAGAAGGAACTGGTACCATTCCTTCTGAAACTATTCCAATCAATAGAAAAAGAGGGAATCCTCCCTAACTCATTTTATGAGGCCAGCATCATCCTGATACCAAAGCCTGGCAGAGACACAACCAAAAAAGGGAATTTTAGACCAATATCCTTGATGAACATTGATGCAAAAATCCTCAATAAAATACTGGCAAACTGAATCCAGCAGCACATCAAAAAGCTTATCCACCATGATCAAGTGGGCTTCATCCCTGGGATGCAAGGCTGGTTCAATATACGCAAATCAATAAATGTAATCCAACATATAAACAGAACCAAAGGCAAAAACCACATGATTATCTCAATAGATGCAGAAAAGGCCTTTGACAAAATTCAACAACCCTTCATGCTAAAAACTCTCAATAAGTTAGGTATTTAAGGGACACATCTCAAAATAACAAGAGCTATCTATGACAAACCCACAGCCAATATCATACTGAATGGGCAAAAACTGGAAGCATTCCCTTTGAAAACTGGCACAAGACAGGGATGCCCTCTCTCACCACTCCTATTCAACATAGTGTTGGAAGTTCTGGCCAGGGCAATTAGGCAGGAGAAGGAAATAAAGGGTATTCAATTAGGAAAAGAGGAAGGCAAATTGTCCCTGTTTGCAGATGACATGATTGTATATCTAGAAAACCCCATTGTCTCAGCCCAAAATCTCCTTAAGCTGATAAGCAACTTCAGCAAAGTCTCAGATACAAAATCAATGTACAAAAATCACAAGCATTCTTATACACCAATAACAGACAAACAGAGAGCCAAATCATGAGTGAACTCCCATTCACAATTGTTTCAAAGAGAATAAAATACTTAGGAATCCACCTTACAAGGGACGTGAAGGAACTCTTCAAGGAGAACTACAAACCACTGCTCAAGGAAATAAAAGAGGATACAAACAAATGGAAGAACATTCCATGCTCATGAGTAGGAAGAATCAATATCATGAAAATGGCCATACTGCCCAAGGTAATTTATAGATTCAATGCCATCCCCATCAAGCTACCAATAACCTTCTTCACAGAATTGAAAAAAACTACTTTAAAGTTCATATAGAACCAGAAAAGAGCCCACATCGCCAAGTCAATCCTAAGCCAAAAGAACATAGCTGGAGGCATCACGCTACCTGACTTCAAACTATGCTACAAGCCTACAGTAACCAAAACAGCATGGTACTGGTACCAAAACAGAGATATAGTTCAATGGAACAGAACAGAGCCCTCAGAAATAATGCTGCCTATCTACAACTATCTGATCTTTGACAAACCTGAGAAAAACAAGCAATGGGGAAAGGATTCCCTATTTAATAAATGGTGCTGGGAAAACTGGCTAGCCATATGTAGAAAGCTGAAACTGGATCCCTTCCTTACACCTTATACAAAAATCAATTCAAGATGGATTAAAGACTTAAACGTTAGACCTAAAACCATAAAAACCCTAGAAGAAAACCTAGGCATTACCATTCAAGACATAGGCATGGGGAAGGACTTCATGTCTAAAACACCAAAAGCAATGGCAACAAAAGCCAAAATTGACAAATGAGATCTAATTAAACTAAAGAGCTTCTGCACAGCAAGAGAAAAAACCATCAGAGTGAACAGGCAACCTACAAAATGGGAGAAAATTTTCGCAACCTACTTATCTGACAAAGGGCTAATATCCAGAATCTACAATGAACTCAAACAAATTTACAAGAAAAAAACAAACAACCCCATCAAAAAGTGGGCGAAGGACATGAACAGACACTTCTCAAAAGAAGACATTTATGCAGCCAAAAAACATATGAAAAAGTGCTCACCATCACTGGCCATCAGAGAAATGCAAATCAAAACCACAATGAGATACCATCTCACACCAGTTAGAATGGCAATCATTAAAAAGTCAGGAAACAACAGGTGCTGGAGAGGATGTGGAGAAATAGGAACACTTTTACACTGTTGGTAGGACTGTAAACTAGTTCAACCATTGTGGAAGTCAGTGTGGCGATTCCTCAGGGATCTAGAACTAGAAATACCATTTGACCCAGCCATCCCATTACTGGGTATATACCCAAAGGATTATAAATCATGCTGCTGTAAAGAGACATGCACACGTATATTTATTGTGGCACTATTCACAATAGCAAAGACTTGGAACCAACCCAAATGTCCAACAATGATAGACTGGATTAAGAAAATGTGGCACATATACACCATGGAATACTATGCAGCCATAAAAAATGATGAGTTCGTGTCCTTTGCAGGGACATGGATGAAATTGGAAATCATCATTCTCAGTAAACTATCGCAAGGACAAAAAACCAAACACTGCATGTTCTTACTTATAGGTGGGAATTGAACAGTGAGAACACATGGACACAGGAAGGGGAACATCACACTCTGGGGACTGTTGTGGGGTGGGGGGATCGGGGAGGGATAGCATTAGGAGATATACCTTATGCTAAATGACGAGTTAATGGGTGCAGCACACCAGTATGGCACATGTATACATATGTAACTAATCTGCACATTGTGCACATGTACCTTAAAACTTAAAGTATAATAATAATAAAATAAAAAAAAAGAATAAGAACACCAACTTGAATTGGAAACCACCCAACTTCTGAAAGAAAAGAAAATTAGTAGGACTGAGTTTGTAGAAAGTAGCTGAGCAGAATTCCAGGTTTCCAGTTGCCTGGTTTCTCTCTGGCTTCAGGGGAGAAATCCACTCTTACCTGGGGATCTGAAATGCTAGGAGTTCCCTGATTTGAACAACCATGGCAGGAATGAAGACGAAGCATATTGACAAAGCATGTAAGTGTCCAGGACCCATCACAATGACATTAATTCCAAGTTCCAGAACCTCACATGAGTCCTTTTCAACATGGATCGCCATGGGTAGCCCATTTGGGAGGTTAGTCCAGGGTTTGAGGTCACTGTTAGGTTCTGTGAGTAAAATCTAGGATGAAATACTCTTGAGAGATAACCACAGGCTTCAAGGCTAGAGGAACAGCTAGATCCTATGCACTGGGAAAAGCCAAGGTTCAAATACTTAAGATCCATGCTCAATTCCAAAGTGAGGGTAGAGGCCAAAGCTAAGGAAAGGGTGAGAGTGCCAGAAGATTAAAGTTGCATGAACCTACTACTTCATTAGGTGGCCTGGCCAGTTTAAAAGGCCATGATCTGAGCAGAAACCATTAGACAGCAAATCTGAGCCTAATAAGATTGGCTAATAAAACAAGTGAGGTAGTTGAGCCTACAGTTGAAGTTTTTTTTTTGTTTTTTTTGTTTTTTTTTTTTTTTGAGACAGAGTCTTGCTTTGTCACCCAAGCTGGAGTGCAGTGGCATTATCTCAGCTCAAACAGCAACCTCCACCTCCTGGGTTAAAGTGATTCGGCCACCTCAGCCTCCCAAGTAGCTGGGATTACAGGTGCACGCTCCCATGCCCGACTAAGTTTTGTATTTTTAGTAGAGGGGAGGTTTCACCATGTTGGCCAGGCTGGTCTCAAACTCCTGATGTCAAGTGATCTGCCTGCCTTGGCCTCCCAAAATTCTGGGATTACAGATGTGTGCCACCACGCCCAGCCCTGAAGTTTCTTTTCATTAGGTGAGAGGCCAAGGAAGAAAATGACTCACAAGTGTGGTAAAATTCACTTCTCTTATTCTGTCATCAGCCAGTGTGTGGCTGTATACACCATAGCTCTTCCAAGGCCAACTGAATACCACTGCGGTACCCAAGGAAAGTTTTCTGCTCCCTGCCAAACTCCCTACTCCCTTTTCTACTAAGAGCAGAAAATTTCTAACAGTGACGATACAGTGTGTCTCCTGAGAAGTAGGCTCCTTTGCTAAAATTCCAAACACAGCATTCTGCTAGAACCCAATCAAGAAGTCATAGCCAGCACCTGACCTGCAGGAAAGAAAGCCTTCAATGCCAAAGGAAATGTGTACAGTTCTCTCACAGGTGATGGTTCAGAGACACTGCTTCAACAACTTTATTATGTAGACACAGGCCAGAGAGAGAATGCTGGGAGGGTGTAAGAGTGAAAAGTGAATAGGCTAAGTTCTTGACAGAATGATGAAGAAAAGCCAAAGCTTCTCCAGTTGAATTTCATGGTGGTGACTTTGTTGACAGAAGAACAACTTTCTCTTGGAGGCATCAGCTAAGACTATCCTTTCAGAGCCTTTAATCAGGGGGATATATATGTTCTCCACTGTATAGAGAACCAAGAGGGGGAATTGGCTATTCCTGGACAAAAGTCACGCAGAGCTTCCTGATGGCCTCCTGTCACAAGGTCAGGTTTATTGACTATTTCAGCCTTTGTTCCATGTAACTTATCTTGTGTAGGGTCTCAGAAGCCCACACACTCCTCCTGCAATGGAATGTGTTTGTTAAGAGTCATATACTAGCTCTCAGCAGTGTTTTCTAGCCAATCAATATGCTGAGAGGCTCTGTGAAAATAGGCGAGAGCCATCAAGGAGTGTCCAGTTTCTTTGTGTTTTCACTTTTATGTCTGTTAAAGGTCAGACACTATATTTATCACAATCAAATATACACGGATATTGAAAAGATATCTTTGTGAGCACATTGTTTGCAATAGGGTGGGGTGTGACAGGGTTTCCTTCTGGTTTCTAAAAACTTCACATGAAACAAAAGCACATTACACTTTTATATGTTCTCTTCCATCAAAGGATTCCAAAGTATTTAACAACTTTCATTAAGTTCCTCCAGCATCTCTCAGGAGCAAATCAATATTTTTTCACACACCTTGTTACAAGATAGGGAAATAAAGTCCAGGCCCCTAGCACATATTTAACATTCTTTTCTTGAAATATGAAAAATTCTTCTTGAATAGATTTAATTACAAGGGAGCAAACTTTTTTCCTTTTAATATGTCTTACCTTTTTTTCCTCAGTTAGAAGTGAGACCAAAAAAAGCAGGCCTTATAGAAGAAGCCTGAGGAAAATATGATTTTTTGGAAGCCTGAGGAGTAAAAGCAAAAACATTTTTTTAATCTCTTAAGCATTATGGTAAGATATCTGATTTTTTTTTCTGACTGTAAGCAAAAGTACAGCCATATTTTCAGAGCCCCCAAATATTTTTTTAAAAAAGATAGATTCACAAAAGCAACTGAACCAAGTCTTTACCTCAAAAGTGTCATCAGAATGAATTAGAAGTTGTTCCTCTGTCAACCTGTGAAGAGGATGGGGGTGATGACTTTTATTTTCTGTTTTCTTTGTAGGATAATTGGGTTTCTCTGTGTCTTTTGATTCAGGATTGACATGCTCTGCTCTCAAAATGTCTAATTGTCTACAGGGGAGAGACTAGGTTCTGCAGCAACCAATAGATCCTGGGCTGTTCTCCACATGATAGGACAGGAAAGGGCTGCTCTGCCCTGTCTGAGGTGGCTCCCTGGGGACTCAGTGGGAAGAAATAATCTAGAAGAACAAAGCAAGTTAACTACTCACATTTCTCCACCTGGAGGCTGCTGTTTGTAGGAAACAAATTGCGATAATAATAGCTACACTTCTGTCACCTTCCTAGGTTCACCTTGGAGAAGGATTAATGCTTCTGAGATGGAGGTTTCTTTGCTGTTAGGGTGAAACCATGAGTGCCTGCAACTCTCTTTTAATGGATTCTGGAAGTGGAGGCCGTCTGCATCTCCTGCCTCTGAAAGCTGGAATCTGAAAGCATCCAGGCTGAGCTGTATCTAGACTTCGTAGTTATGCAGCGGCTTCACTGCAAAATTCAACCTCTAATTCTAGTTGCTTATGGCATAAACAAAGGGAAATGGCAGCTATTTGGTGTGGTAAATGAACATTTTAGGATTATACCCACTTTTTCTTGGGTGATCTGTTCTCAGGCACTTTATTCCAATATTCTCTAAAGTGGTTTTGGCATATCTTGATGGTCAAGAGGGTATTGGCATTCTTCGTCTCTGTTCATGCCTGCTTTGCCAGGAAGAATCACATTCCCAGAGAGGGTTTTGCCTGTTGAGCTGTGTGTACAGATGTAATGAGATGAGTTGGTGGGATGGCTAAGCAATGGTAGCGTCTTCTTTCCCTACTGTCACCTACAGGAAAAAGAAATCAACATTGTGTTTCAAAAGACCCATTGAGGAAGGTCTACTCTGAAAGAGAAAGGATAAATCAAACTATTTTTCCTCCTCTCACACACAATACAACACAGAACACATCTGTGACCAGACCTACGTAGTTTTTCATACACAGCAAGCAATCCGTTCTCCAGTGAACACCAGCTGGATGTCCTATAATTCAATTCAATTTTCACACTGTCTACCTAGAAGTAGCATTAGATTCCACAGGTTCAGAGTTCAGTCCCATAAGACTGTCCTCACTTCAGATCCCAATTACAAGTCACAGGTTGTGATCTGTGTGCTTCTGACCAACTGTCTATAAATCATTTTCCCACTACCCACTCCTGGAGTTCAGTTAATTCTCTAGAACAGCTCACAGAACTCTCAAGGAAACATATTACTTATCTTTATCCATTTATTATGAAGGATATTACAAATGACACAGATGAAGAGCCAGACCAAGAGATGCATAGGGCAAGGTATGGGGTTGGGAGGGGCAGCGTGGAGCTTCCATGCCTTCTTTGGCTGCACACCCTCTAGGAACCTCCATGTGTTCAACAATCTAGAATCTCTCTGAACCCAGTCCTTTAGGGATTTTATGGAGGCTTTATTATGTAGGCAAAGTTCATTAAATTATTGACCATTGGTGATAAAGTCAACCTTCAGCCCCTATTCCCTCCGTCCCTAGATGTTGGGAGGATGGGAGAGTAGGGCTGAAAATCCCAACTTTGTAATTATGCCTTTGTCTTTCTAGTGACCACACCCATCCTGAAGCTATCTAGTGGCCACCAGCCACCAGTCATCTTATTAGCATACAAAAGACAATCTTATCAATAGGAAGATTCTAAGGATTTTGGAGCTGCACTCCAGGAACCAGGGGCAGAGACCAAATACATATTTTTTTTTTTATTATATCACAATATCACATCTACACATAGGAAAATCATATATCCTGGTTTATACCACCTGCTTTCCTAATGTAGTTGTAACTAATACTTGCTTTTAGACTTAGAAGTGTTCTGTTTTGAATGACATATGGTCACACTACCAGGCAGAATTTGCCCCAAAATAAAGAAAGAGAGAGAAATACCTAGTGAGTTAGACAGAAGGGCTGGTCCTAAAGAAGGAGAAGTCATATAGACTGACAACGAAGCAGGGTTTTACCAGGAAACAATTTCCTCATAGCACCCTGGACCTTCCTAGTATGTCTATTGAGGTTGATGCCAGGTGTTAAGAATCCAGACTACAGTAAGACCCCTATGCCCAAGCTTGAGTAGTAACAGGTCTACATATTGTGAATAGATCATGTGTACTTGAACAACATACATATCAGAGACCATCATGGTTGACTGAAGATTAGAGAACATTTCCTCAGTTTCTGGATACTCACATAAGCCACCTGTTTCCAAAAATATTAGAGTTTGAATTTCTTTGGGAGAAAGAAGTTCCATGACTAGTGTAGGCACGAAGTCAGAATCAATTTGATTTAGAAAGAATAAAAATGTAGGATTTGTTACAGCTAGATGCAGTGGTAGAAAAATCATACATAATATACAAGCAGCTAAGAGCTTCTGTTTGAATCACTAAAGTAATTGGTAGGCAGGTTGTTGTTGAGTTCAGGACCAGGTGGTTAAATCTGCAGTCTTGAGATCCCACAGAGAACATGTGAGGTTGGTGTTGTCAGTGGCCTCAGATTCCTGTAGGGTCTTGTGAGCCAAAGTGGAAAAGAATGGAGATGATGGCAGAACTGCTATAAGGTCAGTCATTTATTCAGTTGAGTCCACAAAGAGTTATTAAGCATCATTAATTCTTCCATGGCTGTGATGAAGTCTCTTACCCATGGATTCATAGACTATATGCTGTGAAGGTCCTTCCAACAAGTACACATTGTCTCAGATTGTAGAGTCACCTGTGGGAAGAGTGGCTTAGCAGGAGAGGTTTTGTGATTCATGTAAAACAGACCTTCACTACCCTCCATGTGCCCAAGGATTCATGTCTAAGAGAGAGAGGCTGAAATACGAGAAGAACCAAAGTCCTAACAAAAAGCAAATATATATTTGGAATAAATTATTAAAACACAGATATAATGGAAACATGTCCAGGGGAACTAAAGATTTAAATAATAATGTAATTAGCTAATTGATTAATGTTCTACCTCTTTCTTCAATGAATGTAAGAATGCAAAGGCATAAGTAGAATGTTATTATTAAGGAAGTAGCCTGAGAGAGTGAGTACTCACCTCTTACACAGCATAAATGTGCCTTATTTATTCTAAGGTAAGAATACAGGTGGAATATGGCTGCTGTAGGCAATTTTAGACTTTATATGTTAAGGAGGGCCTCAGAGAAAGACTCCTTGAAATCTTAAACAAGCCATGGTTGTTCCAATAAGGACATCTGAGGGCTTATATCAAGCCAAGTTTCATGAGTCAATGAACCAATGGAAGATTTTAATGTCCTGCCTGCTATTTCTCACTTGAGCATCCACAACCAGAGTACAAAACAATTTGAAGTCATAAGTGATTATGAGCCATAATAGGACCCATAGATAGCAGAAGCAATTGGAATTCATGGGACATCATGGACTTACTGGTCCTGAACAGCTTTGTTGGGGGCTGGGGCCTGAAGTGGACCTTGAAGTGTGGGTAGGAGATGGGTGGAACACCAATAATAAATTTCATCATTGTCCGCTGTTTTCATCTTGACCAACAGAAACTGAAACTAATGTGCTTGTTTTTTCCAAATTCGTGTTCTGCCAGAGGCTTCTCAGAGAATACCTAATAATAATAACAATAATAATCAGAATCAGCATCAGCATGACCTAGACCTTGAGGGGACACAATGATGAGTGTCTATGTCAGGGTTGGTCCTCCCATTTGCAGTGACAGTCTTCATAATTAGTCCTGGGTGGTTGCCCAGGAGGAAAATGGATACGTCCACTCTCTCATTTACTGAGGCCACCAAGGAGCCATTGATGAAAGTGACCTTAAGCCACAATCAACTTTGGCTAGCCTCAAAGCAGTGACCTTGAAGTGGGAGGGTCTAACTATAGACTATCTTTCCTCTGACAGGCTTCAGAGCTCTTGGCACATGGTTGATTTCAGCATTGCAGCTGTTGCATTAAAAATTGTTGTGCTGCCACTAAAATCTTCTTGCTCCTGCCCCTTTCCCCAAATAATTATCAGTTACAGCACAGATATTAAAAGTGTGCTTTAAAAATTAAAACACAGTTCTAAATAGAAGACCATATAAATGTGGAATTAATTGCTGTATATGCTTCGAATTACCGAGAGACTTCACTTTATTTCTGTCACAGCAGAAAGGGCTGCAGCGGGAAGAATTCATGTGGAGATCCAACCATGGCCTAGTTATTTTGTGTTTAATATGCTTCAGACATTTAATTATTTTTTATTAATTCATTTGCCATTAAACTGCCCAAAGACTTAGACACATTTTGCACTGCGTGGCATATCAGTGTGTTAGTTATATGGACTCCTTAAAAGGGTCAACATTAAAGTTCAGTATTGGGGTTCAAAAGAGATTAGAAATCAAACTTTGGCTCCATTACTTAACATTTGTGTGAATTTAAATAGTTAACCACTTCTGAGCTATGGTTATGTCATTTGTAAAGTGATTCCTACTTCCTAAGGCTATTATGAGAATTAAAAATTTTGGACTTAATGACTGTTTTAGGTAAGCACTCTATAAATGGTAATGATTATCTTTATTAGTTTGAAAAAATGCTAACCATGTACTATCCACCAAGGAAAAATACATACAATCATTGTTTGCTTTTCCCTATAGTGGTAAGCAGACTTCTTGAGACGAGCTCAAGTTCCAATTCAAACAGATGAACCTGAAAAAAATCAAGGTAGAGAGGAGTCTTTAGATGGCCTGGACCTCAGCTCACATTTTTCAGACTTATATCTTACTAATAATCCCAAAGAACATGCAATTTTAGTAAAACTAGCTTCTGTAGTGTCTGCTGAGCACTCCAGCACACTAGTCATTTCCCACCTACTCTGAGAAGACTTCTGCAACCACTACCACCTTTGTTGTAACCTCCATTCAACTCTGGCACTTACTGAAGAACCATGGACAGATCAGAGAATTGAGAACTTACAGGAACTCACAGAATGTCAGAGTGAAAAAGGACCTTGGAGATCTTTTTCCAAAAAAAAAAACCTGAGTCCTGAAAGATTAAATACCTTGTTCAAGGTCATACAACTAGAAAACAGCAAAAGCAGAATAAAAACCTGAGACTCCCACCTCCATTTCTACTATCCTGCACTGGGCTGGCACGCTTGGCTGCCTCGGCTTGCTGATTGGTTTCAATTTGGCAATTTCTAGACAAAAGTAACCACTCAAAATTCCTTGCAGGGAGATCTTGGGGGTAGCATAAGCAGCCGTGCAGGAATTAAAGGGAAATGTCTTTGCTTCTGTTGTTACTACCAGTGTGTAAGCATCTGTCTCCAGGAAGAAAGGTGATAATTACTGAGTCTTTACTTTGTAGCTGGCACCATGCTGTTATGGCTTTCCATGGCCTCACATTTTCCAGGCTTCACTAGTCTGGATCTAAAAACTGGAGAAAATAAGGGTGCTTTCTCACCATAATGGGAAAGCCAGATACCCTCCAAATCCTCCCTCCTGAATCAATTCTGGACATCCCATGGGGATGCTTCATATCCGCTAATGAACACCTTCACAGCTGCTGAGTGGCATCTACCATTTTCCTCTTCTCTTACTGCAGTTATTGAAAATTATCTTTTATCACCACAAACTCAGTGGAGATGATGCTGACTGTGAAGCCACCACAGTATGACATCTTTTTGGTGTTTCCCACCATGCATGGTCCTCCCTCACTAATCAAGCTGTTATGTTTTTTTTTCCTGCACCACATCCTGCTCCAGTAGAAAACCAAAAGGAAGGAAATACCGTTTCCTGGCACAAACACAACACATAGCTTCAACAAAGCAGGTCTTATACTCCCAAGTATTCATCTAGTGAAAATTGCTCTTATAGACTTTCCTTTGCTGATTATAGACCATGTTCTAAGACTCAGAAATAAGGTCCATGTGGGCTCTGACATGCTATGTGTGGTCCTGAAATCACATCTCCACTACAACACTTCTATCTTGTCCTTAAACAAAATTTGTCTCCTAAGCTTCTCCATTGCCTTATGATGGGTTACCCTCACATACACACCCCACCCAGGCTCTCCATGACTTCCTCACCAGTCATATCTGAACATGAATCTTAATTTAGAGAACTGCACTGACACAAATTGTAACTCATTTGATTTTAACAAAACTGTTACAGGTAGGAACTATTTTCTTTATCCTTCAGATATCAGCACAAAGTCATAGAACTTATTATAATCTAAAGCTAGGAATGGGAGGCAGGAATTGACCCAAAGTGTGAGCCTATCCTCTGGGCACTTTGCTACTGAGCCTCCTATCAGACTTGGGAAAGCCTCCCCTTGCCACCTCCCAACCATAGTCCTCTATGATAGTACCAGTCGGGTTCTTGCCTACCTTCCCAGTGCTCCTTGTTTGAGAGCTCTTCATGGTTTTCACGTGTTCTGACTGTAAATAAATTTATTGCAGTGTTTTATTCTACTTCCATTACCCTTGTGACCAATGTGGAGTCCCTGTTGTTCTCTAATGATATAGTAACTGCCACCTACTGCCCTGCATTATTGTGTTATTATATGTCAAAGGCGAATATTTTCCAAAGAAAACCACAACTACACCATGCTTATGATTAAAACTCATGGTGGACTAGGTACAAGCAAGCAAAGCCGTTATATATCCTGACAGTGACTAATAGAAGCTTGTGTCCTTGTTAATCTTTTAGTGAATTATATATACTGCACTGTATACACAAATGACAAAAAATACAATTTATCTCCCATGTCTTTAAGGATCTGGCCTATAAAAACAGGTCTATCATGAAGAAGCATTTTAATAAAAGATGGAATGACAACCTGGAAAATAAAACTGCCATATAGACACTCATATGTAATAGGATGCGAAGGGAAGAATGAACCCCTTGACTCTGATTTAGCCTGAAGTCATTGCAGACATCTACAACTTACTGGGAAAATCCTTGTATATTTTTCACATTCAGAGACCATTATTTAATATGAATATGGCACACAAGGAAGGGTTCCTGACATACCAGTCTCCCAGCGATTTATCTATAGTATTAGGGTTTCCAGGAAGGGTTCCTGACATACTGATCTCCCAGAGTTTGATCTACAATTTTAGGGCTTCCAGGAATTGAATGTCATTGTGGATGATCACTTTGTAGAGCAGGTAACTGAGACATGCAAGTTCAACAGGCAGCCAGCCGCCTCTTGCCTTCAATGTTGGAAAAGTACCAGGTCTCTTAACATCTTGGAAGAGGTGCTATCCTTGTTCAATTTAATTATTACCTCCCTTATATGACCAGGAACATGACATGACAGAGGCATTCTGAGCCATTCTGTCCATTTTGGTTTGGAAATCCCATGAGTTTTGGTTTGAAATCAGGCCATGAGTGCTTAAGTGGTAGGAAGACTGGCCTTGAGACACAGCTCTCCACTCATACATTGTATCTGTTCTTCAAGTGCTCCCCTTAACCACTGATCAGGAGGGAAATAATATTAACAGCAGTGACAGACACGAGTCCTTCATCATTTTTTCAAAGTAGTTTTTAGAAATATTCATTTATTTAACTTTCACCATACTATGTCATAATGTCTTTTCTAATTGTTCTACTCTAAAACATAAGCCTTAAACACACATTACCCAGCTTTGCTCTACCTAAAAAGAAAAATGCCCATTCCTTGTTCCCAATTGATTCTTGTTCTCACTCACTGACATTTTATCTGTTCCAGTAATGCTAACATTTTTCTGTAAGGCTCTAGATCTAAGTTGTCTAATAGGGTAACCACTAGCCACATGTGATAATTTAAATTTATTAAAATTAAATATAGTTAAAATTTTGGCTTCTCAGATACAATAGCCAAATTTTAATTGCTCAACATGCCTTGAAAAAGCCACATCTGCCAATGGCTATTGTGGAGCATAGTACAGATATGGAACACTTGCATTGTCTCAGAAAGTTCCATTGAACAAGGTTGTTCTCTGGTGAAAGTTCAGTTATTGTTGATGATATTGTCGATGGTATTGTTGATATTGTCATTGTTTTATTTTCCCAAGTATCTCAAACAAATTATTTATGGTCTATACTCTATTCAAGAATTGTTCTTCAGGCCATGGTGGGGTAACAGGTACCCGATATTTATCCTTTGATCTTAAACAACTAGAAAGTTGAAAAAAACATATGAAATATATTTTGGGGTTTTCAGGCATTGAAAAAGAGGCAGCACAGAGCTTGACCTCTGAAAACATTGAAATAAAGACAGGTAAGTTCTACAATTGACCCAGTGTGTGCCTAGTGACAGTTTTTAGGCTTAAAAATGTCTTAAGGAAGAGAAACCTAAACACAGCATAGATGTCTCCATGAGTATCTGCAGATGAGACAAATATTAGAGGAAAGGGAAGTCAGTGATGTTAGAATGCATGGAGTGGAGTGCTAGGAGAAGTGAATTCATGAGAATGAACTCTAGATTCCAATAGAGGGTGGCCTTCTTGGCTTGAGCTGATCACTGATCTACACTTCAATACAGTAAACTACTAAGTACTGGAGAAATAACTACTGAAAAAAATAGGCCAGGCCAAGCGCAGTAGCTCGTGCCTATAATCCCAGCACTTTGGGAGGCCAAGGCGGACAGATCACCTGAGGTCAGGAGTTCGAGACCACCCTGGCCAACATGGTGAAACCCCATCTCTGCTTTAAAAAAATACCAAAATTAGCTGGGCATGGTGACAGGCATCTGTAATCCCAGCTACTTGGGAGGCTGAGGCAGGAGAATCACTTGAACTCATGAAGCAGAGGTTGCAGTGAGCTGAGATCATGCTGCTGCGCTCCAGCCTGGGCAATGGACTGAGGCTCCATCTCAAAAAAAAAAAAAAAAAAAAAAAAAAAAAAAAAAAAACTGGCCAAAAAACAATTCTCGGAAAGCGTTGTGAAAAGTTTCTGTTCTCATTATCCAGAGTGACAAAAAAAAAAAAAAATATTAAACCACCATAATAGACATCACCCTGAGAAGAGTATCACACTATTTTTAGGTATAAATTAGCCTCATTTAAAGGGTGCACAGGACCCATTGTAACAAAGCTTACAAGCAACTTAACTGTATGCCAGGAAAACATGCAGCATATTTTCAAGAAATTTAAAAAAAAATTTGCCTCCCCAAAACATAAAATTCACAATTTCTGGCATCCAATAAAAAATCACCAGATATGACAATAGCCAAGATGTGGAATCAACCCAAGTGTCCATCCTGGAGGAGATTATGCTAAGTAAAATAATCCAAGCACAGAGAGACAAACACTGGATGATTTCACTTACATGTGGAATGTAAAAAAGGAGTAGAATGGTGTTTACCAAGGGTTGGGGAGATGTTGGTCAAAGGATACAAAATTTCAGTTAGATAGGAGGAATACGTTCAAAAGGTCTATTGAACAACATGGTGACTATAGTTAATAACAATATATTGTATTTTTGAAAATTGCTAAGAAAGTAGAGTTTAAGTGTGCTCATCACAAAATATCATAAATATGAGGTAATACATGTTAAGTAGCTTGATTTAGCCATCCTGCAATATACACATATTTCAAAACAATATGTTATACATGATAAATATGCATAACCTCTTTGTCACTTAAAAAATCATCAGGTGTTCCAGGAAGCATGAAAATATGGCATAAAGATAGTAGAAAATTAATCAATTAAAACAGACCACCAAATGGCATATATAATGAAATTACCAGGCCAGGTGCAGTGGCTCATGCCTCTAATCCCATTGCTTTGGGAGGCTAAGATGAGTGGATCAGTTGAGTGCAGGAGTTTGAGACCAGCCTGAGTGACATGGCAAAACCCCATCTCTACAAAAAATATAAAAACTAGCTGGGTGTGGTGGCATGTACCTATAGTCCCAGCTACTCGGGAGGCTGGGGCAAGAGGAATACTTGAGCCCAGGAAACAGAGGTTGCAGTGAGCAGAAATTGTGCCACTGTATTCCAGCCTGGGTGACAGAGTTAGACTCCCCCTCAAAA
This sequence comes from Homo sapiens, assembly GCF_000001405.40. Taxonomy (NCBI): domain Eukaryota; kingdom Metazoa; phylum Chordata; class Mammalia; order Primates; family Hominidae; genus Homo; species Homo sapiens. The sequence goes on along the minus strand of NC_000008.11, from coordinate 36,182,570 downwards.
AAATAAAATTAAATAAAATATAAAATTAGCAGACAAGGATGCTGATATGGTTTGGCTGTGTCCCCACCCAAATCTCATCTCAAACTGTAGCTCCTATAATCCCCAAGAATCATGGGATGGACCCAGTGGGAGGTAATTGAATCATGGGGGCAGGTCTTACCATGTTGTTATTGTGATATTAAACAAGTCTCACAAGATCTGCTGGTTTTATACAGGGCAGTTGCCCTGCTCATGCATTCTTACCTCCCACAATGTAAGATATGCCTCTGCTCCTCCTTCACCTTCCGCTATGATTGTGAGACCTCCCCAGCCATGTGGAACCATGAGTCCATTTAACCTCTTTTTCTTTATAAATTATCCAGTCTTGGGTGTGTCTTTATTAGCAGCATAAGAACAGACTAATACAGTAAATTTGTACTGGTAGAGTGGAGTGCTACTATAAGAATACCTGAAAATGTGGAAGCCACTTTGGAACTGGGTGACAGGCAGAGGTTGGAACAGTATGAAGAGTTCAGGAGAAGACAGAAAAATGTGGGGAAGTTTGGATGTTCCTAGAGATTGTGAGAACTCAGAAGACAGGGAGATGTGGGAAAGTTGGAAATTCCTAGAGACTTGTTGAATAGCTTTGACCAACATGCTGATAGTGATATAGACAATGGAGTCCACACTGACATGATCTTAGATAGAGATGAAAGGCTTGGGAACTGGAGTGAAGGTGACTCTTGCTATGCTTTAGCAAAGAGACTAGCAGCATTTTGCCCCTGCCCTAGAGATCTGTGGAACTTTCAACTTGAGAGATATGATTTAGGGTATCTGGCAGAAGAAATTTCTAAGCAGCAAAGCATTCAAGAAGTGACACAGCATAAAAGTTTGGGAAATTTGCATCCTGACAGTGTGGTTAAAAAATAAAACTTTTTCTGGGGAGAAATTCAAGCTGGCTGCAGAAATTTGCATAAGTAACAAGGAACAGAATGTTAATCACCAAGACAATGGGGAAAATTGCTCCAGAGCATGTCAGAGACCTTTGGGGCAGCTCCTCCCATCACAGGCCCAGAGGTCTAGGAGGAAAAAATGGTTTCATGGGCCAGGCCCAGGGCACCCTAATGTGTTCAGGCTACGGACTTGGTGCCCTATGTCCCAGCTGCTCCAGCCATGGCTAAAAGGGGCCAAGGTACAGCTCAGGCCATGGCTTTGGAGGGTACAAGCCCCAAGCCTTGGTAGCATCTGCCTGGTGTTGAGCCTGTTGATGCACAGAAGTCAAGAATTGAGGTTTGGGAACCTCTGCCTAGATTTCAGAGGATGTATGGAAATGTTTGGATATCCAGGCAAAAGTTTGCTACAGGGACAGAGCCCTCATGGAGAACCTCTGCTAAGGCAGTGCAGAAGGGAAATGTGGGATGGGAGCCCCCACACAGAATCCCTACTGGCGTACCACCTACTGGAGCTGTGAGAAGTAGGCCACCATCCTCCAGACCCCAGAACGGTAGATCCACTGACAGCTTGCACTGTGCACCTGGAAAAGGTGCAGACGCTCAACACCAGCCCATGAAAGCATTCAGGTGTGGAGCTGCCCAAGAGCATAGGAACCCACCTGTTCCATCAGTGTGCCCTGGATGTGAGACATGGAGTCAAAGGAGATCATTTTGGAGCTTTAAGATTTGACTGCTCTGCTGGATTTGGGACTTGCATTGGGCCTGTAGCCTCTTCGTTTGGGCAAATTTCTCCCATTTGGAATGGGTGTATTTACCCAATCCCTGCACCCCCATTATACCTAGGAAGTAACTTACTTGCTTTTGATTTTATAGGCTCATAGGCAGAAAGGACTTATCTTGTCTCAGATGAGACTTTGGACTGTGAACTTCTTATTTTATTTTTTGAGACAGTCTCACTCTGTTACCCAGTCTGGAGCGTAGTGATGGTGCAATCTCAGTTTACTGAAACCGCTGCCTCCCAGGTTCAACCAATTCATGTGCCTATGCCTCTTGAGTAGTTGGGACTAAAGGCATGAGTCACCATGCCGAGCTAATTTTTGTATTTTTAGTAGAGACAGGGTTTCACTATGTTGGTCTGGCTGGTCTCAAACTCCTGACCTCAAGAAATCCACCTGCCTCAGTCTCCCAAAATGCTGGGATAACAGATGTGAGCCACCACACCCAGCTGGACTGTGGACTTTTGAGTTAATGCTAAAATGAATTAAGACTTTGACAGACTGTTGGGAAGGCATGATTGGTTTTGAAATGTGAAGGCATGAGGTTTGGGAGGGGCCAGGGGCAGAATGGTATGGTTGGGCTGTGCCCCTACCTAAATCTCATCTTGAATTGTAGATCTCATGATCCTCATGTGTCATGGAAGGGACTTGGTGGGAGGTAATTGAATCATGGTGGTGAGTTTTCCCATGTTGTTATAATAATAGTGAATAAGTCTCATGAGATCTTATTGTTTTATATAGGGCAGTTCCCTTGCACATGTTCTCTTGCCTGTCGCCGTGTAAGATGTGTCTTTGTTCCACCATGATTGTGAGGCCTCCCCAGTCATGTGGAACTGCGAGTCCAAGAAAGTTCTTTTTCTTTATAAATTACCCAGTCTTGGGTATGTCTTTATTAGCAGCATGAGAACAGACTAATACAGATACCTAAGCAACTATCAGAAATATATTCTATATGCTCAATAAGGTAGAGGAAAACATGAATATGATGTGGAAAGAAATGGAATATATCAAAGTAACCCAAGTGAAACACCTAGAGATTACAAATGAAATATCAAAAATAAAAAATATACCTTAGGTGGAATTACAGTAGGTTGTATTCTGCAGAAGGAAAAAATGGTGAATTTGAATACAGAAATAGAAATTATCCAAAATGAAACACAGGGGAAAACAACAAAGTGAAAGAAAAAAGTGTACAGATCATTGACATGTGGAGCAATATTGAATGATCTAAGAAACATGTACTGGGAATTTCAGCAGGAAAAAGTAGAATGATGGAAAAAAATGATAACATAATGTCATTTCATTTTTCAAATTTGATGAACACTTAGAATGCAATGAATAAAGAATCTCAATCAATAAACTCCAAATAGAATAAGCAAAATAAAACTACAATAACACACATCATTATCAAATTACTGAAAACCTATGATAAATAGAACGTCTTTAAAGCATTCAGAAAAGAAGAAATATTAAGTACAAAGAAACAAAGACAAAAATTTTACTTGATATCTAATGAGAAGTATGCAACTTAGAAGACAATACAGTAACATATTTAAATGCTGAAAGAAAAAATGGTCTACTCAGAATTCTATATTCAGCAGAAATAGCTTTCAAAAATGAAAATATGATATATTGGACAAACAAAAGCTGAGAAAATGTATCTACAGCAGACCTATACTATAAGAAATGATAAAGAAATTTCCTTTGGCAAAAGGAAAATAGTAACAAATACAAGTTTGGATCTACTTAAAGGAATAAAGTATTCAAAATGTGGGTAAGATTGAATGCAGAATGCATGATGACTAAATAATAAATAAATATAAAACAAAATTTGGGTAAGTATAGAAGATGTTACTAAACTTTTCAATCTCTTTAAAAAGTAACTAACAGTTTAAACAAAAATAATAACAATGTATCATGGGCTTTATAACATATGTATTTTAAAATATAGTCATAGCACATGTTTTAAATTTGTCAGTTATACTTGAAGTGGCATAATTTTATTTGAAAACAGACTGTGATAAGTTAAAAATGTACATTGAAAACATTAAAACAACCAATAAAAAAAAGAGGTATAGCAAATGAAAAAATAGTGGAGGAAGGAAATAATAAATATAATTACAGAAATTGGTTGGATACAGTGGCTCACACCTATAATCCCAGCATTGTGGGAGGCTGAGGCAGGGGGATCACTTGAGTGGAGAAGTTAGAGACCAGCCTGGGCAACAAAGCAAGACCCCCATCTCTACAAAATATTTTTAAAAATTAGCCAGACTTGGTGACATACACCTGTAGTCCCAGATACTTGGAAGGCTGAGGCAGGAGGATTGCTTGAGCCCAGGAGTTTGAACTTACAGTGAGCTATGATCATGCTACTGCACTGCAACGGTGGCAACAGAGAGAGTCCCTGTCTTTAAAAAAAATTTTTTTAAATGATAATAACAGAAATCAGTAAAATAGGCAATACAAAACAATAGAGAATATTAATCAAACTGCATGCTGTTTCAAAGAAAAGATGAGCAAAACTGAACACACTCTGCCAGACTGATTAAGAAAATCAAAGATACAAATAATCAAAGTCATAAATGTAAAAGAGGCCATCACTGTAGATCCTACAAATATTAGGAATCTAATCAGGGACCATTATGAATAACTTTATGGAAAGAAATAGCCATCATTGAGGAGTAAAAATGCTGTTCAAAGACACAAACTACCAAAGTTCACTAAAGAAGAAATAAATAGTCCTATATTTAATTTGTAAAATTAAAATCATAGTTTTAGGAATTACACAGAGAAATATTCAGATCCCAGTAGTTTCATTGGTTAATTCTATTTAACATGTAAGGAAGAAATACTACCCATTACACAAACTCTTCCAGAACATAGAAGATGAATTCCATCCCCCAGCTGATTTTAGGAGTCTAGTATTATCCTGAATCCAAAACCAGACAAATATATTGCAATAAAAGAAACTACAGACAAATATCCCTTATGAACATAAATGTAAAAATCTCTAACATATATTTAGCAAATCAAATCCAGCAATATATGCATCTTGACTATTTGGGCTCAGCCCAGGAATGCAATTTGGTTTAACATTCAAAAATCAATCCATGGTATTCACTATGCTGATAATCAAAATAATTATGATTATTTGATAATTATGATATGTAATCAATATATTATGATTTCAAGAAAAAGCATTTGACAAAATTCAGCACACAATTATCAGCATACTTGAAATAGAAGGGAATGTCCTCATCTGATAAATTACATCTCTTATAAAATTTATGGATAACATCACAATTAATGATGAAAGATTGAATGCTTTCTTTCTAGATTGAGAATGAAACACAAATATCCTTCTTATCACTTCTATTCAACATTATCCTATAAATCTTAAACTATGAAAAAGAAACAAAAAACCCCATGCAAATTGGAAATGAAGAAATAAAACATTCTTTGCCAATGACCCAATTGAGTACTTAGAATCCCAATAAATCTACTAAAAAGATACAAAAAAGGACAGATTAATTTAGCAATTTTGCAGAATAAAATGTCAATACTGTATGCAAAATTTATTGTATACACTATTCAGTGAGATAAATCTATTGATGACATATTTTGATGCTGCAACAATATCCAATTTATATAAAAGTTTCTAACACTCATTCTCAATTTTTGTACATCTCTCATTTTGGGCTTGTAACAAGAAGTTCATGGACTGGCACCAGCCTACAAACCACTACCCAAATGACACTCCCCCTTTTATTAATAAAGAAAGTGTTTAATTTATTCAGTAAGTACTTAGTATACATGAGTCACTGTGCTAAACACAGGGTCCCTCCCTGCAAATAAACAAGACTCAAGATTTTATGATAGAACCTCTAGCATAATATGTGACACAAGACAAGTATACCCATAATGAATATTTCCAAGACAACCTTTATAGCCATATGCTCTGAGAAATTGTCTGCATCTGACGAATGGAAGAATAGGAATGGAAGAGTGTACTGATTGGAAAAATCTTAATGATTGAAGATGCATTTGAATTCACCATAGAACAGCAACATAGCAACCCAAACTTAATCACATAACAATGAACTTAATAGTGAGAGCTAGGCTTTTCATATGAGTTATTTTTTCAAGCAATGGATTTCTACAAAACCTGGGATTTGGAAGGTAAGGAACTGACCTTAAATTCCGCTCTTCCAGTGTCCTCCCAATACTCCAAACCGGCTGATACTTCTGATTCCCCAATACATATGATATTCATGGCTGAAATTCCAAGCATAATATTTATATACAAATTGTGATCTCTGTATAATAGAATCATCAGTTATTAGAAATTGACAGTCTTAAGGAATCATATGATCCTAAAGTTTTACAAATAAGACAATAAGAGAGGAAAGCTTTTTCCCAGGTCATGTGGCTTTCCTGGAAACAAGAGCCTTTAGATTCACCTCTGACACTAAATCTACTTCTCTTTCCATTGTACCATAATGCCTCACCAGGTATAAAAGAAATGAAAAGCATTTGCTGCTGCTTCTGTTATTGCCCATAACTAACAAATTCAAATGAATGATGAGTGTGACAGGATGACAGCTTTACTCTAAGCATAAAGGCATGCGTGGACATCAGTGAAGAACTGAGGACAAGTTCCCCAGATACCTGTTTAAAGGAGTGGGGAAAAAGCATCCTGGGAAATAATGTTTCCAAAAGGAAGAGAAATTGAGGTACGAAGAAATCAATTGATATACATATTAAGGCATGATTGAAAGAATTAGGTAAATCTGAAAATATTAGGTTATCACTAATACTGTACCCAGTCCACCTCTCCTTAACTGACACCCACATCCCAGAAAAAGTAAAAGCTACAAGATGAATTTCAATAAAATATCAATGTGACATTGAGAGCAGTATTGGCCCTGGGCATGGCAATGGCAAGGGTATCAAGAGCACTGACATTGGAGGAACTAATCCCGATGAGGGCCAATTCATAGCTGATTTGTTGGTGCTGTCAGCATCCAGGCAATAGTTTCAACATAAATGCCATAATATAAGGGTCTTATTCTCATATCCCACCAGCAAATGGATTTAAAAGCACATAAAATAAACCAACAAAAATCATGGACAGTCCTCAATAAGACACATAGTAGCACGTCCTTGTTTTCAGAACACAAAGTCCTAACATAGGACAAACTACATTTAAAAAAAATATATCTGGAAATTCCATAATTCCAGAGCCCTTTCTTCCCACTGCTACACTCCTTTCAGTAGAACAAGGTACTCCTTATTTCCCAGTTCACATACAGAAAGTCAGTTTATTTTTTTTTTATTTTAAAGCATTTTTTTTTTGGAACAGTGTTTCTTAAACTGTAGGGTACATTGAAATCACCTTAAGGGCTTTTTAAAACAAACTGCTGTGACCAACTGCAGAGTTTCTGATTCAGTATGTCTGGGGCAGGCCAGAGAATTTGCATTTCTATCAAATTTCTAGGTGTTGCAGACACTGCCAATCAGGATACCAAACTTGGAGAATGGCTGCTTTGGAGCTATAGCCATCCTCCAACCTCTTAACACAACTTTTACATTGTTAATAACATGTGAATAACACATGGACAGTAATTTCATGTGCCTCCTTCCCTGTTTTGTATGCAGAGCTTAGTGCAGGGCAGGGCATAGAATAGGGGTTCAATAAATATTTGTTGTATAAATAAATGAAAAGATGAATGGATGAATAGCTGAATTGTGAATGAATGAATGAATGAATGAATGAATGAATGAAAAAAAGCATTTGCATTTGGTTTGCCTCAAAAACATTTGGAGCTATACTAAATGCAATGAAATAAAACACTACATGATGAAGAAACCCAACCAAAATGATCCTATCCCAGAATAAAGAAACTGTCCTAAAGATAAATATCCCATTACACCTTTTGAACCACAGAGAGCACATTTCTACCACTTTTCAAATAATCATATTTCCCTATTTCTAGGTTTTAAAGGTCAAAACGTTGAGTGCCAGCCTCAGAGTATCTTTCTGTACAATCAAATTACATTAATGATTTTAAATGAAAATAGTTATTTATTTTAAAAAAAGAATATCCTTCTCCTTGAGTAAAATAAATTGCCCACATGTGTTTATTTCTTCTTCCTCCTGGCATCCACTAAGTTATCAACCCACAAAGACAAAGACTGTGAGAGAGAAACAGCACCAGAAAAGAGAGGTCAATGCTATTCTAAAAGATGGAAAAGAATGTCTGAGTGATAACTGCCTGGGCACAGCAGGGAAGGCTGGACCTTGAGTGACTGCAGAGAAAAAAAGTAATGAGCAGCAAGTTGACCCATGCAGAGAACAGGGAGAGCTCCGGGTCTGGAGGTCCCAGATACCTCCTCTGGCCATGGTGAGAAGTGAAGCGAAGACAGGATTAATTGAAAGTTGTACAATGTGAAGTGTGACCTTCAGACACTCGTTCCAAGCCATGCCATTAATTCACATTTGAGATCTCACATTTGAGGAGCAGCGTTATCAGGAAATATAGAGACCAAGTCAAACAGGAAAAGGACGTTCAGAGAAAACAGAGGCAATGTGGGAAGCAGAATATATATATATTCTGATATATATATAAGCAGAATAATATATATAACATATATATTATTAACATATATAACATATATATTATTAACATATATATAATATATATAACATGCATATTAAGGAACTTATATATATAACATACATATTTTACATATAAGTTCCTTAAGGACTATATATTGTTTAGAAAGATGAAAGACACTTTTTTATTTCTGGAACACACAAAAAAGTATAATTTTTTAAAAAGTTCTTTTAGAACTGACCTACAGTTGGATTAAATTTTAAGGAGATGGCAATGCTGAGTCAAAGAGTAGCTTTCTCTCAGTTCGTTCCTTAGCTGGGGCCTGAGTACATGCCTACTTCATGCAGTGTTTCCCTTTGAAATATCCATGCTTTTTTAGTTATAGGAAGCCTGATCTCACCACACACCTTGGTGTCAAGCAGGCAATCCTGTGGTTGTTCCCATGATACTACTAGATATGTCAAACCATCTGAATGATTTTGAATTTAGAAAACAGTTATCATGTCTATATCCAGTGCTAGATAGAGCTGTGAAAAAGACATGCTCACTGTAACAGCCAGAAGCATCTAAGATTTTATAGGCAAATATGAACCATCATTATTGTAACAGTGAACAAATGGATCATCTCTACTTCCAAAATATCTATAAATAATACCCAGAGACCTGCTGCTCCAGGACAGAAGCCCATTTGATTATAAACAATTCAAAGAAAGAAATATATTAGGATTGATCCCAGCCACACATCTCAGCAGCTCTAACCCTAAAACCCTTCTGGAATCATCAGTTAAGATGATGGTCTCCTAAGATTGCTCAAAGAGAAACTAGAGCCAAACCCCTTTTGGCTAATTAGGTCCTATAAGTGCTGAGCTCCCCTGTATCTCTGAGCACTGTACACTTGCTTCTCTTCCTCCTCCATCCCAAGCCTCTTTCTCTGCCAGTCTGAATCCTACTCACCAATCAAGGCTTAGCTCAAGTACCATTTTCTTCAAGAAATGTTCCTGTAATTGAGAATCCAATGGCTTCTCATTATCTTCAGGATAAAAATCCAGATTTAATATGACATATTAAGCCCTTTATGGCCAGGCCGTAGCTTTCCTGTGTAACCTAATTTCTCACCCTTACTTTCCTCCACACTAGTACTTAACAACCAGCTCTCTCATACCTCCAGGCCTTTGTACACACTGCTCCTCCTGTCCTTAACTCCTCTCATTCTTCAAACCCATCTCAGGTCACCTGAATTTTGGTTTTCTTAAATGTTCCATCTACGTACTACCATTGCTTGTCTTCAAATACCCACTTATATCTGTAACTAAGTACTATTTATTGGGTACTTACAGAGTACCAGACATTACAATGGGTGTGTGCTTATATTACCTATTTTTTTTATAATTGCAACACCTGTATGTTATGTACTGTTATGCCTATTTCCCAGAAGATAAAAGCAGGTCTTAGAGAGGGTGAGTAACATATTAACCACAGGTTTAGTACATTGTAAAGCCAAGATGTGAATATAGATTGATTTTACTTGAAAGCCTATCTAGTTTCCTACTCAGCATCATGAACTGTTCTCTTGAATGAGTGCATAATAATGAATCCCATAAAGCAAAGGACCATATCTAGCTTCTTTTCTATTTTTATTTTTTTAGAGATGTGGTATCACCAGGCTGATCTTGAACTCCAGGCCTCAAGCAATCCTTCTGCTTCGGCCTTCAAGAGTAGCGGAGATTACAGGCATAGACAATACATCTAGCTGTATCTAGCTTCTTAGCATTATGTTCACATCATATAGCAGAGGGCCTGGGTTACAAGAGGTACCCAAATATTTGCTGAATGGATAAATGGTCTATTCATCCAATGTGTTCTCCATTGCTTGTATGCTCCTTAAGGATGGGAACAGCATATTAGTCATCTTTGCATCCTGAGATACTAGGCCAGTGTTTGTTGAATGAATGAATGAATGAATGTACCACATATTCTCTCTCTCTCACTCTCTCTCTGTCTCTCTCTCTCTCTCTCAAACACACACACACACTCACACTCACACACATACACACATATTAGTTTTTACTTGTTCATGTAGGGCCTTGGAATCATACTTTGCTGATTTTGGACTTGTATTATTACCCAAACAGATCTGTCACCTTTAATGGCCAAGAGCTGTATCTTTGGGATTAGGCTCTCTCTGCATTGATTAGCACGATGCTTGGCACCTATTAGATACTTAAAAATGCTATGTTGGTTGCCCCTTGCCTCAAAGAGAAAAAGAAATGCATCTTTTGAGTGGATTGTAAAAAAAAGCTTAGGTATCATTTGCTTGAGTAACTCTGATTTATCCCTTCAAGTGAAACACGTTTGGCTGTGGAGATTTGAAAGCCATCCCACATGGATGGTCCTAAACGGTACACTGGCACTGAAAGTAATCCTGCTGGGTTGTGAGCTCTGTGGTTTCCTGTGATGAGAGTGTTGCAGAAAAAACCATACCTGTTCCTCAAAGCTGGTGGGGACCAGGATATGGGTGAGAGGAGCATTAACATTTTACTTCTGTAAATTAGAGGTTTTGGCACCTCTGGGGAAAAAAAATCTTGTGGCCTTTTAGAGTCTGCAAGAGCTGCTGCCAAATGTCTTTCCCCTTGAAACAAAAACTGTGTTCAAGTCTTGATAATTACTACTGAGCTGTGCCAAGCCCAGAAATCCTTCTCAGCCAAGCAGCCCTACAGGGAGTTGAAATTTAAATTTATAATCATTTACCTTCAAAAAAAGTGAGTTTTCAGAACCAAGCTCCACAAACATAACTTTGGGTTAGATCTGATTTAGACCTGAGGCTGGACCTACCCGTATCAACTAAGTAGGAGAAAAGCAGTTCTTTTCTCCCTCTTTAATTTAATAGGGGAAATTTAGAGGGGAAATAATGAAAGAGTTGAACAGCTGAAATATCAGAAGCAAGACTGCCTTTGTTAGTACCATGTAGCCTGTTTTTCTGGAACTTTGTAATCCCAGAAATGAGTAGACTGTTTTTCATCTGATCCCCTGAGGACTCTTGTAGACTCAACAGAGACACAGTTCTCAAATCCATCTGATCCCCTTTGCCTATCTGAGCAGAATCAAAACACACAGAGGCCCAAATATTTGGCCAAACAACACAAGTAGCCAGGCAACAGATACTAAAAAAAAAAGAAAAATCAACTGAAAAAGACGGATTAAGTTGCCTGTCTTTTCTTCTGATAAAGACAGTTTTACCATTGTCACAGAAAACATTCATCGATATTATAAATGTCTGATTAATTCAGAATAAGTCTCTGTTTTCTGTTTTAGGTCCCATTGGTTTATGAATTCAGAATCATTAACAAACTGTGTGTCAATGCCTTAAGCTTTTATTTCTTTTTCTTCCTGGGAAAATTAAAGTCAGTCCCTGTTGGTTTCTTCATCTTTGCCCAACAAATGTACCAAAAAAAAAAACAAAGCAAGCAGCTTCACAATAGAGATATCTGATTGTAGAGTGTATGGTGGAGGCGTGGATGTTGGTAGTTAGATAAGGTGGGGCCAGGGGAGTACTCTCAGCAATGTCTTCCTATTGGGATTTGTCGACAGTGGAAGAAGAATTTAACTGCCCCTCCCTCCTTCTTTAAGTGTGACAAGGGTAATATATTACTGCCAAACCTTGTGCGAATGTTAAGAAACATCATTCCAGCTTTTAGAGTCAATGAGAAAAGCCATGAGTCTTGTCAAGTCCTTTTGCTACTTCACAGCATAAAACTGTCACTTCATTAATTAGATGAGCGTGCTGCCACGTGACTCCAGTATGCTCACTCTTCATCACTGATCTTTGTCAATTTCTGTAATAAAACAGCAATTTAATAATCCCCCCTCACACATTAGTAACTGTTTTATGATGGAATTTCAGTTTCCTGGTGGCACTTGATTAATCAGTCTGGGGAGGTCTTAAATAGATATATTAAGAGTTTAATTAAAAGGCAAGCTGCAAGGAAGACACAGTTCATAGAAAACAAGTTCAAGTGACTATATAATAAAATGAAATATACGAGGTCATCAGTTCATTCTTTGAGTCTTAGTCTAAAGGCAGACAAATAGATGCACTGGGGGCCCTACAGAGCTCCCACGTTCTGTCTACACAATTCCACAAATGTCTTTGTTTATTGTCTACCACCCCCACCTGCCACCTGCCATAGCCTCCTCCCTCCACCACCCGCAGCGGTTCAGGTAGCTCAGAGAACTCCTTGCAACCCTGTGCATGGCAGCTGTTGCCTCTCAAGAACTGAGATAACTTTCTTTCTTTTTTTTTTTTTTTTTTTTTTTTTTGAGATGGAGTCTCGCTCTGTCACCCAGGCTGGAGTGCAGTGGCTTAATCTCGGCTCACTGCAAGCTCCGCCTCCCGGGTTCACGCCATTCTCCTGCCTCAGCCTCCCGAGTAGCTGGGACTACAGGCACCCGCCACTATGCCCGGCTAATTTTTTGTATTTTTAGTAAAAACGGGGTTTCACCGTGTTAGCCGGGATGGTCTTGATCTCCTGACCTCGTGATCCGCCGGCCTCGGCCTCCCAAAGTGCTGGGATTACAGGCGTGAGCCACCGCACCCGGCGGATAACTTTCTTTTAGGAAGAGACTTCCTAAGAGACTTAGAAGTAACCTGATACCTCTCCTGTGGAGTGGAATCTCAGGTATGAACAGAGTATACATTAGAAACTTCTAGATACAAATGGAACTGGAAAAAAAAATTTGGCTTCCTCTCTGGGCACAAGGGGTAGGTAAAGAATGGTCTGGTGAAACAGGAAGTGCCTCAGTTCAGCGCCAAGGGAAATGGGTTTGTTACTGGTGGAGGGTGTCCAGCTTCTTGGCGTCTTGAACAAAGAATTGTACAAAACACACAAAGCAAGGAAAGAAAGAAGCAGTAAGTTGGGTGCGGTGGCTCACGCCTGTAATCCCAGCACTTTGGGAGGCTGAGCAGGCCGATCATCTGAGGTCAGGAGTTCGAGACCACCCTGACCAATATAGAGGAACCCCATCTCTACTGAAAATACAAAATTGGCCAGGTGTAGTGGCGCATGCCTGAAATTCCAGCTATTCGGGAGGCTGAAGCAGGAGAATTTCTTGAAACAGGAGGCAGAGGTTGCAGTGAGGTGAGATCGTGCCACCACACTCCACCCTGGGCAACAAGAGTGAATTCCATCTAAAAAAAAAAAAAAAAAGCGTGAAGCAACAAAAGCAGAGATTCATTGAAAACGAAAGTACATTCCACAGGTGGGAGCAGGCTGAGCACAGGGGCTAAAGAGCCCCTTTACAGCATTTTCTGGGGTTTAAATACCCTCTAGAGGTTTCCATTGGTTACTTGGTATACACCCTATGTATATTAAGTAGTGGCCCACAATCAGTCTGATTGGTTGTGTAAAGCAACCAATCAGAGCCTGAAGTTACAAAGGTTACACCCTATGCAAGCATCTGCTTGGTTGCAGAAAGCAACCAATCAGAGATACTTTCAATTTTCCATCTGCCACATAGAAAAAGGGAGGGGTCTTTTTGCAAAGAAAGTAGCCTCTGGTCCTTTTGTTACTTAGGTGTGGGAAGTTGGGGTTTTCCTTTTGATTTAGTTCTAGGCAGTCAGTGTGAATCAGCCTTAGGTTCCCTGCCTCCCAGACCCTATTATCCTGTCTCAGGTTCTGGTTCAGCTCTGCCACCAGCCATGACAAATGTCACTTGAATTACTCAGTTAATGAATTGAGTGCTTTCAGTCATTCATTTTTATCTCTCTCTGCTTTAATTTCATCTTCTACATGTTTTCTAATGCCTTTTTCACCTCAGACACCCCTAGATCCTCTGTGCTATACCCTGTTCCCCTTCCTGTCCCTACCCCTATGGCTTTGACAAGTGCTTTAGGGTTCTGGGAGAGAAAGATGGCATTAACCAGGAAAAAATGTGGAGTACAGTCTTACTGATAGATAACATTAACTAGAGAATCCAGAGGCAACACTATTGCATTCCTCAGTTAATTATGTATCTCCACAAGACCAAAACCCCAGGGCTGGGTAGGGGAGGGGAGAAGCTGAGTATTATAATAGAGAGGTTAAAAGAAACAGTCACAAAATTCAAACAGCTAGAAAGAAATATTAGAGGCTGGGCATGGTGGCTCATGCCTATAATCACAGCACTTTGGGAGGCCGAGGTAGGTGGGTCACCTGAGGTCAGGAGTTTGAGACCAGCCTGGCCAACATGGTGAAACCCCATCTCCACTGAAAATACAAAAATTAGCTGGGTGTGGTGGCCTGTAATTCCAGCTACTTAGCAGGCCGAGGCAGGAGGATCACTTGAGCCTGGGAGGCGGAGGTTGCAGCGAGCTGAGATTGCACCACAGCACTCCAGGATGGGCGACACAGCGAGACTCTGTCTCAAAAAAAAAAATAAAATAAAATTTAAAAAAATGAAGAAAGAAAGAAATATCAGAGAATATTTTGAATCATTGGAGTAGATAAAATCTAAGGTTCATATTAACAAATTCTTTGTGCCTTTGAATAGGAAATAGATCATGTTGGCTAATCTAACCCCAATAGTGACTAAGGAAGCCACATCCCTCGTTGCTTGAGAAGTGTATTTTTCCTGGTATCAGTGCATTTCCATGGTATTTCTCACTAAAGTACTTGTCTTTTCTCTTCATCCTTCCACTCTACTTTCTGAGAGATCCTGTGTAGGGATTAATTCCAGCTCATATGTGTTGCTGTTATATATGATTTTTAAAGAACCTCAGGTTTACAGAATTAAACATAAGCCTCAGTCCATGATATCCTATCATTAATGATTCATATATGATGTTAATTTACTTGATTTATTAATTTTGATAATATAATAAACACTCAAAAATGTACCATGCAACCAAATAATTGGAACTCTGACAATAATGTTTATCTATTTATATGCTCCTCCCATACTGTTCCCCTATTTTCCTTCCACCCTAAAATAAATACAATCCCAAATTTTGTGTTATTTATTCCCTTAAATATTAAACAGTCTTAGAAGTATATATGTATGCTTAAACCATATATTATTTAGTTTTACTTGCTTTTGATTTTTGGAAAATATTATTTTGCTATATGTTTGATTTGATTTCAAGTCGCTATGATTTGATTTTTTTCTTTTCATCCATATTGTAGTGAATACATGAGGTTGATTCAACTCACTGTCCTACAAAAGTCCATTGTTTGAATATATCATAATTTAATTATTCATTCTCTTAAATTTATTTCCAGGTTTTCACTATTATGAACAGTGGTAATGTGAAAGTTATTGTCCATGACTTCTGGTGATCCTGTGCAATTATTTCTCTCAGGCGTAAACCAAAAATTTGAATTGCTGGGTTGTAAGATACATAACTGTTCAACTTTCCAATATAGTACTCTTGTCCACTGATATCCATGGGGGATTGATTAATTTTACGATCCCCCTGCAAATACCAAAACCTATGTATGCTCAAGTCTCTTACACAAAATGGTGTCATATTTGCATATAACCTATGCAATCCTCCCAGCTACAGTAATTTAAATCATCTCTAGATTACTTATTATTACAGTATTATTTTTCATTTTCTTCATTGCTAATGTTGTTTAAAATTTCTAAATATGATTATTGGTGATAAATATTTTCTGTGAAATAACAATTTTCTCATTTTAATATTATATTGTAGAAGTTCTTTATCCTTTAAAGAGACAGCGAGTATACTTTATCAATGTATCAATTTATGTGCTGCAAATACACTCTTTCCTATTTATAGCTTGTATATTTTCCCATTTTCTTCAGCTATCTTTTGAATAGCAGGGGTTTTTATTTCAATATACACAGATTTATCTGTTGTTTCTTTTATGGTTATCACTTTTGATATCTTACTTAAGAAAAAATTTCCTACTTGTACATTATCTATATTATCTACCAAAACGCTAAAATTTTACTTTTGATATTTGAATCCTCAATGCATGTGAAGTTGTTTGTTTTGCATGGTGTCAAATTGATTTCAATTTTTTAGCCAGTGAAATAAGATAAGAAATTAAGTAATAAGGCTTGGAAATGAAGAAATAAAACTGTCATTATTTGCAGATGATATAATTATTAACATAGAGAATGCCAAAAAATCAACAGAGAATTGTTATATAAAAATATTACAGGTTATTTAATAAAATGTAATTATAAATAATAGGAGAATTGAGCAGAGTCTCACTCTGTCACCCAACATGGAATTCAGTGGCTCAATTATGACTCACTACAGCTTTGACCTTCTGGGCTCAAGGAATTTTCCCACCTCAGACCCCTGAATAGCTGGGGCTATAGGCACGCACGACCACACCCAGCTAATTTTGTGTGTGTGTGTGTGAGAGACTGAGTCTCACTATGTTGCCCTGGCTGGTCTCAAAGCCCTGGCCACAAGCAATCCTCCCACCGCAGCCTCTCAAAGTGCTGGGATACAGGCGTGAGCCCCCATGCATGGTCATCTATTGTATTTCTACACATCAGTAACACATAAGAAAATGTAAATATGTGAATAAAGATGTAATTCACATAGCAAGCAAAACTCCAAACTATTTAGAAATAAATCCAACTAAGATGCAAAGACCCGAGAGCAAAAAATTATAAAAATTTAACTGAGATACAGTCAAGAAGACCTAAACAATTAAAGAGAGGGCTGTGTTTGTGATAGGGATGTATCATAGAGATGTCAATTCACCCCAGATTGATCTAAAGATTTAACACAATTCCAAAGTCATAATTGGACTTTTTTTTTTTTTTTTTTTTTTTGAAACAGAGTCTCACTCTGTTACTCTGTTGCCCAGGCTGGAGTACAATCTCGACTCACTGCAACCTCCACTTGCTGGGTTTAAATGATTCACATGCCTCAGCCTCCAAGTGGCTAGGATTACAGGCAGGTGCCGCCATACCCGGCTAATTTTTGTATTTTTAGTAGACATGGGGTTTCACCATTTTGGCCAGGTTGGTCTTGAACTCCTGACCTTAGGTGATCTGCTCACCTTGGCCTCCCAAACTGCTGGGATTACAGGTGTGAGCCACCACACCTGGCCTCATAATCGGACTTCTAATGAGGCAGATTCTTAAATTTCTATGAATATATAAAGGGTCAGCAACAGACAAGACATATCTAAAGACAAATAATGGAGGAGACCAATTTTGCTATATATCAGGCTTCATGATGAAACTATAGTAATTAAGACAGGGTGTATTAATGCAAGAACAGACAAATTGACAAATGGTACAGAATAGAGAACTCACAGACCAACACATCTATGGAATTGTGAAAGGTGACAAAAGTGGCATAGCAGATCAATGTGAAAAAAATTATTATTATAAAAATGAAATTGGGAAAAAATAGTTGCTCATAATGTATGTAGGTGAAAGTTAGTTTACTGTCATTTGTATAATCAATTAGTATTTATTAAAGTGGTACTTCAAAGCTCCCAGGTTTGTCTTCATTAATAACAAGCTCCCAGAAGTCTTTCTTTCTGGGGAGATGCTGAACGCTATAAGAGGTAGATTACAGTCCCTGAGGAACATGCATGAATCACAACAGCTAGTGCCCATTTCTGTTTCAAAAAGAATGAGGCTAGTCAACTTAAAGCGTTTTTTTTTTTTTTTTTTTTTTTTTTTTTTTGAGTTGGAATCTCACTCTGTCACCCAGATTGGATTGCAGTGCACACAATCTCGGCCCACTGAAATCTCCACCTTCCAGGTTCCAGCAATTCTTCTGCCTCAGCCTCCCAAGTAGCTGGGATTACAGGGACCCACCACCATGCCCAGCTATTTTTTTTTTGTATATTTTTAATAGAGATGGGGTTTCAACATGTTGGCCAGGCTGGTTTGGAACTCCTGACCTCAAGTGATCAGCCTGCCTCGGCCTCTCAAAGTGCTAGGATTACAGGTGTGAGCCACTGCGCCCAGCAGGCTTGAAGTTTTTGTATCGGTGAGTGGGATGTGCAATTTGAGATCAAAGTCGAACTCCGTGAGGCAAAAAGGAAAAGCTGAGTGCTGATTCTGGCAGTCAGGAATCCTTAAAAAAAAAAGTCAAGTAAGTTTTTAAAACTTCAAAACAATTAGCTTATCCGCAATATTCATATATTCTGGTCTGCTTTTACTTCACAGTAGTTAATAAAGTCATGACTCATTTGCTTGGGCCCACACATTTCAGTACATTTCCAAGGTAACTGTCCATCACTGACATGTGTCTTTCCTATCATGCCTGAAACTTAACTTCTTGTAGACTCAATATCTAAGAGTGTGTGCACATTAATTCACTTCAGCCCATAAATGTTCTCTAGGTAGACGTTTACATGTTGTCTATGGAACCATTCCCTTAACCATTCTTTCAGCTACTCTATTGAGATTTATCTAAGTGTCACTTCAAGGATTCCTGCATGGTGCTCTGCAATAATATGTACCCAAAAGTTTTTCTTTTCTCACCACGTGTGTCTTAAAATATTTTGATTCAATGCATCCTGTGTGTCATTTCCTCATCTATTATTGATCTTCTGGGCTCTTAATATTTTGTCTTCGGTCTATAGACTTAAATCTTCCTCTTGAACTTGAGGTTGATGACACCGCTCAGACTCTTAACTTGACTCTGGGTGTTAACTGAAATTGTAATGCTCTTTGTTTTCATCCTACTTTCCAGGGTAATTTTGATTCCATTCCCTAGAACTAGAGCCAAAGCATCCTACCCTAGCTATAGTTCAAATGGCTGGCTTTCCTCCCCATCTTCTGATGGAGGGAGTAAGCCACACAGCACTATTACAAGCCTTCCAAAAAGGCACAGGTTTGAGGAAGCAGGATATATACATTAAATATTTAGAGAAAAAATCCCAGTTAGCATATGACTTCATGCTACATCTCTGCCTATTCAAATATACTCCATGTTTCAAATGCTTGGTTGAATTCTACTTCATATAGGAGGTCTTCCTATGACCTAATTCACAATTTACATTAAAGCTTTCTCTGCTTAGGAAATATGAAAAAGTATTTCAAAATCAGACAGGAACTTAGAACTGGATTTATGATTTGGAATCCTTTTCCACATGCTGGAATCCCTGTAGTTGTTGTCTGTTTCATTCACTTGGCATTTACAGACACATTAAAAATAATTAACATTCATTTGTAGAATATATGTTTCTTCTATTAGATTAAAAGCTTTTTGAGAACAGCTCTACAACCCTTAATGATACTTTCTTTATTAGTCAGGGTCCTGGGAGGAAGCAGATGGCATACTCGAACTGGAATACCAGGAGGAAATTTAATTAAGCCATTATTTACAATTCCTAAGAGATAGTGCAGTAGTCAGAGGCTAGTAATCATAGGGTTGATTCCCTGACTAGTTATAAAAGGCAAGAAGAGAGAGCAATTATCATAAGTCAGAAGCAGAGAAAACTATGTAGAGTGTACTGGCTGATCTTTGTACAAGGTAAGCATCTAGGAGTAGTGTCCTGTAAGGAGGATCCTAGAGACATCGGTGCCCTGGCCACATAAGCCTCCTTCCCTCCAGTTTCCTGGTGGTGCTCCACATTGAAAATCCAAAAGGAAAGCAAAATCAAGTGGAAAGGCAAAACTGAGTCCATTGCTGCAGTCTCCACTGGCAGCCTTTCAAGGCACAAATTAAAGTGGAGAGTTGATAACAGATCTGCAGGGACACAAGAGAGACATAGAGCACATTCTCTGACCCTCAGAATACTCGCCTAGAAAATGGAGCTAACGAACTGGAATTAAATTAGAAATAAATAGCAGAACAGTATCTGGGAGATGCCCATGTATTTAGAAAAATGGATAGTCTGTCAGTCAAAAAAGCAATCAATAGGGGAATTAGGAAACATTTTTCCCTGAGTGAAAAGGAAAGCACAATATACCAAAGTCTGCTGGATGCGTATAAAACAGTACCAAGAGGGAAATTTGTAGCTTCAGAACTACATTAGAAGAAAAGAAAAGCTCAACCTAACAACCTTAGCTTCCATAGTAAAGAAAAAAATATATTAAATTCAACCTAAAGTAAGCAGAAAGAAATAATAAAGGTATGAGCAAAAGCAAAATAACAGAAAGCAAAACATTACAGAAAATCAATGAAACTATAAGTTGGCTATTTGGGAAAAATCAGTAAAACTGAAAAATCTCTACCCAGAGTGATCAAGAAAAAAAGAAAAGTTATAAGTTGTAAATATCAGGAATGAGAAATGTGATGTTACTACAAATTCTTCAAGTATTAAGAAGATACTAAGGGAATATTATAAAAAATGCCCAATAAATTTGACACCTTAGATGAAATAGCAAATGTTGAGGAAAACACAAACTAACAAAGCTAACTCAAGAGGAAATAGATAACTTGAATAGCTCTATAACTGTTTTAAAATTTGAATTTATATTTTAAAAATCTGCTCACAGAGAAAACTCCAGACGCAGATGGCTTCACCGGAAAATTACCCCATTTAAGAAATAAATAATACCAACTCTATATAAAATCTTCCAGACAAAAATTGAAAAGAAAAAAGTAATTTCTATGTAAGTCATAAAGCCATCCCTCTCTGATACCAAATCCAGAAAAAAATCTTTCAAGAAATAAAACAAAAACTGCTTACCAAACTCCTCATAAACATAAGTGCAAAAATACTTAATAAAATTTTAGCCAATCAAACCCCAACAATACATAATATATTATGTCCAGATGGGATTTATCTCAGGAACGCAAGCTTGCTTTAACACTTACAGATTAATCTGTGTACTGTAATCCCTCTTGTCCATGGGTTATCCATTCCAAGACCCTCAGTGGATGCCTGAAACTTAGGATAGTACCAAACCCGATTGCTATCAAATCAAACACCTTTCTGTTCACATCTTCCATTCTCAAATTTAATGCCTTCTGTATCTTAACTAAGCACTTATCATGCACTGTGACCACAACTTTTGCAGCTTGAGGTGCAATGACAAAATTAACATGAAAGCTCTCAAATGTTCTAATTAGGTTTAAAATGAAATCGACCCATTTTGCTTATAAACATAGTTGCATGAAACTGTGGACCACATGTTCTGAAATTTAATCTATAATTCTTTTTTTTTTTTTGAAATGGAGTCTTGCTTTGTTACCCAGGTGGAGTGCAGTGACTCGATCTCTGCTTACCTGCTCACCGCAAACTCCGACTCCCAGGTTCAAGTGATTCTTCTGCCTCAGCCTCTCGAGTACCTGGGATTATAGGCACACTCCACCATGCCTGGCTAATTTTTGTAGTTTTAGTAGAGATGGGATTTCACCATGTTGCCCAGGCTGGTCTCAAACTCCTGACCTCAGGTGATCTGCCTATCTCAGCCTCCCAAAGTGCTGGGATTACAGGCACGAGCCACTGCACTCAGCCTAATCTATAACTCTTGGTCATCAGTTTCATTGCATCTTTGATTTAGTCTGCTTTTTTATCTCCTTTACACACTCTCTGCATCCATACTGATAAAACTGCCATAAGCCCTACTAGCACTTTCAGGTACTGCCTATTTCTCTGCTCGTCTTTATAGAAAAAATAAGTCTCCCCAGTGAGTTGTAGGTAGTTGCTGCAGGCATTTTCTCCCCATACATTCTCTCTTTGTCCTATGTCAATCAGGATTTCACGCTAGCACTTAATTAAAACTCCTCTTCAAAGGTTTCTAACACCTTCCCTTCTGCCAATGCAATGGTTAATTCTCAGGCATTATCTTACTTCATTGATAAGAAGCATTTGACACATTCGATTTCTTCTTTTTCTTCCTTTTTTTTTTTTTTTTTTTTTTTTTTTTTTGCTTCTAAGCCTGCATTTCTGATTTTTCTCCTACAACCCTGGCTGCTCCTTTCCCGTCTCCTTTGCTGGCTCCTCCTCCTCTTCCTGACCAGTCAAACTGCAGTGTCCAAGGATCTTTGGCTTTTTCCCTGGCCTTACTCCAGATGCAAGCATTCAGCTTCCAACCTGATATATTTTCTTGATGTCTACCAGGAATCTTTTTATTTATTTATTTTTTGAGATGGAGTCTTGCTCTGTTGACCAGGCTGGAGTGCAGTGGTGTGATCTCGGCTTACTGCAACCCCTGCCTCCCGAGTTCAAGTGATTCTCTTGCCTCAGCTTCCTTAGTAGCTGGGATTACAGGCACGCACCACCACGCCTGGCTAATTTTGTGTGTGTGTGTGTGTGTGTGTTTTTAGTGGAGACAGGGTTTCACCATGTTGGCCAGGCTGGTCTCGAACTCGTGACCTCAAGTCATCTGCCTGCCTCGGCCTCTCAAAGTGCTGGGATTACAGCCATGAGCCACCATGCCCAGCCAGAAATCTCAAACTTGCTATGCTATACATCTAAAATGCATTTTCTCATTTCACTCTCCATGTCTATTATATCTGCTTTTTCCATAGTCTCTCCCTAAATCATACTAAATGGCAGTAGCATTAACCTGGTAACTCAGACCCCACATTGATAAATCACCTGTGATACCTCCTTTTCCTTCACTCCTACATATACCCCATCAGCAAGTCCTATTGGTGCCACCTTCACAATGCAGTATATCCTTAATCTGATTGCTTCACCCTGCCTACACCACTACTACTCTGGTTATGACTGGTATTATGTATCTCCTAGACTGCTCTCCCTTCTTTCACTTTTGTCCCCCTAAAACCAATTCCCTTATGCTTAGCAGCTGAAGTAATGTTGCTCCAGCTCAAACTTGAGTGATATTCAGAACAAAGTTTGACCGCGATCCGTACTGTGATCGTAGGACTCTACATGATCCAGCCCTTCCCAGCTATAAGAATGAGAATATCTTATCCCCTAACTCTTTATCCTCTCCTCTCACTTTGTTCTAGCAACAGTGGGGTTATTTTCCTATTCATTAGCTATACCAAACTTATTCTTGCTTTTGATAATTTGTACTTGTTCCTTCCTCTGCCTGAAACACTTCTCTTCGAAGGACCTGCATGGTGAATTCCTGCAGTCCAGTCATATGTCTGTTCAAACATCACTAGCTCTGAGAGGCTTTCTCTAATTGTGCTACTCAAAAGAGCTCCTCTCTCTCTATTGTCACTTTCTATTTTCATATTCTGCTTTATTATACCTTAAAACACGTAAACTACATTGAATTGTGTATCTATTTGTTTACATATTTATGATCTGTCTTCCTAATTAAAAATATAAGTCCCATGAGGTAGGCTCTTTGCCTAGATTTTTCATCCCTATATACCCAGTACTTAAAACAATGTCTGGTCCATAGTACACACTCAGTAAGTATTTTACAAATGAAATTTTGAAGAAACTATTGCATCAGGTCAATATATTTAATTAAAATCTGACCCTGTTTTGCAAATTAGCTTTTTCATTTTTATACATGACCTTTTCTTAATTCCATTTTATGAGATAAAAAAGGAAAACGGGAATGTCAATAAAACAAAAGAAATTCTAAGACAAGCTTAGATTTAAATATTAAAAGCATCAATCATAATCATGTCCTGTGTTTCAACAGCACTTAGTGATTTTCTTGGTACTATCTTATATTCTGTCCTATTTAATCCATATAACAATCTTCTATTAGTATCTCCATTTTGCATATGAGAAAATGAAAACGAAATGAATCTGAGGGACTTTAACAAGTTCTTGCTGCTAAGAAGTGTCAGAGACAAGATTAGAAGATGCTTCTGTCAGACTCTTCATCAAGGATTTGCTCACACTCTCAAAGCTAATCTAAAAACTTTCTACTCTGTGCCGGGTCCAATATGAAAATCTGAAAATCGAACAAATTTGAAATTGACATTCCATGGCTCACATTATGAAAATGACAGTTTTCCTTAAGAGTCAAACTCTAATTTGAAAAACATTTTTTTCTGATTCTGGAACTCTGAGAATGAACAAGAAGGGGAACTTGGCTCTGCAAATTCACACTTTTGGAGCAGGGGCTATAACACGGGTGTCAGGCAGAGAAGACTTACTGGCAGGGAACGTACTCAGGCCCTATCTGGTAAAAAGACGTCCAGGTGGGTCAAGAATCAAATGAATTAATACAGAAGAGCAGCTGTAAATGTGCAGGTATAGGCTGAATTCAGGCTGGATATCTTAGCTTGGGGTTGTGTTTTATTTTGTTTTTATTTGTCTTATATTAGTGTGGTGGGGGTTTTTCTTTTTTAATTTGGGTTTAAATATTTCATATTCTGAGTATCTAACATAAAAGTCTGAGTTTCTCTGTTTTATTTTCTTTTCTTTTTCTTTTTTTTAAATAGAAGACAGCTGATTTACCATGCAAAATCATGGCAAACCATGAAACGATGTAGCTGCTGCCTCTTCAAGTGGGGTGGCTACTTTCTGTTTGCCACACTTCCCATTCTTACTCATAACTGCCACCTTTCTGCTTTGCTCATTTACATGGTTTACTTGATGCCTGTAGATATTTGAGTTTGTGATGTTAAATTTAGAGATTCCTAGCTATATGAAGCAGGAGGCACCAGAGCATCATCAATGAGATTGATTTATCAATGGTATAAATGAGTTGCAAGAACATGTAACTCCAAACTGAATATTTTTGTTTGGCAGCAATAAAAAAACCTCCTTGAAAAGTGTCTTCTTAATCCATGTGTTGCAGCTAGATAGAATAGATGGGTAGCCAAAACAGCAGCTTTCTAGTAGGGCTGATTCCCAGGTAATCTGCTGCTTTAACATATGAGCTGGGGATATTTATTATGACCTGATTTCCTCTCAATGTCTTCCTCTACAGCATCCTGTAAAGTCTTGGATGAAGATCTTCACAGGTATAGTATAACCCCCTATTTGTGAAGGGTGGAACGTACTACCTAAAATATAGACCAAGTATTTCTGTTGGTATTGTGTAGAAGAGAGCGAAAAGACAATGGAAAATAAGAGAGAGAACGAGAGACCATGGGCACTTTAAGTAAGGACAATACTGGAGACAGTGAGCTTGTGACAGTCCCTGTGTTACTTAGGACAATGCCACGGTATTGGGCATTGTAAAAGGAGAAGAATGGCACTTGCAGTAGGAGGCGATGTCTACTCCCCTTCTCACGAAGAAAAATACGGGAAGAATCTTCTCACTCCTCCTTCCCCAGAGAGGCAGAGTCACTTACATTACTCCCATATTTAGAAGATGTAGAATATTCTCAACACAGCCTCACATTGTCACAGTGCATCCAGTATGTTTGTTCTCATCCTATGACCTCTGGATGGTGATGGCATCTTCAGTGTGTCACCTCATGAGTGGCACATGCAGAGTAAGTTTCATTTAGAGAGAATGTGGTAAACATCACTTCGATTGACCTCTTTGGCCATTTCTGGGTGTCAGACTCTTGATTCAATAGGTAGAGAGCACCACCAAGCAAGGATTTTTCTAGAATTTGAAACTGTGAAGACAATAAATTGACTTATTGCAAATAACCAGACCTGTATTTTGAAATGAGGTCTCTTATAAATTGATTTCTAAATATATAATTACTTACAAAGAGTAGTTATGGTCTTTGCATCATATTCTATTTCCTCTTCACTGAAACTCTGGTTATAATGGTATAGGGTGGCCACAGGAGCAGTGTGGGTCTAGAGTGGCCCTTCTTCTGTGTGAGGCACATTGCTCTTCTTTGACAAAATCTGGTCTTCTCAGAAGTGTTTGCTTTTTATTTCAGAAACTTAATTAGTAATCACACAAAGTTATTCATATTTTCTAGTTACTCCTAGGCATGGCTTTCAGCCTCCAGGAGAACTTACTACAGCTCAGGTGAGAGATAGTGCTCTACCTGTAGGATCAGAATTCTTATTTCTGGCCTTTATGTTCTTTATATTACCTTTACTTTCTTTTATGTACTGTGATGATGTCGGGAAGTGGTTTTAAACTTTCTTTCAGAGATCTATATCTGTATACCTACTGGCAATGGGAACTGAAAATTGATCTTCTCTCCGATTTACAGTCCATAAAATTTCCTGTATTCCATCACAAAGATAGTGACTCGGAACATTACTTTTTAATCACTTCAGGCCTACTTCAGTGGTTTCCAAATGCCTTTGTGTAAATGGACTGCATCAGAATTGCCTGGGAAGTGTATTAAAATTACAGATCCCCAGGTTCCAACCCAATCATTCAGAAGAAACTCCAGAATTGACTCCCTTTAATCTGTATTTTAAACAAGAACAAAGGCAATGCTTATTCCAGCCCCCAGTTTGGAAATTTATAAAAACACTATGACTAACATGCACCTACAGCCAGCAGTCACTAATTTCTGAATCAATCAATCAATGAATGGGTAACATTCATAAACATGAAAAAGACAAAAAGGGTACTTCTGAGCCTTCTAAAACCCTGACCCCAGACAGCTGAAAGACTACCACCTGTTTAAAATATTAATGCAGCCTAGACTTCTGTATACAAGCCAATGTTTCTGCTGCAATAACCAGAAGTCAGACATATTACCAAACAAAAAAAACCCCAAAATATATTTTAGGCATCAAAGAGCTATGGAAGCAAGGAGAATTAGATGATCTACAGCTCGAGAGGAGAATATTTCCTAGGTGACCTGATTATATCCAACCTTTTTGTTCATCTAGGAGCATTTGCCAATCCTGTGAATAAGATAAGGATAGTGTTCACTGAGAAACTCTTTTGGGGAGAATGAGGACATCAGTAAGCTTTGTAGAGATTCTGTGGTGGTGGACTAACAGTTTAGAAATTTCGGAGAGTGCAAATGCATAGCCAGTTTTCCCTATGAGAAACTTGCTAAATTCCAGTGCTGAGTAGATGACTAGGACAGTAGGCTGAAAGTTTCTACAAGGCAGAGTAAAATTTCCTGCAGGTTCATGGTGCTTAGAATAAAGAAATTTGCAAGTAGGAGGCCTGCTTCAAACTGCCAATCTTTCCCTACAAATATTTGTCAAATTTTGAAGCTATATGGAAGTGGAGGTTGGGAAGCTGGGCTGGAAACTATGGAGAAAAAAACTTGATCTCTGAAATCTTCCAGAGCTAAAATATGAATTGCTGAAGACTCTTAAAGAAAGCTTAGGATGGCCATACATTAAGTAAAGAGGTAAAGCATGGGTAGCTTGATCTGATTAAAACTACAAACCAGTCCTGACTCAGATCTATTTCTGACTGGACTGAGATGTTTAGCTTCTCACACTGTCTTTCTAAGAGAAATGGGAGAATGAAATATAAGACCATTTGGAGTGTCTATAATTTCACTACACACAATAGCTAGCATATATTTATAAATTACTATACAGAGCCTGGGCAACATGGCAAAACTCCATCTCTACCAAAAATACAAAAATTAATTGAGGTAGTGGTGCACTCCTATAGTCCCAGCTACTCAGGAGACTGAGGTGGGAGGATAGCTTGAGACTAGGAGGTTGAGGCTGCAGCAAGCTGTGATCGTGCCACTGCACTCCAGCCTGGGTGACAGAATGAGACCCTGTCTCAAAAAAAATCACTAAGCAGGTAAAGAGACAAGAAAATACAACAAATAATGATAACTGGGAAACCCACAGATGATCTAGATATTGAAATGAGAAGTCAGGCATCTTAAAGTAGCAATAATTAATATTTTGAAAAAAATAGAGGACAAAATGAATGAAAACTGGATAATTTCAACAGAGAATGGAATCTGTAAAGCAGAGTCAAAAGAATAGTCTGAAACTAAAAATACAATATTTGAGATTCAATGCATGGGTTTAGAAGCAGAACATCATAGGATTAATGAAATAATCAGCAGTTAGTGAACAGGTCAATAAAAACACACATATTGAAACAGAGATTTTAAAAGATTAGAAAAAAAGACAGAAATGAGCACAAGACACTAGAGAGATATATTCAAAGAGGCTAATATATATAGGCTTGTAATTCTAGAAAGGATGTAGAGGGAATGAGACAGAGCCATCTTCAAAGACCACAGTGTTGACAATTTTCTCAAAATGGATGAAAGATATCAACCTCAAAATTCAAGAGGGTCAATTAACCCCAAGCAGAATACACACACACACACATGCACGCACGCACACACACACACACACACACACCTATCTATGTAAATTAAGGTAAATTTCCTGAAAACCACTGGCAAAGAGAAAATCTGGAAAGCAATGAGAGGAGAGATAAAATCACATACTGCATTCAAAAGAACAATAAGAGTGACAGCTGATTTCTCAAAAGAAGTAATGTAAACCCGAAGGCAATAAACTTTTATCAGACATTTTTAAAATTTGATCAAATATAGTCCAGCTAGAATGTTATAACCAGTAAAAATAGTCTTTGAAAATGAGGGTAAAATTAAGAAGTTTTCAGACAAAGACTAAAATATTTGTGGCCAGAAAACCTGCCCCAACAGAAAAAGAACAAAGAAAATTCTTCAAGCAGAAGGTCCCATCAGATTCCAGAGAAAAAAGTTAAAATGTAAAAAGAAATGAAGACTATTTGGAATTATAAATATAAGTGAATATTATTTTTATAAAACAATAATTGTAATGCTTTGGGGAGTTAAAATTATATGTAGAACTAAAACATATTAATAACACATAGGAGATATTAAATGGAATTTTAAGATTCTAAGGGTTTAATAGTATTAGTAACACGAGAAAAGCAATCACTTCTGTTGGGCTGTAATAAGTAAGAAATACATGTTGTAAGCTCTAGAAAACTAATAAGAGAACATATAACTAACAAATTTATGAAAAATGTATAATAATAAAAATATTTGATAATGAAAGAGAAAGCAGGAAACTATTTTTAAAATAAAAGAAACATAAAAAACAAATGGGCCCATAGAAAATTACTAGTAAGAAGATAGATATAAACCTAGTTTTATCAGTAACTACATTAAATCTTAAAAACTCCAAATAGAAGACTAAATGAAATTGTCAGAGAAAAAGAAACCATAACTGTGTAGTGTTTAAAAGTAAACAGTTTAAATATAAGACAGACAAATCTTTGAAAAAATATATACCATAGTATCATGTAAGCACTAACCAAAAGAAAGTTTCCAATGTCAGAAAAAGCTAATTTTAAATAAGCAAATATTATTAACAAGAAAGAACCACAGAATATTCTGGCAGTTGCTCAAAAGATTAAACATAGAGTGACCATATGACCCAGGAGTTCATAAGTATGGGGTCATGAGAAGCGAAAATGTATGTTCACTCAAAAACTTGTACAAGAAGGTTAAAAGCTGCATTATTCATGATAGCCAAAAAGTGAAAACAAGCCAAATGTCCACAATAGGGAAACAATATGCAATATGTTGTATACACATTAAATGGAATGCTATTTAGCAATAAAAAGGAATCAAGTACATGCTAAAACACACATAGACTCTGAAAACATTTTGCAAAATGAAAAAAACAAGTTACAAAAGACAGCATATTATATGATCCTATTTATATAAAATCCTCAGTATAGGCAAATCTATAAAGACAAAAAGTATATTAATGGTTGCCTCAGTCTATGAAGGTTAATGTGAGGTAGCGGGGAGTGATAGCTATTGGATACAAGATGTCTTTGGGGATTGCTGAAAATATTCTAAGCATTTGTGGTGATAGTTACACAACTCTGTCAATAATCAAAGATATTGAATTGCATATTTTAAATGGATGAATTGTGTGGTATACGAACTAAATTTCAATAAGGTTCTTAAAATAAATGAATAGGTACAGTTTCTAAAGCAAAAAATGTCAAACAGAGAACATCATAATCCTAATTTGTATAAATCCTGTGGTACAGCTACAAACTTCATAAAACAAAAATTAACAAAACTACTATAGAAGGAGAAATGTACAAATCCTTAACTATTGTGCGAACTTTAGCACATGTCTCTCACTAACTGATAGGAAAAGCAGATAAAGAAAATGAAAGTCCATACAGAATGTCTGAATAGCCTAATAGGCAAACAAACTAAACTGTCATATTTAGAACTCTGCACCCATAGACAACAGAAACACACGGAAACACATCCCATGCTCATGGATGGGTAGAATCAATATTGTGAAAATGACCATACTGCCAAAACCAATCTACAAATTCAATGCAATCCCCATCAAAATACCACCATCATTCCTCACAGAGTTAGAAAAAACAATTTGAAAATTCATATGGAACCAAAACAGAGCCTGCATAGCCAAAGCAAAACTAAGCAAAAAGAACAAATCTGGAGATATCACAGTACCAGATTTCAAACTATACTATAAGGCCATAGTCACCAAAATGTGTGGCATTGGTATAAAAATAGGCACATAGACCAATGGAACAGAATAGACAACCCAGAAATAAACCCAATAATGATACTATTTTCAAGTATACATAAAACCCTTACCATTAGAGCTGGGCTGTACAAAATAAAAAAAAAGCCTCAACATAATTCAAAAGATCGTTATCCTTCACAGTGCATTCTTTGGCCACAAAAATATAACCCCTAAAACTCCACTTTGTGAAAATTAATGAACGCACATTATTTTTGAAAAACTTCAATGGCAAAATAAGAACTCAAAATATAAATTAGAAAATATTTTGAAATGAATGACATAGAAGATACAAAATATCCAAACTTGCAAGTTGTAGCAAAAGCAATGGTGAGAGAAAAATGTACAGCTTTAAAATGTGTATATTAAAAAATAATCCTTTCAGCTGGAGCTGAAGGTAAGATGAAAAAAAGTAAGATAAAAATAAATGTTTAAAGAAAAAGATGAGAAAATAAAGTGAAATAGGTTCAAAGTTGAATGATTTGAAGTTTCTGTTTAAGAATCTAGACCAAAGGAAGATCAAATCAAACTAAAGAAAACTATGAAGAAAAGCATGACAAACATACTGGGAGAAATCAATGGCATAGAAAACAAGTGCAAAATACAGAAAAACCAAAAAAGACAAAATTAAATTATTTAAAATAAATGTTACAATTGATAAGCCTCTAAAACTACCTAATCAAGAAAAATGGGAGAAAACACAATTATCGATACTAGGAATTAAAGTGGATGTCACATTAATAACAGATAGAAAATCAATAAACAGCTGACTTAAGCAACACTGCAGATCAAATAGACCTAAGAAACATATTCAGAATTTTCTACCCAACAGCAGAATATATATACATATTTTTCAAGTGTTCACAGGGCATTCTCTAGGACAGATCATCGGTTAGGTCACAAAACAAGTCAACAAATTTAAGAAGATTGAAATCATAGCATGTATCTTTTCTGAACACAATCAAATGCAATTAGAAATAAGAAGCAAAGAGAAAATGAGAAAATTCATAAATAATAAAAACTAAACAATCCACTCTTGAACAACCATTGTGTCAAAGAGGAAGTCAACAGCAATTTAAAAAAATATCTTGAGACTAATGAAAATGGAAACACAACACACACAACTTTATAAGACACAGCAAAAACAATACTGAGAGAAGTTTACATTGATAATTGTCTACATTAGAAAAGAAAATATATCTCCAATAAATAAGGAACTATAAAAAAGATTAAAGTATAATATTAACAGAAGGAAGAAAATACAAATTATAGCAGAAATAAATGAAATAGAGAATATGGACAATATATGCTAGGCATGGTGTCTCATGCCTGCAATCAGAGCCTTGGGAGGCCAAAGCAGGAGGATCACTTGAGCCCAGGAGTTCGAGGCCAGCCTGGGCAACATAGTAAAACTCCTGTCTCCACACAAAAAATATTTTTTTAATGAGCTAGGCACTGTGGTGTGCACCTGTACTCTCAGCTACTTGGGAGGCTAAAGTGGGAGGATTACTTCAGCTCAGGAGCTCAAGGCTGCAGTGAGCCATGATTGCACTACTGCACTCCAGCCTGGGCAACAGAGTGAGACTGTGTCTCAAATAATAATAATAATAAATAAAAACAGAAACAAAAGAAATATTAACAAATAGATAAACAAAAGATAAAGATAACCCATATTGACAAACCCTTAGCTTAACTAAGAAAAAAAGAGGAGACTTAAGTAAAATCAGAAATGAAAGATGAGACATGACAATCGATGACTCAGAAATACAAAAGCTCTTAAGAGATGATTATGAACAATTATACACCAACAAATTAGATAACCAAAAAAATAATAAATTCCTAGAAACAGACAACCCACCATGACTGAATCTAAAATAAACAGAAAGCCCGAACAGACCAACAGTGAGTAAGGATGTCGAATCAGTAAACCAAAACCTCTCAACAAGGAACAGCCCAGGACCAGATGCCTTCACAGGTGAATTCTGCCAAACATTCAAATAATAATACCAATTCTTTTAAAACTCTTCTTAAAAAACAGAAGAGGGAATACTTCAAAACTCATTTTATGAGGCCATTTGTAATACCAAATCCAGATAAACACACTACAAAAAGAGAAAATGATGGGCCAATATTCCTGATGAATGCAGATGAAGAAACTTCAATAAAATACTAGCAAACTGAATTCGACGGCATATTAAAAGTATCATACACCATGAATAAGTGGGATTTTTCTCTAGAATGCAACATACTAAAATCAATCAATGTGATGCGCCATAGTAACAGAATGAAAGATAAGAACCATATAATGATCCCAAAAATACAGAAAAAGTGTTTGACAAAATTCAATACCATTCATGATAAAAAAAAATACTTTCAACAAAATAGGTATATAAGGAACTTACCTCAGCACAATAAAGGCCATATATAAAAATGCTACAACTAATATCATAATCAATGGAGAAAAACTGAAACCTTTTTCTTTACTATCCACTAAAGAAGCCTTCTCCCACCACTTACATTCAACATAGTACTATAAGTTTCAGCCAGAGCAGTTAGACAAGAAAAAGAAATAAAAACATTTAAATTGGAAAGGAAGAATTAAAATTATCTCTGTTTGCAAAGGATAGGATCATATACGTAGAAAACCTTAAATGCTATACAAAAAACTGTTAGAGGTAATAAATGAATTTAATAAAGTTGCAGTATAGAAAATCAGCATTCAAAAATCAGTAGAATTTTTATGCACTTACAAGAAACTATCTGAAAAAGAAATTAAGAAAATTTCATTTACAATAACAACAAAAATAATTAAATACTTGGGAGTAAACTTAACCAGTGAAATTAAATACTTTTATATACTGATAAACTATTTTAAAATTGATGAAACAAAGAAGACAGATAAATGGAAAGATAGCCCATCTTTATGAATTGGAATAATTAACATAATGAAAATATATGATATTTTCTACATATCTACAAATTCTATGTAATAGCTATTAAATGATCTACAAATGATCTACAAATGATCTACAAATGACCTACAAATTCTATGTAATAGCTATTAAAATCCCAATGATATTCTTTTCAGGAATAGAAAAAACAGTCCTAAAATTCACGTGGAACACAAAAGACTCCAAATAGTTATCAATCTTGAGCAAGAAGAACAAAGCTAAAGGTATAACATGCCCTGATTTCAAAATATACTACAAATCTACAGTAATCAAAAAAGTATGATGGTGGCATAAAATCAGACATATAGATCAATGAAACAGAATAGAGGGTCCAGAAATAAATCTGTACATTATAGGCAACTGATCTTTGACTAGGGTACCAAAAACACACAGTAGGGAAAAGATAGTCTCTTCAATAAACAGTGCTGAGAAAACTGGACATCCACATGCAGATGAGTGAAATTGGACCACTGCACTTAAGTGTGGGCTACAAAGTGATACTCTGTCTCAAAAAAAGCAAAAACAAAAACAAAAAACCCAAAACATATAAAAAGCTCAAACAACTCAATAGGAAAACAGGTAAATCCCAAAT
Organism: Homo sapiens; assembly: GCF_000001405.40. Lineage (NCBI taxonomy): Eukaryota > Metazoa > Chordata > Mammalia > Primates > Hominidae > Homo > Homo sapiens. Next base: position 36,148,443 of record NC_000008.11, on the reverse strand, counting down.
AAAACCCAATTATAAAATGTGCAAAGTACCTGGATATACATTTATCCAAAAAAGGCATACAAATTGCCAACAGGTACATTAACAGGTTGTCAGCATCACTAATCATCAGGGAAATGCAAATCAAAGCCATTATGAGTCATTGCCTCACATCTGTTAGGATAGCTACTATCAAAAAGACAAAAAGATAACATGTGTTGGCAAGGATGTGGAGAAAAGGGAACCCATATACATTGTTGGTTGGAGTGTAAATTGGCACAGCCATCATGGAAGACAGTACAGAGGTTCCATAAAAACTCCAGCAATCCCTCTTCTATATCCAAAGGAACTGAAATCGGTGTCTTTGAAGAGATAACCACACTTCCATTGTTACCTGCAGCATGTTTCACAATAGTGAAGATATGGGAACAACCTAAATGTCCATCAAAGTACGAATGGATATGAGTAAAGAAAATCTGCCCTATCTGTCTATCATCTATCTGTCTATCTACCTATCTATCTATCTGTCTGTCTGTGTGTATAGTGACATATTATTGAGCTTAAAAAAAAAAAAAAAGAACCATGTCAGATGTGACAACATGGATGAGCCTGAAGGGCATTATGCTAAGTGAAATAAGCCAGGTGCAAAAAAAAATAAATACTGCATGATCTGATTCATATGTGGGATCTGAGATAGTCAAATGAGTAGAAGCAGAGAGTAGAATGCTGAATTGCCAGGGTCTGAGGGATAAGGGAAAGAGGGAGATGTTGGTCAATGAGGTGCAAATTTTAAGTTACGCAACATGAATAAGTTCTGGAGATCTAATGTAGAGCATGGTGACTATGCTTAACAATACTGTATTGTATACTTGATATGTGCTAAGAAAATAAGTACATCTTAAGTGTTCTTACTACAAAGGAGGAGAAGGAGGAGGAGTGAAAGAGAAGGAGAAAATGATAATTTTGTGAGATGATGAATGTGTTAATTAGCTTAATTATGGTACTGTTATTCAGTTAATTAGCTAATACATTTGAAAATTTGAATGAAATGTGCAAATTCCTTGAGAAATACAAATTACAAAACCTGACAGAATTTAATATCTGAATAGTCTGGCATCTAATAATAAATTTGAAACACTTATTAAAACCTTCCCACAACAAAAACCCAGATGGCTTTCTTGGGGAAATCTTCTGAATATTTAAGGAATAAATTATACTAATTTGTACAAATTCATCCAGAATAATTGAAAGAGTGAATATTCTGTCTTTATTTTTAGGCTAACATAGACTTGATTTTAAAACTTTTCAAAGAACACTCCAAGAAAGAAAAATTATTACCTAATCTCTCACATAATCATAGATGCAAAAATCCTTAACAAAAGATTAGCAAATCAAATTCTATTATATATATGGAGATCTACATATATCTATATATATATACAGATATATATATGGAGATATCTATCTATCTATGTATATGTATGTAAAGATAATAGATCATTATCACGTTGGGTATTCCAGAGTGTAATGTATGAAAATTCAAAAATTAACCTATTGAATTTACCACATTAACAGAATAAAGAAAATAGTCATAGATAGGATCATCCAGATAAATGCAGAAAATATTAACAAAATTTAAAACCTGTCATGACTTTAAGAAATATTTTTAGCAAATTAAGACCAAAGAATATATTTTTTAAAACACTACAGGAAATATCATATTCAATAATGAAGCATGAAAAGCTTTCATCTGAGATTAGAAATAAGACCAGGATACTCACTTTAGACCACTCTGTTCAATGTTGTTGGTAAAGTCCTAAAAATACAATAAGGTAAGCAAAGAAACAAAAGGCAAATTGATTAGAAAGGAAAAGATAAAACTGTCACTGCTGGCAAGTTATATAATTATGTATACAAAATCTGCCAACACACAAAAACTCTTTCAAAAGAATATTGCAATTAATAGGTGAAGTTAAGAAAATTTTAAGATGCTAGGTCAGTATTAAAAATTAATTCTATATTTATATAGTAGCAAAAAATTAAAAATAAATTTTAAACATATCATTTATAATACTATCAAAAAATTGCCAGGTGTGGTGGCTCATGCCTGTAATCCCACTGCTTTTGGCAGCCTGAGGTGGGAAAATACCTTGAGCCCAGGAGTTTGAGACCAGCCTGGGCACCATAGCACGACCCTATCTGTACAAAAAATTTAAACAGTAGCTGAGCACGGTGCCACATGCCTGTCGTCCCAAGCTACTGGAGAGGCTGAGGTGGGAGGATGGCTTGAGCCCAGCACGTCAAAGCTGCAGTGAGCCAGGATCACGTTGCTGTACTTCAGCCTGGGTGGCAGAGAAAGACCCTGTTTCAAGAGGGGAAAACAAAACAAAACAAAATATAAAATGCCTAGGAAAATATCTCATAAGAAAATATGAAGAAATTGTAAGCTAAAAATTGCAAAATATTTTTGGGAGAAATTTTAAAGGACCCAATTAAATGGATGAATATATCACATTAATGGACAGGAAGACTCGGTGTTGTCAACATATCCATTTTCCCCAAAATCAACTTCTAAAATCAATACAATTCCTCTTTTTTTAAAAAAAGTATTTTTTTGGTGGAACTTAAAAAGCTAATTTAAGGATTCATGTGGACATGCAAAGACTTGAGAATATCAAGGCAATCCTAATAAAACCAAGATGCTGACTGACTTACTTTTGCCCAATATCAAGATTCATTATAAATCTGTACTGCAGGGGCAGACAAACTTACCAATGGAAAAGAATTGGATCTAGTAATCCAGTAATATAAGCACACCTGTATTAATCCATTCTCACACTTTTAATAAAGACAAACCCCAGACTGGGTAATTTATGAAGAAAAGAGGCCTAACTGACTCACAGTTAAGCATGGCTAGGGAGGCCTCCGAAAACTTAACAATCATGGCAAAAAGAGAAGCAAACACATCCTCCTTCAAATGGTGGCAGCAAGGAGAAGTGCCAAGCAAAGGGGGAAAAGCCCTTTATAAAAGCATGAGGTAATCTCATAAGAACTCACTCACTATCACAAGAACAGCATGAGGGTAACAGACCCCATGATTAAATTACCTCCCACCTGGCCCCTCCCAAGACACATGGGGATTATGGGAACTAACAATTCAAGATGAGATTTGGGTGGGGACACAGCCGAACCCTATCAATGCCCAATGACACAACAATTTACTTCTATCATACATCCCACAAGAATGTAGATGCAGGCCGGGCACGGTGGCTCATGTCTGTAATCCCAGCACTTTGGGAGGCCAAGGCAGGCGGATCGCTTGAGGTCGGGAGTTCGAGACCAGCTTGGCCAACGTGGCAAAACCCTGTCTCTACTAAAAATACACAAAAAAATTATCCTGACATGGTGGAGCATGCCTGTATTCCCAGCTACTCAGGAGGCTGAGGCAGGAGAATAACTCGAACCCAGGATGCGCAGGTTGCAGTGAGCCAAGATCAGGCCACTGCACTCAAGCCTGGGTGACAGAACAAGACTCTGTCTCAAAAAAAAAAAAAAAAATACACATGTAGGTGCATATTTACTAGAATGTTCACAACAGCGGTATTAGTCATCATTCCAAACTGGAAATTACCAAAATTCTCATTAACAATTAAATCATTTAAAAAGTTATTATAGTCACATGATTTAACACTATGTAGTATTGTGAATGTGAATAATTTACAGCAAAAGTACCTACACAGAAAAATTTAAAAAAACTTACTGTTGAACAAAAGAAGCCAATCAAACTAAATCTCTACTATAGAAGTCAGGGTTGTGGCTATCCTTGGCAGGGACAAGAAGGTAGTCTCTGGAAAAGAGAGAAAATAGCTTCTGTGGTGCTGGTAACATGGTATTTTAAATGTGTACTGGTCCTATAGTTGTGCTCCGTTTATGAAAAGTCATCAAGCTGAAAGCTGAATAATTGTAATTGAGCCTATCTTTGTAAATGTATTATATTTGAATAAAAACTTAAATAAATTAATTAAATATCATATAAATAAATCTAAAGCAGCCTAAACTATTAAAGAGTTCTAGAGTTAAAAGTTATTCCAAAGCACCATATATGTGCTTCCAGTGTGGGGAGTAACTGTAAATGTTTAAATACTTATAGAAGAAATGAATAATGAACATATAATCCTATAGAAAATTAAACAAAAATTTACGGAGAACTTACTATACTAATGTTCTGATGGATGCCAAAATGAATTACCACAATCCCTTTACTCAAGAAGTATACAATACATAACTGATTACAAACTTATAATAGTATCATTGGAAGGTCTAATAAAATAAATGTCATAAGATAAATACAAATAAATCACTGAAAGACAACTTTCAATTGCAAGTGGGAAGAAAGAAAGTCTATGGGAGAATGGTGTTGAAATTTACCCCGAAAGCCGGGTACAATCCTACCAGCTGAAGATGAAGCCAAGGCAGAGTGTATTTATTCCCAGCCTGTTGTTTTCAATACCCATTTTTAATTTTTATTCAAAGAGATGATAGTTCATAAATTAATGTAGTGCCTTTTAATTTAATTTTTCTGCTTGTTAGGCAAATGCCACTCCCTTCCCCCATCTCAATAACATTTTTTTCTTTATAATACTTCCACTGTGGCTTCATTTTTTTGTGGGTGCACAGTTCAGTGTTGTATTTTTCATGATTGAATTTCATCCTAGTATTTTCAAAGTCGTTTTGAATCCTTTTTTCCTTAGATTGTTAGCACTCATCCACGTTTACATCAGGTCTATCCGATGGTATAAATTGACTATGGCATGATCAATTTCATATTTTTCACCCTCTTAGTGATTGGCCATGTAGCAATTGACTGAGCTGAAAGTATAAGGATTCAGCAATTTTTATCACTGTAATAGTCAAAATGGATCATATATCAAGGTTTATTTCAACTATCTAGCTCTGGTATCAGATTTTATTTTATCAAAATAAAATAACTTAGAAAAAGACATTGTGCTTTATCTGAGACAAAGTTCATTCTCTATGAATTTCTTATATGGTGGGACTCTTCTTTATTAGATAACAGATGACAGATATTTGTGCCAGTCTCTGGCCTGTTTGCCCTTAGATCCATTGTTTTGTCTGCTTGCTCTGCCCTGTACTGCAAAGAATGTAGAAGGCTTGTTTCCAGCTGTATTTAGTCAGGAGGAGGTCCTCGTAGAAGATTGAAAGATGGAAAGAAGAGAATATCCGTTTATTTCTCTCCTTCCCTTTCTCCTCCAGAAAGTATGTTTAGAAGCAACTGCATTTCCTTCATCATTCCAACTTCCACCTTACATCTCCATTATGGTTTTAAGCTTCTGCTGGGACCTCCTGATTCTTGGCTCTAATAATGCTACCTCCTGTCTCTATTCTTTCTGACTTTCTTCCTTCTGAGTGGCTTTACTTCCAGTTGCTGGTTTCTCAATTCCTCTCTTCTGTCATCCACATAACCCATTCTCTGCATTTAGGTCTTTCTGTTTTAAATACTCTGAATGCTGTTTGCTGAATAGATCCTGACTAATATAGCATTTCATGCTTAAAGTTATAAATTTACAACCATCTTTTACTCATAGAAGCATGAGTTGATCATTTCATTAATGTTGCAGGGAATAGGAGCCCAGTACTTTTATTTGACACAATTGACAGATCATGACTAAAAATTACTGTTAGTTAAATTAGCCATAGAAGCTCAAGATTTGCTTGGCATGCACTAGCATGTCACCGCATGTATCTACCAAATTCATAACAATATAGGGAAAAACATGCAGCATCACTTTCCTTTTCATAGATGCAAAACCTGAAAGCAAGACACCATATTCATAGACTGTTATGGTCTAAGAGATCTTAGAGAGATAATCTTCAACAGGTTTCTCAATTCACAGTAGTGTGTGGAGGATTTTTGTTGTTTTTAATTTTTGTTTGTTTGTTTGTTTGAGATGAGGTCTTGCTCTGTCACTAAGGCTGGAGTGAAGTGGCATGATCATAGCTCACTGCAGCCTTAAACTCCTCGCCTCAAGCAATCCTTCCACATCAGCCTCCTGAGTACTAGGACTACAGGTGCACCCCACCACACCTGGATAATTTTTATATTTTTTGTAGAGATGTGGTTTCACCATGTTGCCCAGGCTAGTTTCGAACTCCTGGCCTCAAGCAATCTTCCTGCTTTGGCCTGTCAACGTGCTAGAATTCCAAGCATAAGCCACCACACCTGGCCAGGAGGCTGTTTTGGTATTTTTTTTTTTTTAAGAAACAAAAAAGTTGAGAATTCTCATCAAAATATTTTATAAGGGTATAAACTGAGACCCAAAAAAGTGAGAAGGCTTGTTCATGGACAAAGTGTAAGCTCAAAACTTTATGTGTGGTTCTTGGCTTCCAAAACCAAATTTTCAACAAAGTGAGAATTCAAAATACTCTTATAATTATAATTCTTCAATATCCCTTTCTTATCCTGAGAACCAAATAGAATTAAGTAGCTGTTGGGATCATTCATACTAGATTTTAATTTAATAATGGCAAGACCCATGTTTTATATGATTCATAATCCTTGCAAATCCTGGAAAAATGGTTTTAATTTCCATCAACACATGGTTATTAATTTTCTACTACATAAAAAAGACACCATGCTTTTTACTACTATGGCCAACCAGGCTTTAAATCAGATTTCCTGCTCTACACTGTATTCAGCTATATGAATGGATAAGTTGGACCAAAGATTAAATAGGTATAAGCATTTACTTCATCATTTGTTCATTTATTTAACAAATGTATTTTGAGCACCTTTAACGAAATACCAGTTTTGGATACTGAGGATATAGCAGTGCTAGAGCTTCTAAAATCATGGAAGAATAAAACATAAATAAGCAATAAATAATTTCAGCATGCCATAAATACTGTGGATGAAACAAACTGGATGTCGTGGTAAAGGGTTAAGGGTTGCAGGAATGCAACCCTTACATGCATGTTTTACACATTTTACAATCATGCATGTTTTGCACAACACAACCCTAGGAGGCGCCACTTATTTTATGGACATGGCAGATTTGTATATTTATTTCAAAAATTTTCCGGCAGATGGCAGCAAAGTGTCTTGTTCAAACACATTGGTATATTAAAATTATTTTTTTCTGACAGATATAAGTAAAGACTCTTGAAGAAGTGCTGCTTTTTTTCTAATTTGCCCAAAGGCACCATGTGGACTAATGAAAGTTCTGAAAAGGGGAGATAAACTTTAAAAAGAAAGTCAGATAAGACCACTTTGATGAAGTGACATTTAAGCTACGGATAAATAAGAGTCAGTCATTTGGAGAACAGGATTTAAGAACACTCCAGAAAGAGGGAAAAGTATGTGCTTGACATTATCTACTCTTCTCTTGTTTTGCTTATTTTGACATTATATTCTTACAGTTAAAAATCATAAAGTTCTTTGTACATGAACGCGATTTTCACTAGCAGAGTCTCTGCTTTGGATAGTTTTCGTTTCCACTGGTGATGACCTAATCTCTTTTCTCTCTCATTTCCAGGGCTTCTTGCTAAGGTTAAGAATTAAATATTTGGGCCCATAACCTAACGGAATGACCTCATTGGCAGGAGGTACTGAACAATTAATTTGGCCTAATCAGTCCTCGAGGAAACTTTCATTACTATGTATTAGGCCCTTCCATCATTCTTCCTTCTACATAACAGGTACCATGCCTTTTAGCCATACAACAGAGTTAAAATATCTACATATTATATATCTTATTCTGACAATAATAACTGCTAACGCTTGCAGAGTATTTATTAAATGTCAAGTGCTATGTTAAAAATGTCACTAACTTAGCTCATGTAAAAATAACAACTGCCGCCCGGGCGCGGTGGCTCACGCTTGTAATCCCAGCACTTTGGGAGGCCGAGGCGGGTGGATCACGAGGTCAGGAGATCGAGACCACGGTGAAACCCCGTCTCTCCTAAAAATACAAAAAAATTAGCCGGGCGTGATGGTGGGCGCCTGTAGTCCCAGCTACTCGGAGAGGCTGAGGCAGGAGAATGGCGTGAACCCGGGAGGCGGAGCTTGCAGTGAGCCGAGACTGCGCCACCGCACTCCAGCCTGGGTGACAGAGCGAGACTCCGTCTCAAAAAAAAAACAAAAACAAAACAAAACAAAAAACACAAAAAACCCCACAACTGCCTAGAGTAGATATTTTACCTAATCTATAGAGGAATCTGAGGCTTAGCACACCTAAGATGTGTGTTTGAATTTTAACCCAAATATCCTGGCTCCAGACTCATGCTCTTAACTCTTAAGAAAGACTTCAATAAATATTAGTATTACTAGATACCAAAGAGTGTAGTGATAAAGAATACAAACCCGAAAAGTTGAGATGCTCACCTCTTAGGTGACTTCTAATAACAACCCTAAGAGAAGATATTACAACCTGACTCAACTACCATGGGACTTCTGTTCACTTCGTGCTTTCCTATGGTTACTGGCTTTCTTGTTCTTAAAAAGAAATAATCTTCTTCAGCATACTCCTTAGAGTGACACGCTCTTTATTCTCTCCTAGAAGTACCTGATTCCAAGGAGGAGCAGATATAGAGTATGCCTAAAAATTTCTCCATTCACCTAGGTTCTCCCTTCCAAGAGAATCCTACTAGGGTTCTCTAGCTGCCTGAAGCATACAGCAAAGAACTCCAATTAACAAGAAAATACTTCTTGCCATCTCATATATTGCAAGAATACGGTTAAAATATTTAAAGTCTGCATGCAGACTTTTACAGAAATTTGCAATGTTGAAGTACAAGGAAAACGCGCATGATGGTACTAATTTGATGAGAAGACAATTCGAAGCCAAAAGAGTGTTTAGACATGTCATTTTATTAAACATCATAAACTCTGCTGTGTTATAGGCACAGTGGAACCAATAAACCATTAATGTGGCATCATGCAATAGCCAAGAGCAGAATATGAACCAGCTTTGATCAAGAGCAGGTGTGAGCACAAAGCCGAAAGTAAATTGTTCAATCAATTAATGAGAACAGAGTTAAATACTTTTGTTTATCGGTTGATTATAAATGATAGCATCCCAGTGGGAAGGGCTATAATAATTCCCTAACAAAACTTCATTATTCTAAAACACTACAGTAAATCTTTTATCAGCATCAGCCTGGCATCTCTGTTGCAAGAGCCAATCTGTACTTTGTGTGTTCAGCCCAAATGAGTGCCCAGAAAATGAGTGGAAGGGACTTAGGAGCAAAGCCCCAAATGTTCACGTTCCTTATCTTGATAAATACCCACAAGTTCAGTGGCTTATGTTAACTGTTAAAACATGCAAAGACAAGCTAGAATATGTGAGAATGGGCCTTTGGAGTAGAACTAAGTAAGCACTCCAGAGAAGCCAGGGAAAATTAAGAGTCACTCAAGGAAATAGGCATCCAGACAATTTCGATTTTTTTAAGTTTTATTATTGGGAGATTTTTTCCTAGGCAAGTATGTTCTCTAAGTCTCTAAAGAAGCCTCCCTAAAACTGGAAAGTTCCCCCCTTATGTCAGCTAAACTCTGAAACAAGCAACCTGGAAGGCAGCAAGTCGCACTTGAAAATCTGGAAATTAAAAAATAACAATCCAAACTGCAACCAACTTAGATCACTTAAGAACTTTGATCACTTAAGAAAGGGTTCCTTTCCCTTCCCTGGCCTTTGTAATTTTCACCCGGCTCTCAATGATAACAATTATAACCTCAATATTGTTACTGGTGCCCTGAGTTCTTGCAGTGTCCCAGGATCGAAATCAAGAGAGCCTACCAAGTACAGCATCGAAGAGAAAATTTATTTAGCTTATGCCCAAGGGAGCCAGCACTGAAAAAGGAAAAGGAATGGGCTGCTCTCTGAGGATAGCGTGTGGGTTAGTTTTATAGGGTCTTTCTGTAGGGAAGGGTTATATCAGGGCATGTATAGAAGGGCTTTTTTTAGTGCTGGCACAGTGGCTCAACATGCTTTTTCATATGTAGCATTAGCATTTTAAATCTCCAAGTCTAATTGTGCATGCAGGGTCTCTGGCAAAGTCCATAGCCACCTGAAATAGAAATTGGCAGTTAAAAGCTCATTGGGTCTTTTCTTACTGATTGGTTGAGAGTTCGACAAGTTAGAGCTTGAGTGAGGGGCTTTTATCCTTTTCCTCCAGACCATATTAACACAGGAAACCAACCAGCCTGCCTGTCTCAATATGATTACTTAAATCCTGCCAAAAGAGCCAGTTTCTAACCAGACTCTGGGATTAACCTTCACCCTAAATGAGGGACATATATAATGCTTAAGTGTGGCATTAACTCTCTAGTTCAACCTCAAGGGCAGTTTTTATATTGAGTGTTTTTGACCTTGGTAACAAGGTTCTCAATAACTGGATTCTCGACATGCTCTCCAGTTACAATGATTAAGTTAGTACCTGGAACTAATGTACATCTGTGGCTTGATTTTCTCTCTGAACCTGAATTTACCCAATACTTGTTCTAAGTCTCTACATATGCCCATATGCCTCCAACCTATTTGCTTCTATTTGTTTATTATTTCGGATTACATGATGTACATACATTTCCATTCTAACATTAGCAAATTTCTCAGCTTTAGTGTTAAGGATTTTTTGTTTTTATTTTTGTTTGTTTGTTTTTGAAACAGGGTCTCACTCTGTCACCCAGGCTGGAGTGTATTGGCACTATCTTGACTCACTGCAACCTCCGCCTCCTGGGCTCAAGCAATCCTCCCACCTTCGCCTCCCAAGGAGCTGGAACTATAGGCATGTGTCACCAAGCCTGGTTAAGTTTTTAATTTTGCGTGTGTGTGCGTAGAGATGGGGTTTCGCCATGCTTCCCAGGCTGGTTTTGAACTTCTGTGCTCAAGCAATCTGCCTGTCTTGGCCTACTAAAGTGCTGCAATTATAGGCACGAACCACCATGCCCAGCCTACAGTTAAGTTCTTATTCTTTCCTTCCAAACATATATTGAGTGCCTCTTTGGAACTTGGTCTAAAGAGAGAAAATGACAAATTTCCTGACTTTAAGAGTAACTGTGAGTGTCAACATTTGAATAAATCAGGATTCAGTCCTTCTTAACCCTCAGAACTTTCTGACCTTCAGGCACTAGTCTACACCTATTTAGTCTAAGGAACTGAGGCTGAGATCCCAAAAGGACACTAAATAGATTTCTCAAAGCTGATAAGCCTAAAGTATTCAGTGATAGTGTTTCCCAAGTGATGTCCATATTGCTAACTGGTTTGGCTTGAATTGGTTTTCTTTTTGTCTATTTTGCCTAATCAAGTTGTACAATATTAGGGCTAACAATGATACTCCATTTAATATCTGCATTAAGAAAAAATATTTAGTAATTTTTTTTTTTTTTTGAGACGGAGTCTTGCGCTCTCTCCCAGGCTGGAGTGCAGTGGCGTGATCTTGGTTCACTGCAAGCTCCAACTTCTGGGAATATTTAGTAATTTTTACAATAGATGTATAAACTTAATTCCTAGTAAGGATATTTTTAAAATTCCAATTAGAATATTTTGCCTTAGGTTGTGTCATGTTCTCCATCAAATGAAAGCATAAAGTTTTCCACACAGGTATTTAAATGGTGGAGACCCACCCAGTAACTCACTCAGCACCTTATAGTTCTAGCACTGATTAATAACACATAAATTTAAAGTTAAATTCAGAAAATGTATTTCCTTATAAATGAAAGATAATCCGTTTCCTTATTTTAAAATTTTTTCTGGTGGGAACATTTGTCAACATTCCTCTAGGCAAGTGTAGAGTGTAGTCTAAAAGACTACATTGTTGTGAGGAAAACTTTCCAACCAAAACTGATCCAGTGTACTCCTGATCTCTCATTTCACTCTCTCTCTTTACATGCGCGGGCACACACACACACACACACACACACACACACACACGGATAAATGCGTTCTATTTTAAGCATAAGATGAAGTTGAAAAGCAGCAAAAATGCAAGGACAAGTCCTCTATTTTTGTACTTTTGGCATTGATGGAAGAGATACCCAGAATTGCAGATTTCAACACTGAGAACAAACATTATTAAGATACCAGAAAACTAACAACACAGTTTAATGAGAAACAAATACTATGCATCAAATCGTTAACAGTTACCTTTGAGGATTATGGATTTTACCAATTAGCAACTTCTTTACAAACATATTACTTATTCATGAAAATTGATTTGATTTTCTTCGTCTAACCATCAGCAGCCTCATTTAGTGACCTTAGAGATAATAAACCTGGGATTATTCTGAGCCCTGGGGTAGATTTATAAAATGTTTTGTATTTATTTCTGGAAAGAAAAACTGATTTTTGATCAGAAGATATGGGCCTGAAGCTTAGTCCCTCTACTCATTAATTATATAATATTGTGCTAGATATTTAACCTCTGTGTGGCTTAGCATTTTCATCTATTTAGAAGTTAATGACAATATTAATAATAACTGCTCTCAATTTGACTAGGTTTTTGTAAATGTTTTTGATTCTTTTTATTGTAGTAAAATATATATAACAAAATTCCCATTTTACACGTTTAAGTGTTCAGTACTGTGGCATTAAATCTACTTACATTGCTGTGCAGCCATCATCACATCTATCTCCAGAACCTTTTATCTTCCCAAACTGAAACTCTATATCCATTAAACACTAACTCCCCACTGCCCTTTCTTCCGCCCTAAAAACCATGACTCTGTTTTCTGTTTCTACAAATTTGACTACTCTAGGAACCTGAAATAAGAGGAAGTACACAATATTTGCCCTTTTATGACTTAAAATATGTCCTTTTATGTCCTTATTTCACTAAGTAGAATGTCGTCAAGATTCTTATTCATATTGTGGCATGTGTTGAAATTCCCTTCCTTAATTAAGACTGAAAAATTTCCATTGTAGTTATGTACCACATTTTTTTATCCATTCATCTGTCATGGTGATGGGTGCACAACAATGTGAATGTACTTAATTCCACTGAACTGAACATTTAAAAATGGTTAAATGATAAACTTTGATGAAGGCAGAGATGGATTCACTATAAACTCATGAAGCTTAAGCTGCATGGCCCCTCACTTGTATAAGCTCATTCCAAGGTTCTGACAGGAGCCCAGGAAATGTGTGCACAAGGTCATTTGTGTTTGAAAATTTGCGAAAGTTGGCAGATGGCTCTTTCCGTTGTGAGTTTCTCTCTGTCACACTTTCTGTTATGATGGGTAGAATGGAAGAACTCTCTTTGATGACGGTGAGAATTTTGTGGGGTGCTGCTAAGAAAAAGTTGAGTTGGGTGTTCATTTAGTTTGGGTTGATTGGGATACACTGATGCTGTTTATAATCATTTCCCATGGAAGTTAACTTACCGCTAGCCATTCTATTAAAAACAGCATCTGGGATTCTGTCTCTGGACACTTTGCTGACTCAATCATTACAGTAGCACTATGATGCAAAAAGATATAAATATGTACTACAATACCTGGCACAGAAACTCTGTGATTCATGGAGGAAAAACAAGGTTTACAAATATTAAGTCATAAACTTGTCTATATAAAAATTCATTCGATCATTATAAATGAAACGTGACAAGCAGATAACTCAGTTCCTATCAATGTCTAGTCAAAACCGAAATATACTCAATAATGCAACATACAAAATTATAAAACTACCGTACATTTTTTGCATGGTAGTTATGCAAAATAGAATTTACCTAAATTCATATTATTGTAAAATACAAAATGATCCAAATACTACAAATAGCAATGAGTATGATTGTAAGTCATAAATGAAAGAAACTTGATAGAGATTTATAAAAATTTGTCTATACTACTAAAAAAATTATACGATATTACCGGTAATGAATTGTGAAGCAAAAAAATAAAAAGAGGAATGCTTCTAAACCCTTATTCATAAAGAAACAGATATTTATCAACCATGATAGATTTAAAAAATAATTTTTCAGTGGCTCATGCCTGTAATCCCAGCCCTTTGGGAGACCAAGGCGGGCAGATCACCTGAGGTTGGGAGTTTGAGACCAGCCTGACCAACATGGTGAAACCTGGTCTCTACTAAAACACAAAAAAATTAGCCGGGCATGGTGGTGTGTGCCTGTAGTCCCAGCTACTTGAGAGGCTGAGGCAGGAGAATCACTTGAAACCAGGAGGCGGAGGTTAGAGTGAGCCGACATTGCACCACTGCACTCCAGCCTGGCAACAGAGCAAGACTCCATTTCAAAAATATATGTATTTTAAAATGAAATCATTTAGCAATTTTTTGCTTAAATATAAAAATACTTTACTTAAAAAATTTACTTAAATTTCTATATTTTATAATTTTATATTTACTTAAAAATTAAAAAAATATATTTTTCTACCTCTCAGAGACACTGAAGATAGCATCAGGAATTTGCTTACAATCTCATCTTCACCAAATATTTGAAACTCTATTTAGACAAAGGTGCAGAAACACATGTGGTGAAGACATGATATTTCTACTCAGAAATAGAAGTTCTGATCTTGGCTTAAAAGTCTATGAGGTGAGGACCTCTGCATTGCAGACTCCAGGGACACAGGCTCTCTGGTCTATTGACTTGGAAAGCAGAGAGAAAGAGAAGAAATGAGAGACTCAGGCATCCTCTGTAATTATTTCTCTGTCAGAATTATAGTATCTCAGAAAGCAATCTGTCATTTGTAGGAAACTCTGTGAATCAGCCAACATTTTCTACATTATCAAAGAAATGTGATGTGGTTTGGAGGAGAGGTGGAGACAGTGAAAATGAAGATGCTATTATACTATGGCTTTCAATTCCAAGATAAACTTTCAGAGAAATTTGTCAAAATTAGCTACGATGTTCCTTCTAAGTAGTGCTCAGCTGTCACCTACTCTAGGAAAAGAAGAAGCATGAAGGATGACTTTGTATTCTTCACCATGTCTCCTTGTGTCTGTCAATAAGGAGATGACTATGAATATGGAGGATAGTCCCTATTGACATATTTCAATCATGTCAAAAGAACCAGAGAACATTAATACTAAGTATACCAGAAATTATAACAACTTTTTCTATTTAATTTTGCTATTGTGGCTTCCATCTTCATATTTCAAAGCTTATTATAATACATGACTCTTGCATTTATCCCCCACCCCAACCCCAATCAGTCAAGAGAGTTTTATGGATTTTCCTGAGTTTGATAGTGAAATGCCAAGAACCATGGAATACAGCCATAAAGAGTGTTAGTTATGGCTGGGCGCGGTGGCTCACGCCTGTAATCCCAGCACTTTGGGAGGCCGAGGCAGATGGATCACGAGGTCAGGGGATCAAGACCATCCTGGCTAACACAGTGAAACCCCTTCCCTACTAAAAATACAAAAAAATTAGCCGGGCATGGTGGCATGCACCTGTAATCCCAGCTACTCAAGAGGCTGAGGCAGGAGAATGGCGTGAACCCAGGAGGCTTGCAATGCCTCAATGCAAGCTCAGCTTGCAATGAGCTGAGATCACACCACTGCACTCCAGCCTGGGCAACAGAACGAGACTGCATATCAAAAAAAAAAAAAAAAAAAAAAGAGTGTTAGTTATTAGATGAATGTACTCCTCACTAAACACAGTTGTCTTAGGTAGGAAAGTTGTTTATGCCTACGGGAAATAGAGTATGTTAAATAATTAATCGAATTGAATCAAAAGATGGTAATTTGATCAGCAAACGTTTTTTATTAACAAAGTTGGGAGAAGAGATGAGAAGGAGAAAGAGATCATAACCATACTGGTGGGAAGATTTAGAGATATGTAAGATTATCATCACTTCCACTTCTCATAAGATAGAGTAGATATAATTTCCCTATTCTTCCCACTAAGCACAATTTAAAAACTCTAGACATTATATATAAAACAAACATAAGAAGACTCTAAAAGATGGAGAGAAGAAGGCAGACTGGATAGGGATGTCAGCAAGGAACAACATGGTGGTGAGTTTTGTAGGTTTTCTGTTTCCATCATATATCCCAAACTGGTAGCTGAAAAGCCAGTGTCCCAGAAACAGTGTATGAGGAATGGAAAACCTCAACGAAAGCTTGTTCTCTCTAGCCAAAGGATCAGGAAGGGGTAACATAAAAATACAAAAAAAAAAAAAACTTTTAAACTGTAAATTCTCTATTTCAACCAAACATCATAAAAATAAATACAGACAACTCCCCACCCACATCATCAAAAACCAAGGGCAAACACAGAATCCCATGCTAATGACACTGTTGCAAGGTGCCCCAGCAACTCTCCTAGCACGAGGCCCAAGAAAGCCAAGTAGGGAGTTAGGACTTCCAGCACTGTTGGGCCATAACAAGATGTTCCCTGTGGTGTCATTAGAGACTACATAGGTTGCCTGGACTTCCAGCCAACTGAAAATCAAAACAGGAGAGGGCCCTTCTCCTCCCCACTGAAGTGGTATCAGAGGATATCTAGCAGAGAGTCAAGTTTTTCATGACTAGCCATTAGTATTAAGGTCATCCCTCTGTGATTTCAGTGGAGACTACATGAGGAACAGTAACAAGTACTTGCCTCAGCCTGGGTGTTATCAGTAGAGGCCCAGAGGAAAGCCAGAACTCCTCCTCCACCCAACAGTAATGAGAAGCTCTCCCCCTCACTGGATTCAGTGGAGGCCAATGTGAAACTGGGCTTCTACTCCCACCTGACAGTAACAATTCAGCACTCCCAGGCTCTCACTGTTGAAGCAGTGTCAAAGGGAACCAGTTAAAATAGAGGGTTTAAATAAGATTCAGAATTTCATAATATACTACCTCAAATTTCCAGTTCTCAATTTTAAAAATCACTTGTACCAAGAACCAGGAAAATATCAACTTACAAAAAAGGGAAAATCAATAGATGCCATCACCTAGATGACAGAGATGTTAGAATTATCTGACAGAGATTTTAAAGTAGTCATCATAAAAATGCTTCAACAAGCAACTACAAACATACTTGAAACAAAATAGTAGAAAGTCTTGGCAAGGAAATAGAAGGTTACAGCAAAGAAATATATATATATTATATATAAATTATATTACATATATATACATTATATTTATGTATATATACACATTATGTATATGAAAATTTTAGAACTGAAAAATACAATAAACAAAATTTTAAAAGCTCAATGGAAAGTGCCTTGTTTAGCTCAATCTGCCAAAATAAATTACCACATATTGAGTGGCTTAAACAACAAAAATGTGTATTCTCATAATTCTGCAATCTGGAAGTTCAAGGTTGGTGCCAGCATGGTTAGGTTTTGGTGAGTGCTGTCTTTCTGACTTGCAGATGGCCACCTCTCCCTGTGTGCTCACCTGGCCTGTTCTCATTTGCATAACAGGGAGTGGGAAATCAATCTCACTTACTTTTCCTTTTCTTCTAAGGGTGCTAATCTCATCATAAAGGTCCTACCTGATGAAGTCATCCAAATTTAATTAACTCCTAAAGGCTTCAGCTGCAAATACTACAGCATTGGGGGTTAAAGTTGCAACATACAAATTTGGGGTTGGAGGACACAATTCAGTCCATAGCAGAAGGACTCAATAGCAGGATGGAGAGGCCAGAAGAAAGAATTAGTAAACTTCATTATAGAACAATAGAAATTACCCAATCCAAACACCATAGAAAAATTACTCTGAAAGGAATAAATGAATGGAACATCAGGAACATGTTCATCTATAACAAATATTTAACACTCATGTCATCAGAGTCTCAGAAGGAGAGGAAAATGAGGGCAAGGATGAAAAATTATGCAAATAAATACTAACTGAAAATTACCAAATTTGACAAAAGACATTGACCTAAGAGGCTGAGAAAACCCTACACGGAATGTAGCCCAAACAATCTACAGAAAAACAAATGTATCATAAGTACATTTCTGAAAACTAAAGACCAACAAAAAGTTGTAAAAATAGCAAAGTAAAAAATAACACCTTATCTATAAGGAGGGAAAAACTATCCAAATGACAAAAAATTTCTCATCAAAAATTATGAAGACCATGAGGAAGTGCCACAACATTTTCCAAGTCCTTTAAGAATTTTAAGTATAGAATTCCAAATCCTGTGAAATATCCTTTAGAAATGTAGGGGAAATTAAGCTTTTAAATGATAGAAAGATTAAAATAATTTGTCACTAGCAGATGTGCCTTAAGAAATACCTGAAGATAATTCTCTAAACAGAATAATTTGATAAAATAAATCTTGTAATATCAGTAAGAAAGAACAATGAAAAGAGTAGTGCCATGCATAAAAAACATAGATTTTTTTTTCTCTTTTGAGTTTTCTAAGTTATGCTTCATAGCTGAAACAAAATTGTAACAGTATGTGATATGTATCTAAATGTCTGTGGAGGAAATATTTTTTCCAGCTTTATTGAGGGATAATTGAAAAAATTGTTTATATTTAAGGTGTACAAAATGATGCTTTGATATACATATACATTGTAAAATGACTACTGGAATCAATCTAATTAACATATCTGTCACTTCACAGTTACTTTTTTTAATGGTGAGAACACAAGATTTATTCTCAGCCAATTTCAAGTGTACAGTACAGTATTGCTAATTATAGTCAGTATGTTTGTACATTAGAGCTCCAGAACTTATTCATCCTGCTTAACAGAAACTTTGCACCCTTGGACTAGCAAGGTCTGATTTCTCCCATCCCCCAGAACCTGGAAACTATTAATACCATTTTACTCTCTGCCTTTATGAGTCTGACTTTTTAGGTTCCACATATAAATAAGATTATGCACTATTTGTCTCTCTGTATCTGGCTTATTCTACTTAGCATACAATTTGCCAGGTTCATCTAAATTGTCACATATGGTATAAATTTCCTTCTTTATTAAGGCTGGATATTATTCCATTGTGTGTGTGTATGTGTATTCTTACTTTTAATCCATTTTTAAAAAGAAACTTCAAACTGTTTTTAATAATGGCTGTACTAATTAATATCCCCACCAACAGTGTACCAGAGTTTCCTTTTCTTCACATCCTCACTAATGCTTATCTTATGTTTTTTTTTAATATTTGCCATTCTAGCAGGGCTGAGGTTATATCTCATTGCTGTTTTAATGCATTTCTCTACTGATTAGTGATGTAGAGCATTTCTTCATTTATCTGTTGGCCATTGTATGTCTTCTTTTGAGAAATGTCTACTCTGGTCCTCTGCCTATTTTTTTTTTTTTTTTTTTTTTTGAGAGGGAGCCTCGCTCTCTCACCCAGGCTGGAGTACAGCGGCATGATCTTGGCTCACTGCAACCTCCACCTCCCAGGTTCAAGCAATTCTCCTGCCTTAGCCTCCCAAATAGCTGGGATTACAGACACCCGCTACCATGCCCACCTGATTTTTGTATTTTTAGTAGAGACAGGGTTTCACCACGTTGGCCAGGCTGGTCTCAAACTCTTGACTTCAGGTGATCCACCCACCTCAGCCTCCCAAAATGCTGGGATTACAGTCATGAGCCACTGCGCCAGGCCTCCATTTTTAAATCACATTATTTTTTTCTTGTTATTGAGTTGTTTGAGTTCCTTATATATTTTGGATATTAACCTTTATCTGATGTATGGTTTGCAGATATTTTCTCTCACTCTGTGGGTTGTCTCTCCACTCTGTTGATTGTTTCCTTTACTATTTAAAAGCTTTTTAGTTTGATGTAATCCTGTTTGTCTATTTTTGCTTTCATTACCTGTGCTTTTTGTGTCAGAGCTACAAAATCAGTGTCCAGACCAATGTCACATGTTTACTTCTAGTAGTTTTATGGTTTGGGATCTTATGTCATTATCTATTTTGAGTTGATTTTTTTGTACATGTTGTGAGATAAAGGTTCAGTTTCATTCATTTGTACGTAGAGACCTAGTTTTCCAAACACCATTTATTGAAGAGACTATCCTTTCCCTATTGTGTATTCTTGACACACCTTGTCCAAGATTAGTTGACCATAAAAACATGGATTAATTTCTGGGTTCTCTATTCTGTTCCATTGATTTATATGTTTGTTTCTATGCAATTTTCATTTTTTATTGTTTTGATTACTGTATCTGTGCAATACATTTGGAAATCAGAAGAGGCTGGGCCAAATGGCAGACTGGAAGCAGCAGCATTCGGAGGCTTCCATTGAAAAAAAACCATAGTAAGCGTGTGTATCCTTCACCGACAACAAATGTATCCAGGTTCTCTCATCAAAATTGACTAGAAGGCTGGCATGAGCCACAGAGAGAAGGAAGAGCAGTGTGGTGCTACAGCCCACCTGAAAGCCACATGGGGAAGGGGAACCTCCTCCCCCCAGCCAAGGCAGGTGGTGAGTGAGCGTGCAACCCAGCTGGGGAAAATGCTTTTCCCACAGAACTATGCAACCCATGGATGGGAAGATCCCACTTACAAACCCAAGCCACCAGGGTCTAGCGACCCAACCATGGAACCTGCATTCTTACAGCCTCTCAGTGGGAATCTGCTTAAGCTTACCAGGGGGAGGGGTGAGAGTTGCCTGCTGTGTAAGCCATTTGAGCTCCTTGGGGGAGGGTCAGCAGCCAGCACTGGGACTGGCAGCTGCCTAACATATTAAGCTCCCTGGCAGGGGAAGGATGACAACCATTTCTACAGCTCCAGGCTGTGCTCTTCCCCTGCTGGAGCCAGGGAGGCTGGATGGCTTGGTCCCAAGACTTGTCTCCACAGCCCAACACACTGGTTGTGGCCAGAGAGTCTCTTCAGGTATAACTCTGACCTATCCTTCTTCAGTGAGTCAGGCTTCCTTGCAGGATCTCCAATAACTCCAGCCAGAGGCTCAGGGACAGAATTTGGATCTCCCTGGGCCTGAGCCCTTAGGGGAAGGGGTGGCTGTAGTCACTGCAGGTGAGCAGACTTAGCCTCTCCTCCTGGTGGTTCTGAGGAATCCGGGCAGCCCAGATGAGTGGGTTTCCCCCCAGCAAAACACATCCTTTCCAAGGGACAAAGTGCTTCATTAAATGGGTCCTGCTCCCCATGCCACCCAACTGGATAAGACCCTCCAACAGGGGTTGTCAGACACCCTATACAGGAGCACTCCTACTGGCATCAGGTTGGTGCCCCTTGAGGTCAGAGGTCCCAGAAGAAGGTGTAGGCACCCATTTTTGCTGCTCTGCAGCCTCCTTGAGTCACATCTCCAGGTATGGGAAAGAATCAGATGAATAGAGCCTGAAGTGAACCCCCAGCAAACTGCAGCAGCTCTACAGAAGAGGGAACTGACTATTGAAAGAAAAAGAAGCAGAAAGCAACAACAACAGCATCAACAGCAACAACAACAAAAAGGCCCCCACAAAAACCCCATCCAAAGGTCAGCAGCCTGAAAGACCAAATCTAGACAACTATGAAAATGAGAAAGTATCATCAAAAAAATGCTGAAAACCCAAAAGGCCAGAGTACCTCTTCTCCTCCAAATGATTGTGACATCTCTCCATTAAGGGCACAGAACTGAACAGAAGATCAGATAGATGAACTGACAGAAGTAGGCTTCAGAAGATGGGTAATAAAAACCACAATGAGCTAAAGGAACATGTTCTAACCCAAAGCAAAGAAGCTAAGAACCTTGATAAAAGGTTAGAGGAATTGCTAACCAGAATAACCAATTTAGAGAGGAACATAAACGACCTGATGGAGCTGAAAAACAAAGCATGAGAACTTCGTGAAACATACACAAGCATCAACAGCCAAATGGACCAAGTGGAATAAAGGATATCATAGTTTGAAGCCCACATTACTGAAATAAGACATGTAGACAAGATTAGAGAAAAAGGAAAGAAAGGGAATGAATAAATCCTCCAAGAAATATGGGACTTCATAAACACACTGAACCTACAACTTATTGGAGTACCAGAAGGAGGTGGGGAGAATAAAAACAGGCTGGAAAACACACTTCAGGATATTATCCAGAAGAACTTTCCCAACATAGCAAGACAGGCCAACATGAAAATTCAGGAAATACAGAGAACACCACTAAGACACTCCACGAGTAGATAAACTCCAAGACACATAATCATCAGAGTCTCCAAAGTCGAAAAGAAGGAAAAACTGTTAAGGGCAGCCAGAGGGAAAGGCCAAGTCGCCTACAAACAGAAGCCTATCAGACTAACAGTGGACCTCTCAGCAGAAACTACACAAGCCAAAAGAGATTGGGGGGGCAATATTCAACATTCTTAAAAAAAAGAATTTCCAACCCAGGATCTCATATCCAGCCAAACTAAGCTTCATAAGTGAGGGAGAAATAAAATCCTTTCCAGACAAGCAAATGCTGAGGGATTTCGTTACCACCATGCCTGCCCTGCAAGAGCTCCTGAAAGAGGCACTAAATATGGAAAGGAAAAACCAGTACCAGCCAGTGCAAAAACACACCAAAATATAAAGACCAATGGCACTAGGAATAAACTGCGTAAATTAGTTTGCAAAATAACCAAATAGCATCATGATGACAGGATCATATTCACACAAAACAATACTAACCCTAAATGTAAACGGGCTAAATTCTTTTCAATTAAAAGACACAGAATGGCAAATTGGATGGGAAGTCAAGACTCATCAGTGTGCTATATTCAGGAGACCCATCTTATGTGCAAAGAAACACACAGACTCAAAATAAACAGATGGAGGAAAATTTACCAAGCAAATTAAAACCAAAAAAAAAGCAGGGGTTGCAATCCTTGTCTCTGACAAAACAGTCTTGAAACCAACGAAGATCAAAAAAGATAAAGAAGGGCATTACAAAATGGTAAAGGAAACAATTCAACAAAAGAACTAACTCTTCTAAATATATATGCATCCAATACAAGAGCACCCAGATTCATAAAATAAGTTCTTAGACACCTACAAAGAGACTTAGACTTCCACACAATAATAGTGGGAGACTTTAATACTCCACTGTCAGTATTAGACAGATCAACAAGTCAGAAAATTAACAAGGATATTCAGCACCTGAACTCAGCTCTGAACCAAGCAGACCTAATAGACATCTACAGTTCTTTCTATCCCAAATCAACAGAATATACATTCTTCCAAGTGCCACATGGCACTTATTCTAAAATCAACCACATAACTGGAACTAAAACACACCTCAGTGAAAGGAACTGAAATCATAACAAACAATCTCTCAGACCACGGTGCAATCAAATTAGAACTCAGGATTAAGAAACTCACTCAAAACCACACACTTTCATGGAAATTGAACAACCTGCTCCCAAATGACTCCTGGGTAAATGACAAAATTAAGGCAGAAATCAAGAAATTCTTTGAAACCAATGAGAACAAAGAGACAATGTACCAGAATCTCTGGGACACAGCTAATGCAGTGTTAAGAGGGAAATTTATACACTAAATGCTCAATAGGAAAGCTAGAAAGATCTCAAATTGACATCTAACTTCACAATTAAAAGAGCTAGAGAGACAAGAGCAAACTAATCCAAAAGCTGGCAGAAGACAAAAAAAAAAAAAAAAAAAAAAAAAAAAAATTAAGATCAGAGAAGAATTGAAGGAGATATAAACACAAAAAACCCTCCAAAAAAATCAACAAATCCAGGAGCAGGTTTTCTGAAAAAAATTAACAAAACGGATAGACCACCAGCTACACTAATAAAGAAGGAGAGAGAAGAATCAAATAGACACAATAAAAAATGATAAATTGGATATCACCACTGACCCCACAGAAATACAAACTACCATCAGAGAATACTATAAACACTTCTATGCAAATAAACTAGAAAATCTGGAAGAAATGGATAAATTCCTAGACACATACACCCTCACAAGACTAAACCAGGAAGAAGTTGAATCCCCAAATAGACCAATAACAAGCTCTAAAATTGAGGCAGTGATTAATAGCTTACCAACCAAAAAAAAAAAAAAAAGCCCAGACCAGATGGATTCACAGCTGAATTCTACCAGAAATACAAAGCAGAGTTGGTACCATTCCTTCTGAAACTATTCCAAACAATTGAAAAGGAGGGACTCCTCCCTAACTCATTTTATGAAGCCATCACCATCCTGACACCCGAATCGTGAAAAGACACTACAAAAAAAGAAAACTTCAGGTCAATATCCCTGATGAACATCAATGCTGAAATCTTCGATAAAATACTGGCAAACCTAATCCATCGGGACACCAAAAAACTTATGTACCACAATCAAGTCAGCTTTATTTGTGGGGTGCAAGGCTGGTTCAACATACACAAATCAATAAATGTAATGCATCACATAAACAGAACCAATGACAAAAACCACGTGATTATTTCAATAGATGCAGAAAAGGCCTTTGATAAAACTCCACATCCCTTCATGTTAAAAACTCACAATAGACTAGATATTGATGAAACATATCTCAAAATAATAAGAATTATTTATGAAAAACCCACAGCCTATAACATATTGAATGGGCAAAAGCTGGAAACATTCCCTTTGAAAACCAGCACAAGACAAGGATGCCCTCTCTCACCACTCCTATTCAAAATAGTATTGGAAGTTCTGGCTAGGGCAATCAGGCAAGAGAAATAAATAAAGGGTATTCAAACAGGAAAAGAGGAAGTCAACTTCTCTGTGTTTGCAGATGACATGATTTTATAGTTAGAAACCCCATCATCTCAGCCCAAAAACTTCTTGAATTGATAAGCAACTTCAGCAAAGTCTCAGGATACAAATTAATGTGCAAAAATCACAAACATTCCTTTACACCAACAATAGGCAAGCAGAGAGCCAAATCATGAATGAGCTCCCATTCACAATCACTACAAAGAGAATAAAATACCAAGGAATACAGCTAACAAGGTATGTGAAGGACCTCTTCAAGGAGAACTACAAACCACTGCTCAAAGAAATAAGAGAAGGCACAAACAAATGAAAAAAATTATATGCTTATGGACAGGAAGAACGAATATTGTGAAAAGGCCCATACTGCCCAAAGTAATTTATAGATTCAATGCTATTCTCATCAAACTACTATTGACATTCTTTACACAATTAGAAAAAACTACTTTAAATTTCATATGGAATCAAAAAAGAGCCCGTGTAGCCAAGACAATCCTAAGCAAAAAAAAAAAGCTAGAGGCATCACGCTACCTGACTTCAAACTATACTACAAGGCTGCATACAGTAACCAAAATATCATGGTACTGTTACCAAAACAGATATATAGATCAATGGAACAGAACAGAGGCCTCAGAAATAACACCACACATCTACAACCATCTGATTTTCGACAAACCTGACAAAAACAAGCAATGGGGAAATAATTCCCTATTTAATAAATGGTGCTAGCCATATGCAGAAAACAGAAACTGGACTCCTTCCTTACACCTTATACAAAAATTAACTCAAGATAGATTAAAGACTTAAATGTAAAACCCCAAATCATAAAAACCCTAGAAGAAAACCTAAGCAATCCCATTCAGGACATAGGAATGGGCTAAGACTTCATGACAAAAACTCCAAAAGCAGTTGCAACAAAAGCCAAAATTGACAAATGGGATCTAATTAAACTAAAGAGTTTCTGCACAGCAAAAGAAACTATCATCAGAGTGAACAGGCAACCTACAGAATGGGAGAAAATTTTGGCAATGTACCCATCTGACAAAGGTCTAATATCCAGAATTTACAAGGAACTTAAACATATTTACAAGAATAAAACAAACAACCCCATCAAAAAGTGGGCAAAGGATATGAGCAGACAATTCTCTAAAGAAGACATTTATATGGTCAACAAACATATTTTAAAAAACTCAATATTACTAATCATCAAAAAAATGCAAATCAAAACCACAATGAGATACCATCTCACACCAGTCAGAATGATGATTATTAAAAAGTCAGGAAACAATTGAGGCTGTGGAGAAATAGGAACTCTTTTACACTGTTGGTGGGAATGTAAATTAGTTCAACCATTGTAGAAGACAATGGAGATTCCTCAGGGATCTGGAACCAGAATTACCATTTGACCCAGCAATCCCATTACTAGGTATATACCCAAGGGAATGTAATCATTTTACTAGAAAGAAACATGCATACACATGTTTGTTGCAGCACTATTTACAATAGTAAAGACATGGAACCAACCCAAATGCCCATCAATGATAGATTGGGTAAAGAAAATGTGGTACATATACACCATGGAATACTATGCTGCCTAAAAAGGAATGAGATAATGTCCTTTGCAGTCATATGGTTGAAGCTGGAAGCCATCATCCTCAGCAAACTATCACAGGAACGGAAAACCAAATGCCCCATGTTCTCACCCACAGGTGGGAGCTGAACATTGAGAACACATAGACACAGAGAGGGGAACAACACATACCAGGGCCTGTTGGGGGGTGGGGGGTTGAGGGGAGGGAACTTAGAAGACAGGTCAGTAGGTGCAGCAAACCACCATGGCACACATATAACTATGTAACAAACCCGCACGTTCTGCATATGTATCCCGTTTTGTTGTTGTTGTTGTTGTTTTTTAGAAATAAAAAAAATCAGGGCATGTGACACCTCCAACTTTGTTCTTCTTGTTCGAGTTTGCCTTGGCTATTTGAGGTCTTTTGCAGTTTCACATGAATATCAATTGTTTTTTTCTGGCCGCTGACCTCGCAGGCTTCACTTCGGGAGGTTGCGCCGCCCTGCCCGGACCTCGGATCTTATCACATGGGACAGCGCGCACCTTATGATCTTGAAGAAAAGACACAAAATATTCACGTGATGTTTAGAAATAATTTGTGAGGGTGCGTCTGGGAAATCACGCAGCCATTGGGATACAGGCTCCGGGACCCGAGCATCATCCTCTCCTGGCTGAAAATTGTAATTATGACTCCCTCGTCCTCCTCCTCCGAGGCCGACTAGGCCAACAGGGTCTGGCTGATCCATGACGGCTGCGGCATGATCTGGGCCATCATGTCATGGCGTCTGGTCGTCTATGCAGACTTCCTGGTGACTTTGCCATGCTGCTGCCTTCCAAAGACTTTTGTACTCTGTGGTCAACCGGGTCACCTTTAACTGCTTGGCCGCGCTCGCCCTTTCCTCCCACCTGGGTTGCTCTTTGTGTCTGGTCTAGTGTGGCACACAGACCCGGTGGTGAATGTCCGTTCCTATAACCTCAGGGTTTCATTAACTCCTGGACACAAGCTTGTAGCGTTTTTCCTGTCTTAACTGGAGAAGAAACATTGCCTAAATAACAGTGATATCATGGTATATTGATGGAAAATATTAACCCATGGGGCTGTTTATTCAAATGAAGAGATTATGCTAGATAATTTCTAAAATCCCTTGTAGTTTAAATATTTTATTTTTCCAAAGAAGGGACTGAAAGCTGGGAAGCCTGGGGTTCTAGATTTTACCACTTTACCAGTCTTTCACTTGTTCTTTGGCCATAAGCAACTAATTTAACTTCTTTGGGCTAAAGGTTAGATGTTTTTCCTAAGTTCTTTCTAGCTCTGCGGTTCCCTCATTATCATGTCTCAGCTAAAGTGCAAACGTTGTGTTCAGCTAGCTGGTAAGAGTTAAAGGCTCAACCTGCCTGAAAAGTAGAGAGGAAGGATTCCATAAACAGCCATGTCATCATCAGACAGGGCTGATCCTTCCGAGGAAACAGTGCAACCTGGAGTTTAGATCCAGTGCACAGGACGTAGATTGACACAGGTGTGTGGAAACAAGAAAGGTGGATTGGGCCCGTCTTTGGATCAGATTCCTTTTAGGCTGAGAATAAACACAGGCCGGACCTGGCACAGTGAACTACCCTTAGTTCCTGATGTCTTGCAGGCCAGCAGATTCAGCTTCCACATTGGGTTTAAGGCTGCTTCTGAGTTTTGAGACATCCTCCATTTAGGGAAGGGCATTAGGGCCGATGGTACAGAACCTCACAGCTCAGCCATCCTTCACCTGCAGTCAGTGAGTTCCAGACTCCCGTGGGGAGCTTGGGGAAGATGCCCAGTGGCTGCTGGTGGGCGAGGCCAGGCATTAGCTGTCAATAGATTTTAATTTGAAGAAAGTTCTTTCCACTGCTTTAAAAAAATGGTTTTAAACCATGGCACAGGGACTCCTGAATTGTCAATTGAAAATCTACTGGGCTCCTGTTTATTTCTAAGCTATTTACGAGGAAGGTACCCAGAAGTTAATGTTTTATTGCACACCTTTCTAATAAATAAGATTAGGACTTTTTTGAGAATAAGCTGACACTGATCAGCTCACAGAAAAAAAATTTTTTCTATTTCTGAAAAAAATGTTATTGGAATTTTGATCAATATTGCATAGAATCTATGATTACTTCGGGTAGTATGGACATTTTAACAATATTAATTCTTAATATTTGACCCATGAACAAAGGATACTTTTTTATTTGTATCTTTAATTTCTTTCATCAATGTTTTATAGTTTTAGTGGTATTATATCTTTCACCTCCTTGGTTAAATTTATTACTAAGTATTCTATTCTTTTTGATGCCATTGTAAATGGGACTGTTGTCTTAATTTCTTTTGCAGGTCATTTGTTGTTAGTGTATTGAAACACAACTGACTTTTAATGATGACTTTGTATCTTATAACTTTACTGAATTCATTACATAATTCTAACAATTTTTTGGTGGAATTTAGGGTATTCTATATATAAGATCATGTTGTTTGCAAACAAAGACAATTTATAATAACTCTTCCCTTTCAAATTTGGATGTTTCTTATTTCTTTTTCCTGTCTAATTGCTCCGGCTAGGACTTCCAACATTATGTTAAATACCAGTGATGAAGGTCAGTATTTCTGATCTTAGAGAAAAAGCTTTCACATTTTCACCACTGAGTGTGATGTTATGTGCTTGTCATATATGGTCTTTATAATGAGGTACATTCCTTCTATACCTAATTTGTTAATGGTTTTTATAATGAAAGGATATTACATTTCATCATATATTTTTTATTCATTTATTGAGATTATCATATTTTTAACCTTTATTCTGTTAATGTGGTGTATCACATTTATTGATTTGCATAGGTTAAGTCATCCTTGTGTCCCAAGGATAAATCTCACTTGTTCATGGTGTTTAATATTTTAGGCAATTGTATTTAAATGGGGAAAGTCAAGGAACATAATAGGAGGTAAGATTTCTATATTCATTCAAACTGGTAAAACCTCAATCTGAGAAGATTGTGATGAGTCATAAACATATAATGTAATATCTAGAGCATCCTCTAAAAATGCAATACAAAAAGATACATTAAGACACTATTAATTTAAAAAAATATATATATTTAATAAGCCCATAGGAAGACACAAAAAGTAAACAGAGAAATGAAAAGCAGTGAGAAAAAAATCAGGTGGTTTTTTTCTTTATCATGAAAGAATATTTTCACAAAAAAGCAGGTGACTTAAGCCTTAACATATCAGTAATTGCATTAAATGTAAATTACCTAAATATACCAATTAAAAGACAGATTGTCACAGTGAAGTAAAAAGCATGATTCAGCTATGTATTATCTAAGAAACTTACTTCAAATATAATTATATAGGTAGGTTGTTAAGCATAAGGATGAATGTCATGAAAACATTAATTAATTAAAGCAGGAGTCACTATATTAATATCATATGAAGTATAGTTCTTAGCAAAGAAAAGTTCCTTGCCAGGAAGTGAGAAGGATATTATACAATGGTAAAAGATTCATTCCACCAAGAAAACATACCAATCCTAACATATATGCACCAAACAGCAGAGATGCAAAATGTGTGATGCATAAACTCATAAAACCGAAAGAAAAAAACAAATTAACAATTATATTTGGAGACCTTCCTTCAGTAATTGACTGAAAAATTAGACATTGAAAGTATAGAAAAACCCAACCACCCCATCAACAACAGAATTTAGTCAAAATTTATGGAATACTCTGTCAAATAACTGCAGGATATACATTATTTTATGCACTTATGAAACATATAACAACATAGACCATATCCTGGAATATAAAACAAGCCTCAACCTGAAAAAATAATCAAATTCATACAGAGTTTAATCTCTGACCACAATGGACTCAAACTAAGAATCAGTAACAGGTATATAACAGGAAAATATTAAAACACTTGGAAAGTAAACACACTTACAAGTAATCCATGGATCAAAAATAATTTCAAAGAAATTATTTAAATGCATTGAACTGAATGAAAATAAATATACAATATATCAAACTTTGTAGAACACAACCAAAGGGGAAATTTATAGCACTAAAATGCTGAAATTAGTAAAGAAAACTAGTCTCAAATCAATAATTTAAGCTTCTATCTCAATAACTTAGAAAAATGATGTAAACATATATTAATATGAAAGTATAAAGGTGAGGAAATAAAAAGTATATATTAATAAAATGAAAAACAGAAAAAGTTTAAAAATCGATGAAAGAAGCAGTTGTTTCTTTAAAAAAGAAAATAAACTTCAAGCAAGACTGGGGAAAAAGGAAAGAATACTCAAGTAAGCAATATCAAGAATGAAACAGGAATTATTACTACAACCCTGCAGACATCAAAAGGATAATAGGTAGTACTATAAACAATTCTATACACATAAATTTGACAACATAGAAAAAATTGACTACTTCCTCCAAAAATGCAAACTACTTCATCCATTATGAAATGGATAATTTGAACCCTTCTATAATCATAAGGAAAAAGTGCACTTTATTTTTTTTAATCCAAAGAAGTATCTAGGCCCAAATAGCTTTACTGGAGAATTCTAGAAAAAGCTTTTCAGCCTTTTTGCCCATTCTAGTATTATAGATTCTATGTAATGTCTTCTAGAAAATATAAAAGAAGACAAAATTTTCTACCTCAGTTTATAAAGCTGGTATTACTCTGACAGTAAAACCGGACAAAAATTGTATAGATAAGACAGCAGACAAATATTCCTTGTGAATATACATGCAAAGATTCATGACAAAATATTAGTAAATGGAAGTTAACAATATATAAAAAGAATTATACACCATTACTATGCAGAGCTTATTCCAGAAATGCAAAGCTGGTTCAGTATTTGAAAAGTCATTAATGTAATTGACCATAATAATATATTAAAGAAGAAAAATCATACTGCCATAAAAATGGAAACATCTTAAGCATCTTACAAACTTAAATATCCATTCATGATCAATACATTTAGAAAAATAGGAGTAAAAGGAAACTTGTTCAACTTTGTAAAATGTATGTACATGAGAGGCCAGGTGGAAGGACCACTTGACTCCTGGAGTTCGAGGCTTCAGTGATCTATGATTGCATCACTGCACCCCAGCGTTGGTGATCGAGGGAGACCCTGCCTCAAAAAAAAAAAAAAAAAAAAAAGAGAGAGAGAGAGACAAAATACTTACAGCTAACATCTTCTTAATGGTGAAACACTGAAGGATTTCCCTTAAGATCAGATACAAGACAAGAACGTTCACTCTCACCATTCTTATTTAACATAGCACTGTACTAGAAAGTTTAGCTACTGTAATAAGGAAAGAAAACAAAATAAAAGGCATACCTAGTGGAAATTAAGAAATAAAATTGTCCCTATTTGCAAAGCACATAGTTGTCTACATGGAAAATTCCAGGTAATCTACAACAATGTCCTAGAACAAATGAGTAGGTTCAGCAACATTGCAAAATACAAGATAAACATTAAAAAATCAATTGTATTTCTATACATTAGCAATGAACCTATGGAAACTAAAATTTAAAATATAACACTACTTATAATTGATTTAAACAATGAAGTGCTTAGGTATAAATCTAACAAAACATGCAGGAGTTGTTATGCAGGAAATTTTGCAATACTAATGAAAGAAAACAAGGAAGAGCTAAATAAATAGAGATATATACACCATTTATGGATTGGAAGATTTGATATAGTAAACATTGTAATTATCCCCAAAATGATATACAGTTTTATTGCAATTTTTATCAGAATGTCAGAACCATTATTTGTATACATAGGGATTATTGTAAATTGTACATGCAAAGGTGTAAGAACCAGAATAGGTGAACTAACTTTGTAAAAAAAATAACAAAGTGGAAGTAACTGCCTATCTGATATCAAGATTTATTACATAACTACAGTACCAAGACTGTGTTTTAATAGCAGAGGGATAGTCACATAGATAATGGAACAGAATAAATAACCCAGAAATAGAG
Organism: Homo sapiens; assembly: GCF_000001405.40. Lineage (NCBI taxonomy): Eukaryota > Metazoa > Chordata > Mammalia > Primates > Hominidae > Homo > Homo sapiens. Next base: position 36,116,290 of record NC_000008.11, on the reverse strand, counting down.
CCACACATATATGCCAAACTGATTTTTGATTAAAATGTCAAAGCAATTAAATGGAGCAAGAACAGCCTTTCAACAAATTGTGCTGGACAAATTGGACATCCTAATACAAGAAAAAAGAAAGAACCTTAACCTAAGACTCACACCTCAAGCAAAAATTAAGTCAAAATGGGTCACCCCAGAATTAAATGTATAACACTTTAAATTATAATTATATAATTTAAATATAAATTAAATGTATAACACTTTAAATTATAATTAAATTTAAACTATAACACTTTAAATATATTTATATATACAGAAGAAAATCTCCAGGATTAAATATTAGGCAAAGAGTTCTTAGACTTTACATCAAAAAGGTAATCCATAAAAGGAAATATCATTAAATGGGACTTCACTGAAATTAACAACTTTAGTTTTGTGAAACAGCCTTTTAGGAAGACGAAACAACAAGCTACAGAATGGGAAAAATTATTTTCCTACTGCATCGCTGATGAAGAATTACTATCTAGAATATATAAAGAACAGTCAAAACTCAACAGTGAAAAAAATAGATAAAACATTTATGAAATGGGCAAAAATCATGAATAGACATCTCATTGAAGTAGATATAGAGATGACAAACACAAGAAAATATGTTCAACATTAAGAACATGTAAATTAAAGTTATAATGAAATATCACTAATATCTATTAGAATGAACAAAAAAACTAGTGATAATACCAAATGAAGATGCAGAGACAATGAATCGCATTCATATACTGCTGGTAGCAATATAAAATGGTACAGCAACTCTGAAAAACAGTTGTTTCAAAAAACTAAATTTTCAACTACCGTACAAATCAGTGATTGCACTTCTGGGCATTTATCTCAGATAAATAAAAGTGTATCATCACACAAAAACTTGTACACAAATGTTTATAGCAGCTTTAATTGTAATAGTCTCGAATTGAAAACAATGAAGATATCCTTCAATGAGTGAATGTGTAAACAAATTGTGATACATCCATGCCAAGAAATACTATTCAGAAATAAAAAGAAACAAATTATCACTACACATAACAACTTAGATGAATCTCCAGAGAATTATGCTGACTCTTAAAAAGCCAATCTCAAAAAGTTATATACTATATGGCTCCATTACATAATCTTCCTAAAATGACAAAAGTAGAGAAATGGAGAACAGAGTAGCGGCTGGCAGTGGTCAAAAAAGGGGAGTAGGAATGGAAATGTTTGGCATCTTCATTGAATAAATGTTTGTATCTTGGTTGTCAGGTTGCAATATGGTTTTTACATATGTTATTGGGGTGGGGGAACAAACTGAGTACACAGTACATAGGAAGTCTATTTCTTACAACTGCATGTGAATCTGTAATTATCTCAATATAACAAGTTAATAAAAATTACTATAAAAATAATTGCCATTCCTGTTATGTGTTAACCTCCAGATATGAGGAATACCCAAGTATTCATGGTTCAAGGAAATAAAAAATCACTGCCTAGGCTGTGGAATCAGAAACACAAATAGCAAGTTAGGAAAATAGAGATAAAACTGAGACAACACCAGCAAGTTTAGAAGAAGGGGCACACTTGAGCCAAAGCAGTAAAAGATACTAAGTGGTTATTTCAAATCAGTATGGTGGGTTTTCTCCTGCAAAAATTATTGCTATATTCACTTACTCAACAGATCTAAAGTGGAAAAAAAGCTATTTTTAATTTAATTTATCACTGAAATTTGAGAAATGAGATTTGGCATAGTTAAAAACATCCACCACCATCCTTTCCCTGTAAATGGAAAACTTAATAAAGTACTTTACTAAATCTTGAATCACAAGATTCAGCATGTGGTATGGCTAACAGTAAAAAATAAAGACTGACATAATTATAACTATTTTTTCTGAAACTTCATTGAAAAATGGAACAAAAACTAAGTTTCTATTTTGGATTTCTGGAGTATGAATTTAGATCTCCGGTAGAAACCTCCGCTTAAAAAGAAACAAATGAGACTGAAAAATGTACATCACAGATTCATTTTTTTTTCAGAAGGAAAGTAATTTGCTTCAAAATGCACATAAAGTAATTCTCTGAAAACTCACACTATACATTTAAAACATCAGCTAATTTGCGCAACGTATCTTTGCATTTACAACTATGACGTGATAAGCAAAGTATTAAGTTCTCACAGAGACGTCTAAGGTGTTCAATTGTGCCAACCTGGCTAGGCCATAGTACTCATATTATTAGTCATACATTATTCTAGAAGTTTCTTTAAAGGTATTTTTATATGAGATTAATATTTAAATCAGTAGACTTCTAGTAAATCAGATTACCCTCCATAATGTGGGTGGGACTCAACCAATCAGTTGAAGTCCTAAATAGAAAAAGATTCACCTCCCTCAAGAAAGGGGAGAGCCTGCCAGCAGATTGCTTTTGGATTCAAGCAACATCCAGGGACTCTGGCCTGCTAGCCTACCCTGCAGATTTCAGAACTGTTAGCCTCCACAATCCTGTGAGTCAATTTTTTTTTTTTTTTGAGACAGAGTTTCGCTCTTGTTGCCCAGGCTGGAGTGTAATGGCGCAAACTCGGCTCACTGCAACCTCCGCCTCCTGGGTTCAAGTGATTCTCCTGCCTCAGCCTCCCAAGTAGCTGGGATTATAGGCATGCACCACCACACCCAGCTAATTTTGTATTTTTTTTTCTTTTTTTTTTTAGTAGAGACAGGGTTTCTGCATGTTGGTCCGACTGGTCTTGAACTCCCAACCTCAGGTAATCTGCCTGCCTCAGCCTCCCAAGAGTCAATTATTTAAAGTCTCTCTCTCTCTCTCTGTCTCTCTCCCTCCCTCTTCACTGTCTCTCACACACATACACACACCCTATTGGTTCTGTTTCTCTGCAGAACCCTGATCAATACGGATTGGCTGAGAATGTTTCTAGAGGAAGTGAATCTTAAGAATGCATTTTCTGGGCCTGGCACGATGGCTCATGCCTGTAATCCCAGCACTTTGGGAGGCTGAGATGGGTGGATCACAAGGTCAGGACGAGACCATCCTGGCTAACACGGTGAAACCTCATCTCTACTAAAAAATACAAAAAATTAGACAGGTGTGGTGGCACGTGCTTGTAGCCCCAGCTATTCAAGAGATTGAGGCAGGAGAATCACTTGAACCCAGGAGACGAAGGTTGCAGTGAGCTGAGATTGCCCCACTGCACTCCGGCTTGGGTGACAGAGCGAGATTCCATCTCCAAAAAAAAAAAAAAACTGCATTTTCTGAATTGGTCCTGAAATTTCTAGAATCTGAATACAAATAGAATAAATTAGATTTAAAGGCACCAATGACTATTTCCATTAGTAAAGAAGGCACTGATAGTTCATGGCATGATGTAGCAACAGAGATACATAAAGTATCAACACTGGATACTCCTAATCAAATACTTATAAACAAGGTTTCAGGGATCTATGTATATGATAGCTTTGAATATTTTTGTTAGAGTAATGTGTATAATGAGACTGGCTAGTTGCTCCTAATTTTACTAGAGAAAGTAGAGAAAGAAAAAAATGAGCTCTTGACTTGAATTCCCAGCCCAAGTGCTGTGTAAATGTCTTAAAATTCTATGTCTTCCCTTAAAAAGACTCTTATCTTCTATAGCCACCCACTTGAGATTGGTGAAAACTAAACCCAGAATCTCATCCTGCAAGTAGCTGAATTACAACACAAACTGAATTCCCAGGCTCTCAGTGTCTACTATTAAAGGCATTGGTTGGGAAGAAACAAGATTCTAAAATTTGAATGGGGACATATAGGAAGATCCAGATGAGTCTGGAGACATTGAACTCCTAAATTCAGATGCATCTTTGTCAGTAGAAAGCAGCTGCTGTACTCCTAAGGAGATTAACTCTGCTTTGCCTGAGGAAACTGTAATGGCCTCCACTGAGGCAGCTGCCTTCCAAAACTGCTGATTCTCTGTAGGAATCACCCCCATGTTTCTCCTCTTTTCTTCTAGACCTATAACTAACCTGAAGTCCCAGCAAGCAAGCTCCTAAAGGTAAGGTACAAAGTGTGACTCATGAGAAATTGCATTACACTCCAAAAGAACTACGTGATTTCTCCAGTGTATACAAACGGAAGTGCAAGGAATATGAAATGGATATCAAGAATGTGGGATAACAGTAGAAGAAATGTAAAGTTGAGTCAGGGTGAATTTACTGATATGGCCCCATGAAGCAGAGATTATGGATTTAAGGTTGCAGCTCTAGAAGTCAGAAAGGGTTCTAACAATTTGGTAGGTTGGCTGAAATATGAAGCAAAAGTAAATGCACTTAAAATGCCATAACTGCCTTGGGATACTGTAGAGGAAGGAATTCAAAGGCTAAGGGAGATTAAAATGTTAGAGTGCATTTGCCATTTAAGACATGCTCACCCACATGGGGAGAGTCCAGAGAACATACCTTGCATTATGACTGTGAGAAACAAATTTGTGTGGGGAGCCCCAGCATCCTTGAGGGGCTCTGTGATACTCTGTGATAAATCGCTGTGGGTCAGAAATTATAGTGGGAACTGCAGTCACTGAATTGGGAAGCCTAAATGCAGTGGAGGAGACTGAATTTTGAAGTTGCAGGGGCCAAGTGACTGGACTCAACTGCAAAAGGTAAAGTGGGTGTTGTTACCATAATGGACAGCAGAATGGATGCAGTTATCAGAATAGTGTCACACACAGAGACCTATGGAGTTGGTGAGTTGATCAAGGTATGTCCAGAAGTGAAATAGATGGGGAGCCTATTAAATTCTTACTTGATCTGCATAAGCAGAAGGGTCATAGATTAAATGAACAAAAGTCTTACTTGAGCCATAAAAACAGGCAATCATAGCCCCCCAATTAATTCCCAGACTTGAGCTACTTTACAGACCCAGAACCCTTAAGTGAATGAGAAGACAGGTCTCTTTAAGGAAGGCCCCTAGTACAATGCCAAAATTTATACTGTTAATCATTCTCTTAGCCTTTTCCAGAAAGACATACAACCTTTGACCAGGGTAACTGCATTAGAAAAAAGGAAATAATCAGGCCTTTCAGGGACTACAAAACTCTGGCTCTGAAGTGGCACTAATTCAACGAAACTTAAAACATCACTGTTCTATCCATCAGAGCAGGGGTGTAAGGAAGTCAATGTAATTTTACTACGAGTCCATCTTGCAGTGGGCCCAGTGGGCGCCTGGACCCATGATGTGACTATTTCCTCAGATGTGGAAGGCATAATTGGATAGAGATACTCAGAAGTTGGCAGAATTGTCACATTGACTCCCTTGACCTATGGGTGAAAGCTGTTAAGTTTAGAAAGGCCAGGTGGAAGCATCTAGAATTTCCTCTACCTAGGAAGAAAATAAAACAGAAGCATTGCCACATTTCTGGAGGGGTCACAGAAAATTAGTACCACCATTAAGAAGTTGAAGAATGTAGGGATGGTGACTCCCATCCCATCCCCATTCAACTCACCTATTTGGCCTGTGTAGAAGACATGTGGATCTTGGAGAATGATAGTGAATTATTTTAAGCTTAACCAGGTGGTGACCCCAATTGCAGCTCCTGTAGCAGAATTGGTTTCATTGCTTGAGCAATTTACCACATCCCCCGGCACTTGGTATGCAGCTATTGGTCTGGCAAATGCATTTTTCTCTTTACCTGTTAGTAGAGAATGCCAGAAGGAATTTGGTTTCAGCTGGAAAGGCCAAATGTACACCTTTACTGCCCTATCACAGGGGTGGATGAACTGTCCAGCTCTATGTCATAATTTAGTCATAGGTAACTTGACCAGCTTTCCCTTCTACAAGACATCATACTCGTTCTTTACATTTTGCTGATTGGACATAGTTAGCAAGAAGTAACAACTACCCTAAACTTGCTGGTAAAATATCTGCATGTCAGAAGGTAGAAAATAAATCTGACAAAAATTCAGGATTTCTAACTCAGTGAATTGTTTGAGGGTCCAGTGGGGTGGGGCATATTAAGATATCCTTTCGAAGGTGAACAAGTTGTCACATCTTTCCCCTCCTACAGCCAAAAGAGACGTGCACTGCCTAGTGGGCCTCTTGGATTTTGGAGGCAATGTATTTTTCATTTGAGCATGCTGCTCCAACCCATTTACAGAGTAACTTGAAAATCTGATAGTTTTGAGTGGAGCCTAAAACAACAGAAGGTTCTGTGACAGGTTCATGCTGCCATGCAAGCTACCAGCCACTTGAATCATATGATCCATCAGCGTCAATGGGTTTGAGGTGTCAATCGCAAGAACTGTTGTTTGGAGGCATTTACAGCCTCTTATAAGTGAATCACAGTGCAATCCCTTAGAATTTTAAAGTGAAGCCCTGCTATCCTCTGTAGATAACTACTCTTTATTTGAGAAACAGCTTTATTCTACACCTGGGTCTTTGAGACTAAATGTTTAACATGGGCCACCAAGTTGCAACCTGATTTGCCCAGCATGAACTGGGCATTATCTGATCCATCAAGCCATGAAGTTTGGGCATTCACAGTGGTACTCCCTTATCAAATGGAAGTTTTATGTATGAAATCAGCCTCAAGCTGACCCTGAAAGCAATATGTCTAAACCCTTATGGTTCACACTCCTGCTACACTACCTTATTTCTCCCAGCCTGTACCTATGGTTTCATGGGGAATTCCCTACAGCCAGTTCATAGAGGAAGAAGAGACTCAGGCCTGGTTTACGGATGGTTCAGCATGATATTCAGGCACCAGCTGCAATGGAGAGCTGCAGCACTAAAGCCTATTTATGGGACATCCCTGAAGGACAGTAGCAAAAGGAAATCCTCTCAGTGGGCAGAACTTCAAGCAGTTCATCCGGTTGTGCACTTTACTTGGAAAGAGGAATGGCCAGGCATGCAATTATATACTGATTTATGGGCTGTGGTCAATGGTTTGGCTGGATGTGACCATGATAGAACTTGGAAGGAACATAACTGGAAAACTGATGGCAATGAAATTTGTGGAAGAAGTATATAGATGGACTTCTTTGAATGAGCAAAAAAAAGTGAAGATATTTGTGTTTCATGTGAATGTTCACAAAATGATGACCTCAGCAGAGGACATGTTCTGTGGATATCAGTCAGTTTATTTCTCCAGCTATCCCTGTTGTTGTCCAATGAGCTCATGAACAAAGTGGCCATCATGGCAGGGATGGAGGTTACGCATGGGTTCAGTAACGTGGACTTTCATTTACCAAAGCCGAACTGGCTATAGCCATTGCTGGGTGCTTAAAAAGCCAGCATCCTAAGGAATCCCCGACAAGTCACTATTCTGTTCCCTAGGGTGACCAGACAGCTACCTGGTGGCAGGTTTATTACATTGGAGAGCTTCCATAATGGAAGGAGCAGAGTTTTGTTCCTCCTGGAATAAACACTTACTCTAGAAATGGAATTGCCTCCTTGGCATGCAATACTTCTGCCAAAACTACCATCTGTGGACTTAAAAAATGCCTTATTCACCAGCATGGCCGGTACTCCACATAGCATTGCTTCTGATCAAAGAAGAAACTTTGGAACAAATAAAAAGCAGCAATGAGCTCATGCTCATAGAATTCAATGGTCTTACCATAGTTATCCATCACTTTGAAGCAGCTATGGCTTGATAGAATGATGAAATAACCTTTTGAAGACTCAGTTGTAGTACCAGCTAGGTGGCAACACCTTGTAGGACTCAGGCAAGGTTCTCCAGGGGACTATGTATGCTCTAAATCAGCATTCAGCATTTGATATTGTTTCTCCCTTAGTCAGGATTCATGGGTTCAAGAATTAAGAGATAGAAATGGAAGCGACATCACTGACTGTTACCCCTATTGACCCACCAGTTAAATTTTTGCTTTTTCTCCCCATGAATTTATGCTCTGCTGGCCTAGAGATGGTAGTTCCAAGAGAAGGAATGTTTCTGCCAAAACACAGAACAATGATTCAATTAAACTAGAAGTTAAGACTGCCACTCAGATACTTGGACTCCCTTATGAATCTGAATCAATAGGCAAATAAACGGAGGTAAGGAAGAATATGGCTATAACATAGGAGATCCCTTAGGGTACCTCTTAGTATTATCATGCCCTATGATTAAAGTCAATAGAAAAACTACAATTCAATTTAGGTAGTACTACTAATGGCCCAGATCCTCCAAGAACGAAGGTCTGAGTCACCCCATCAGGTTAAGAATCACAACCAGTTGAGGTGCTTTCTGAGGGCAAAGGGAACACAGAATGAGTGCTGAAAGAGGGTAGTTACAAATGCAAGCTCTGACCATGTGATCAGTTACAGAGAACTACAATTGTCATGAATATTTTTTCTGTTGTTATGAATATGTTTGTGTATGTGTGTATACATTTATACATTGTATGGATATGCACAATTTGTTTATAAATTAATTGTTGATGGATATTCATGTTTGCCTATTTGTAACAGACAATTTTGGGTTATTGCAAACCCAATTTTGGGTTATTACAAATAAGCTGAACATTCATGTACAGGAGTTTGGATGCACATATGTTTTATTTCTCCGAATTAATACCTAGTAGTGGAATGGCTGTGAAATATAGCATATATATATATATATATATAATATAGCATATATATATAATATATATTATATATATAATATTATATATAATATAATATATTTTATATATATAATATAGCATATATAATATAGCATATATATATAATATAGCATATATATATGCCAAACTGTAAACTGTTGCATTCCCAGCAACAGTCTATGAGAGTTCTAATGGCTTCACATCCTTACTAACACTTGATATCATGAAACTTAATAATTTTTGACATTCTAATACCTGTGTAGTGGTGTCTAATGTGGCTTACATTTGTGTTCTCCTTATGATGAACAATGCTGAATATCTTTTCATTTGTCTATTTGCCATCTTTAAATATTCCTTGAAAAAGTATCCATTCAAATATTTTTCTCATTTTTTGTCGGTTTGGTTTTTTAATTATTGAGGTTTGAGAGTTATTTACATTTTCTGGATTCCAGCTGTTTATTATATATATGATTTACAAATATTTTCCCCCATCTGTAACTTGTCTTTTTATTATTATTGTCATTTAAAGAACAAAAGTTCTTAACTTTTGTGGTGTCCAATTTATCCATTTTTTTTCCTTTCAGATTCTCCTTTTGGTGTTATATTTAAGAAATCTCTGCCTAACCCAGGGTCACAAAAATATAATGTTTTCTTCTAGTAGTTGTATAGACTCAGGTTTTACATTTAGGTCTATAGTCCACATAAAGTTTTTTTTTAATATAATGTGAAGTATTGATTAAAGTTGCCCTTTTTGCATAGATACATCCAATTATTCCAGCACTATTTGTGGAAAAGTCTATCCTTACTCCACTGAATTGCCTTTACAACTTTGTCAAAAAATCAACTGACCAAATACGTGTTAGTTTATTTCTGAGCTCTCTATTTTGTTCAGTGGGTCAATCTGCCAATCTTGAAGTTAGTATCACAGTGACTACATTTAAAACTCATGAAGTCAAGTACTGTAAGTCCCTGAAGTTTTTTTTTTTTCTTTAATCGTTTTGGCTGTTCTAGGTACTTTGTTTTACCATCTGAATTTTAGAATCAGCTTTTCAATTCCTACCCTACTGTAATTTCTTTCTTTTATTATTATTATTATTATTATTATACTTTAAGTTTTAGGGTACATGTGCACATTGTGCAGGTTAGTTACATATGTATACATGTGCCATGCTGGTGCGCTGCACCCACTAACTCGTCATCTAGCATTAGGTATATCTCCCAATGCTATCCCTCCCCCCTCCCCCCACCCCACAACAGTCCCCAGAGTGTGATATTCCCCTTCCTGTGTCCATGTGATCTCATTGTTCAATTCCCACCTATGAGTGAGAATATGCGGTGTTTGGTTTTTTGTTCTTGTGATAGTTTACTGAGAATGATGATTTCCAATTTCATCCATGTCCCTACAAAGGACATGAACTCATCATTTTTTATGGCTGCATAGTATTCCATGGTGTATATGTGCCACATTTTCTTAATCCAGTCTATCATTGTTGGACATTTGGGTTGGTTCCAAGTCTTTGCTATTCAATTGGTATTGGAAAGCCTGCTGTAATTTCAATTGGTATTGTATTGAATCTATAGACCAATTTGGTAAACGTTGACATTTTGAAATTATTGATAATTCCAGTCCATGGCACATGCTTTATCTTTCTCTTTAATTCTTTAATTTTTCTCAGCAATGCTTATAGTTTTCAGGGTTTACACCTGGTGCATGTTTTGTTAGATTTATTCTTACTTCATATTTTGATGTTATTATAAATAATACCACTTTTTAATATTTTTAGATTCTGTAAGTCTCCCTGCCTGCTTCTTATTTTTGGGTGGAATTCATATCATATAAAATTAACCATTTTAAGGTGAACAATTTGGTGGCATTTACTGTATTTATGATGTGTATAACCACCACCTCTATCTAGATCCAAAAGATTTTCATCACTCCAAAAGAAAACCCTGTATCAAATAATCAGTTGCTCCCCTTCCTACCCCGCCCCCACAAGCCCTGGCAACCACCAGTATGTTTTCTGTCTCTAAGGATTTACCTCTTCTGGATATTTTATATAACTCTATGTGATCTTTTATAAGGTAGCCACCAATATGTGGCATTTTTCATCTGGTTTCTTTCACATAGCGTAATATTTTTGTGATTATGTTGTAACATGGATTGTATTTGATCCCTTTTTATGACTGAATAATATTCTCTTGTGAACTTCCTTGGGCCTGTAGATTTGTTTTATCCTTTGTTTTTTTTGGAAGGCATTTAAGACAAATTCATGTTTTTAGTAGATAGAAGGTTATTCAGGTTATCTATCTCTTCTTGAGTGAGCTTTGGTAGTTGATGTCTTTCAATCAGTTTGCCCATTGCATTTAAGGCGTTGTATTGGCTATAAAGTTGCTTATAATAATCCCTTTATTATCTTTTTAAATATCTGTAAGTAACAACTATAGCAATGTCACTTTTTTCATTTTAGGTTTCTGTAATTTGTGTATTTTTATTTCCTAATCCATCTGACTAAAGGTTTATAAATTTTATTTTCTCAAAGAATCAGATTTTAGTTTCTTTGATTTTCTGTATTGCCTTTCTGTTTTTTTTATTTCATTCATCTTTGCTCTGATATTTATTATTTCCTTTCTCCTCCTTACTTCGGGTTTTATTTGCACTTTGCTTTCTAGTTTCTTTAAGTGGAAGCTAAGGTTGTTGATTTGAGACCTTTCTTCTCCACTAATATAGATGTTTAGTTCCATAAATTTCCCTCTAAATACTCCTTTAGATGCATTCCATAAAATTTGATATGGTGTCTTTTCATTTTCATTTAGTTCAAAATAGTTTTTGATTTGCATTTCAATGTCTTCTCTGGTCTCTAGGGTATTTAGAACTGTGTTATTCAGCTTCCAAATTCAGATATCTTCTGTTATTTATTTTTAGTTTAATTCCATCATGGCTATACAAGATACTCCTTGAATACAAGATATTCCTTGAATTCTTTTCAATTTGTTGATACTTTATGGGCATTAATATGGTCTATTTGGGTAAATGTTTTATATGTACTTGAAAATAACACATATTTTGAGTTGTTTGGTGGAGTATTCTATAAATACCAAAAAGGTCAAGTTGGCTGATGATGTTGATCACCAGTTCACTGAAGTCTTTTTGTATTTTCAGTCTTTTTCTCCCTATTTTCCATTATAGATATTACATTGAAATATTATATTTTCAATCTCTCTAATTGTTTCTAGCTTGTGTTTTCAAGCCTCCTAATTGTTTCTTCTGCAATGTCTACTCTGTTAATCTTATCTGTGTGTGCTTTTTTTTTCAATTTACAGACTTTTAGGGTCACAGCAAAATTGAGCACAAAGTAGAGAGAGTTCCAACATTTTCCCCCTCTGCCACTCAGCTTTCTCCACCATCAATTATCCTCCACCAGTGTGGTACATTTGCTATAACTGATGAACCAATATTGACACTTCATTATTTACCTAAGTCCACAGTTTACCTCATCCTTAGTTTTTATACATTCTATGTGTTCTGACAAATGTATAATGACATATATCCATCATTATAGTATCAGACAAAATAGTGTCACTGCTTTAAAACTCCCCTGTACTCTATTGGTACAAAAAGTAGTTACAAAGAATGAATAAGACCTAGTAGTTGATAGCACAACAGGGTGACTATAATCAATAATAATTTAATTGTACATTAAAAAATAACTAAAAGAGTTTCATTAGATCATTTGTAACACAAAAGATAAATGTTTGAGAGAATGGATACTTCATTTACCATGATGTGATTATTATGCATTGCGTGCCTGTAAAGTATCTCATGTACCCCATAAATATATACACTTCTATGTTCCCACAAAAATTAAAAATTAACAAAAAGAAGAAAGGGAGAAAATTGTACTTGAAGACTAAAGTATGGTTTCCTTCTGTGGGTTCCCCATCTGTCCAACAGATACCAAATACCCTTCCCCCCACTGTCAGTGGAAGTTCAGCTTTCTGCTATTGGAGCTTCCTTCTTTCACTGCACAATAAGAGTGTATACCGGCTTGCTGTCTACTTTTAAACTTGTATAGGTGTGAGCCATTATTCACTGAATACCCCACATTCCAGTGGACATGTCAATTGCTTTGAGATCTTTTCTTGAGCCACCCTTCCTCTCACATGAAGAACATGGGCAACTCTCTAAGAACATATTCTTTGCCAATCTTCAACTTTATGATAAATTTTTAGCCTTGTTTTATGAAACCTGGAGATCTTTGGTAAGCTAGGAGTCATGAAATCAGTCTTTCATAGTCTTAGTACAGCCTACATAGATTATCTGGCAACTACTGTTCTCAGCATTTTAAGGCCAAACACATAGATAGCAGGAAAAGTCTCTTTTGATAACCTGTTTTATATGTAATATTTTACACATAGAGCATTTGTTAGTGTTATCCAGTGTTTCTATGCATCCAAAATCATAGAAATACTGCCTGGCAAGTAATGATCTTTCAATAAATATTTGTTGAACAAACAAATCCGCAATTTTGAGGGTTATCTATGTTTGCTACCATATTAAAAAACCCATCAAGGTTTACAAAAGTTAGAAGACTCATAAAAAGAAATGAGAAATTATCAAAGATGAGGAAAATCTTAAAAGCAACTAAAAAGTAATGGCATGACTTTTTCTGTACAGCAGATTCACATCAGCACCAATAGATTCTCAAAGGCAGTACAATACTATCTCCAAACTGCTGGAAAAAAATAATAAAATTGCTTTCAATAGAAATTCTGTACCCTGATAGGTTATCATGTGGCAGTGGAGAGCAAAATAAAAAGTATTTTCTGACAAACAAAATATTCACACACTTACAAACCCCAAGTAAAATAACTTCTAAAAGGATCTATTTCATTAAATAGGAAATAAAATGGAACCAGAAGAAAGCAAGGTGATACAAAAAATGAGTGTGAGTAAAGAACTGGAAATATGTTGATAGAATTTAAATGAGGATTGGCTATTCACAAAATTACTAATGACCTAGTTTGTTGTGTCTCAAAGTGAGAAAAAACTAAAATAGTAGAAGCAATAATATGGAAAATGAGAGTAAATTGGAGTTAAAATATTACAAAATATCAACCATAGGAATAGAGATTGTGGCTAACTTTAGATTTTTACCTAAAGACTATTAAACATTTTTTTTCTTTTTGAGATGGAGTCTTGCTCTCTTGCCCAGGCTGGAGTGCAGTGGCACAATCTCAGCTCAGTGCAACCTCTGCATCCCAAGTTCAAGCGATTATCCTGCCTCAGCCTCCTGAATAGCTGAGATTACAGGTACCCGCCACCATGTCTGGCTAGTTTTTTTGTATTTTTAGTAGAGATGAGGTTTCACCATGTTGGCCAGGCTGGTCTCAAACTCCTGACCTCAGGTGATCCACCCACCTTGGCCTCCCAAAGTGCTGGGATTACAGGCATGAGCCACCGAGCCTGGCCAAGACTGTTAAACATTTTAAGGGTCAGCACTGAAAGAACAGAGACAAATTATGTAATTTCAAGAAGGAGTCAGAAAAAAAGAGAAATAAGAATTGTAAAAGTTTATAAAGGCTGGGCACTGGTGGCTCACACTTGTAATCCCAGCAATTTGGGAGGCTGGGGCGGGCAGTTTGCTTGAGACCAGGAGTTCAAGACCAGCCTAGGCAACATAGTGAGACCCTCATCTCTCCAAAAAAAAAAAAATTAGCTAGGTGTGGTGATGTGACCCTGTAGTCCCAGCTACTCTGGAGGCTGAGGCAAGAAGATCACTTGAGCTCAGGAGGTTGAGGCTGCAGTGAGCTGTGACTGTGCCAGTGCACTCCAGCCTGGGCAACAGAGTGAGACTCTGTCTTGGAAAGAAAAGAAAAAAAAAAGAATACCATTAAAAGTTTAAAAAATAGATATGGCAGAGTTAAGTTTAAATATGATTGCAAGAAAGAGAAAAAGCAGGCTTTGAAATGCAGGAACTGATCTGACAATTACAAGGCCACAGAGTGGACAGAAGTAGGCCTGGTACTAGAAGTTAGGCTATGTTGTTTTCTTCTTGGACATAAATAATCTCAAAGACCATCAAATTTAGACAAAGTCATTGTGAGGCCATAATAAAGTGAGACAAAATAAAACCACCGCAAAATATTATGTAAGCACAGTCACTGCCATTTAGCAGACCACAAAATACCAAACACCTCCCTCTCCTAGCAAATATGATTGAATGTTACTGTTTTCTAGACCAGTCTTAGCTTTTGTGTCACTCTAGCCCATATGTCTTTAGCTAAGATTTGTTAAGACAGCCAATTATAGAATTTTCCCCAGTTTCTAACAGCACTAAATCAAACATAAACCTCTCTTTTCTTAGACTGTCCTCCAAATCACCCAACTGAAGCCCAAATTACCCAAATAAAGCCCAAATTTGGTCATCTGTCCTTTATAATATCCTCTTACCAAGGTGCCCTGTTAATCTCCATTGGGTACAATCACCCATGATGTGATGAGTAATAAACTCAACTTGTTCAGCTCTAAGTGCACAGACGAGTGCACAGACACCTATAATCACAATAAAATTAAAATGGCATTTTAGTTCACTGTTCTTATCTATTTGTTCTTAGATAAATTTTTCAATAGCCCTACCGACAGTCCCCAAACATCCCCCAAAAAAATCCTGTTGACATTTTTCATTCATTTATTTATTTCTATTTTTCGCTCTCTGAATTTCTACTTCTATATTTTTCATTTATTTTAGGTACAGAATATTGTAGTAAGAAATGATTATCTCTCCAATGCTGGGTTTTCCCTTCCAGAAATATGATATATATCTCCATTTATACACATCACGGCTTATGGGGTTTTTCTGAAATTTTATTCACATAGATAATGTATATGACTTGTCCGATTTATTTCTAAGTAATATATAAGAACCTATTCCTTGATATATGTGTAAGAAGATTTTTACATAGGCATCTATGTATATACATATATATTTCTTTATGTAGTTTTTGTGCTTTTACAAATTACTCTTATTTATTTATATATTTTGTGCTATTATATATCACTATTACACTTTTTGTTTTCTAATTCACTGTTTTCTATTTTTAACTGTAAATTCTCTGTTATATTTTCTTGATCTCTTTTGAGAATTTAGAATAAAATGATTGGTTCATTTATTTTTAATAAGCATTTTAGAATATGGATTTTCCTCTCAGCATAGATTTGACCATATGCTATAAGTGGTCATACTGAATACAGAGTTCTCATTATTCTTAATTCCTAAATTATATGAGATTGCAATTATCATATTTTATTTTAGTTATTTAGAAATATTGACTTTTTTCCAGGTCAATAAAGCTTTGTCACTCTAATTGTTTGTAATCCATCTACATTTTTACAACAGGATGGTGAGAAAATCTTACTGTTATAATAACTGAAAGTTTCCTGTTTTCCTCATCTCTTTTCATTTTAAATAATTTTCCATGAATGCTTAAAAGGCAATATATTGTCCAGAGATTATAAATATATGTAGGCAAATCCTTTATACACATCCTTAATATACATGTATCTTTATGAATAAGCTTTTCCATATATATTACACTGTACAGTACACGTACTATATTCGTCCTTCTCACTATTGTGTCATTAGAGCCTGGCACAAGTACTCAAGAGATACTTTCAGCTGAATAATTAGTCATTACTTTCATTTACTCTTTTCCCCTAAATGATCTGTCAAACAATAAAAGATGTCTTAAAAACTCCCCACTACTATTGTTCTGTCAAATTTTTCCCTACGTGTTTAAAAACATTCAGCTATATTTACATTCTATGTTACTTTGTGTATGAAGGTTCATAACGTTTATATCATCACTGTGGATTTTTCTATCAAAATAAAATTACCATTTATGTCCATTTATTGCTTCCTGGAATTGATTTCTATTTTGATGCATGTGATAGCTCCAGTGTTCTTTTGTATTGCCTGATACATCTTTGTTCCATTTTTTACCTTTTTATTGAAATTCATTTACAGTTGTGTTTCTTGTAAAGGCTATATAAATTCTGTTTTGATAGTTTTAATTAATATGAGCCTATGCCTTCTAAATTGTGACATGTCATAAATATCTTTTATGCTTTTGGGTTTTATGCTTTCTTCTGTTTCTTTTACTATAGTGTTTTATAAATGTCCTTTACTTGTTTTTTTTCTATTTCCCATAATAAATTAAAATATATACATAGTGTCTTAATAGGATGCATTTACAAATATTTAAAATCACAAACTTTCTCAATACATCAGTCTGTCAAAGGAAATAATATACTGCTTTCCACCTACACCAAATTAGGAAAAAAGCATGCTTTTACTCTCTCTGCATCCTCAGCACCAGTTCCCTACACACATTTTTTTTTCTGATCTGAGACTGTAGATCAGAATACAGATACCAATATTGTACACATTATACATCTTCTTTGTTAGGAATCATTCTTGATATTTCAACTGTATTTAATTTATATTTATAAGTCTGTAGTTTTACTTCTATATTTAACTAGTTTCATGGTTTACTTCAGCTTTTATACCACAATTTTCCCATATTTGAGTTCTTTGACTTCATTTATCTCTAAGTTACACAAGAAGACATATTTAAATATCTTTCTTTACAGGAAAATAAATATATTTAAGCAATGTACTGTCTGATCATGTTCTTATGACACTTATTCCTCTTACTTTCAGGTGAACTGTAACTGATTTGTCATCTGATGCTCATACAGAAATTTAATTTCTCTTGTCTAGAGAGAGGTCTAATTTGCTTTAGAACAGATTTGTCCAAAAGACTTTTCTATGATGGCAGGAAAGTCTTTTATCTGCACTGTCCAATACAGTAGTTATAGTAGCAACCAACCACATGTGGCTACTGAATACTTGAAATGTGGCTACTATTAATTAGTTTAATTTAATTTATTATTTATATTACTACATATGGGTTACACATTGGATAGTACAGTTCTAGAATGTTCCAGAATCGTGTGAGAGAAGTGGAGTTCTGTTTTGCTTCTTCTTTCATTTCCAACCAACTCCTCTCCTGCTTGAGAACTGGATTTCCCTCTATTTCCTTTCTCTTGGAGTGCAGATCTGAAATCTTATTGCTTTTGGCAACAGGATTTTTCCTTTCATATTTTCCTTTCAAGTTTTCCTTTCGTATTTTTTCTAGTGGTCTATGACTACACCTGTCTCCTTAAATCACCAACGGAATTCCACTTTGGTCTCATTCTTATTATTTTTTTTTTTTTTTTAGTATGGGACAATGTGAGATACATTCTTTTATTATTTTTTCTTTTTTTAATTATACTTTTAAGTTCTGGGGTACATGTGCAGAATATGCAGTTTTGTTACATAGGTATACACGTGCCTTGGTGGTTTGCTGCACCCATCAACCCGTCATCTACATTAGGTATTTCTCCTTATGTTATCCCTCCCCTAGACCTGCACCCCGCTGACAGGCCCCAGTGTGTGATGTTCCCCTCCCTGTGTCCATGTGTTCACATTGTTCAACTGCCACATATGAGTGAGCATATGCGGTGTTTGGTTTTCTGTTCTTGTGATAGTTTGCTGAGAATGATGCCATCTCACACCAGTTAGAATGGCGATCATTAAAAAGTCAGGAAACAACAGATGCTGGACAGGATGTGGAGAAACAGGAACACTTTTACACTGTTGGTGGGAGTGTAAATTAGTTCAACCATTGTGAAAGGCAGTGTGGCGATTCCTCAAGGATCTAGAACTAGAAATACCACTTGACCCAGCAATACCGTTACTGGATGTATACCCAAAGGATTATAAATCATTCTACTATAAAGACACATGCACATGTATGTTTATTGCGGCACTATTCACAATAGCAAAGACTTGGAACCAACCCAAATGTCCATTAATAATAGACTGGATAAAGAAAATGTGGCACAGGCCTCAATCTTTTTTTCTTCTCCTCTTTCCTAGCTGCCTCTTATGCTATAAGTCTAGAGCTATTATTTCCATCATCATTATATTTGACTGCTGCCTGAGTGAAAGGAAAGTATTATAGTTTTGCTTCACCCAGGAGTTCTATTTGATGGAGGGATTGTCATATATATATATTTTTAAGACGAGATAAATTGGGCTTAGAAGGCTTAGATACAAAACTAGGAGAGAGTCTTCCTCTTTGTACGAGGGTTTGTTGGTTTATTTCCTAGGCTCTTCTCAGTCTCTCTCCTTGGTGTTTTCATCCTTTCCAAAGACACTGAGCTATGAGATGGCTGCAACTCACCTCCAGTCCTTGACTCTTCCGGTTCCTGCATTCTTCACTCTGCCAGCTTGGGTGTCTCACCATACCTTCTTCCCAGTTTTGGCGACTCCAGCAGATGTTGCCATTCTCTTGTTCCTTTTATAGCCACTTTTATACTTCCAGTGTTTTCGAAGCCAAATCAGCACTTTCGCCCACAGCCTCAAGACAGTTTTTTTTGTTTTTTGATTTTTGGTTTATTTTTGGCAAAATAGAGGCAGTTTGGCTGGACTGGGAGACACTAGAAAACACAGGAATCTATTCCTTTAGTTGTGTTCCAGACATCAGGTTCACTTGAGTCAGGAATGAGGTTGGGGGACTTTATAGCAAGTCTAAAATTATCTAGAGGAATAATAGTTTTATGACTTCCAAGACCTATCTTTCCATCTATGATTCAGCTCTTCCTCTGCCTCTATATTTCCTAGCTTAATGGTACCTACTGCTACAGGAGTTAAGAAGAAATCACTTAGGCAGATAGTAAGGGTATGGGCGTCCTCGGTAAGGCTTTTCTGTTTAATGAAAAGCAGCCCCAAATCATTTTCTAACAAAGAGGAGCCTGTAAAGTCAAGCTGCAGACAGATAAGCAAGCTGGGAGCTTGCACAGGTGAATGAAGGCAGGAACTAGGGACTAGACATGTTCGAGATGGCGTATCCATCTTCCCTTCTCTGCCAGCTATGTGTACAGTAAGGAGCAGACAATACGGCACCATCCAAGGAGAATTATTTGCATAATTAGATTAGGGTGGGGCGACCAGCCTTCCCAGCGCTATGTAAACGTCACACCTGATTAAACCAATCTGTGAGCACTACGTAAATCAGACACCACCTCCTCAAGCTGGACTATAAAATCACGTGCATCCGCTGCCAGCCAGTCTTTTCTTCCGGGAGACCCCTCTCTCTCTATAGAGAGATATGTTTCTCTTTCTCTTCTCTTCTGCATGTTAAACCTCTGCTCCTAAACTCGTGTGTGTCCGTGTCCTATATTTTCCTGGCGCAAGATTACTAACCCCAGGGTATATACCCCAGACAACGTAGCTGCTTCACTACTACCAAGAGACCTCTATCAAGGAATTCACTGATTCAAAGCCCCTCTCAGTTTCTGCTGCCCAGCTCATTGCAGAAACTGGGGCTAAGGAATTGATCTGCAGCCCCTGGTGGGCTATCCCAATACTGGTTTGCATCGTGGGGAGCACAGTATCTGTCCTTGAAGCTGTCACCATGCCTGCAAGATGGGAGGATCAATGCTGTCTGTGTTATCACCAGCACTCCCAGCTTTGTTTTATCAGAATTCTGATTTGTTTCCACCATAAAATCATCTTTCCTACATTTATTTCTGCTTGACAACCAAAAATTTTCAGTTACCTTTCCATTCTTTAAAGTTCAGCGCACTCAGTAGGGCACCTAGGTCCTCAAATTCGCTGTGTGACTAAAGCCTTTCAGCCTCTCTGGCTTCCTGGCTCATAAGGTAAACACACCCCTCGGTGCATAATCTTTCTTCTTCTTCTTTCTTCTTCTTTCTTCTTCTTTCTTCTCCTTCTCCTTCTTCTTCTTCTTCTTCCTTCTTTCCTCCTCCTCCTCCTCCTCCTCCTCCTCCTCCTCCTCCTCCTCCTCCTCCTCCTTCTTCTTCTTCTTCTTCTTCTTCTTCTTCTTCTTCTTCTTCTTCTTCTTCTTCTTCTTCTTCTTCTTCTTTTGACAGAGTTTCACTCTTGTTGGGCAGGCTGGAGTGCAATGGCATGATCTTGGCTCACTGAAACCTCTGCCTCCCAGGTTCAAGTGACTCCCCTGCCTCAACCTCCTGAGTAGCTGGGATTACAGGTGCCTACCACCATGCCCGGTTAATTTTTTTGTATTTTTAGTAGAGGTGGGGTTTCACCATGTTAGCCAGGCTGGTCTCAAACTCCTGACCTCAGATGATCATCCGCCTCTGCCTCCAAAAGCGCTGGGATTATAGATATGAGTCAGCAGGCAGGTGCAGAGTCTTCTATGCTTCCTGAGGCAGTTGTCTCCCCTCCTCCAGCAGAGAACAGAAAGCAGTCAAGCACTCTGTGCGTGACATCATCAAGTAAAGGACCTCATTGGCTCTGCACCCTCGCTGATTGGTTTGCAAACCAAGAAGGGGAGGGAAACCAAGAAAAGGAAAAGCCCTTCCCTGAGGGGAGGGGCTTTCAAATTCCAGGAAGTCTTTCCAAGTTAGGTCTTCCCCTCTGTTTCTCCTACTTTGCATCTTTCCTCTTCCTGTCCACCTCTTCTCCCCTTCCTCCTCCTGAGTCCCCCTCAATACCTAATGCAAACCGGGATCCAGATGGCTCACTAGGGGTTAAAGACCATGTTGATATATTAAAAAAAAAATGCAAAGGAGAAAAATGGGAGAATCTGATGATAACAGCAGGTGAGCTTGTCTGGGAGAGAAAAAACTGGAAGTGGGGGTGGGAGGTGCTGATTGCCTTGATCTTTTTAAGTTCAATACCTTTTATAAGGATATGTTTACCTGTGCATCTCATTTTGTTAATTTTGCTTGGTAGCTATTGTAGAGGATATTACATTTTTCCCCGAAAGGATTGATTTGAGTCTATAAAACAAACTCATAATGGATTAATAGGAAAAAAAAAGGCATTCAGATTTTATTAACAATGCATACAGGCACAAGAGTCATGCAAACATGAAAAACTCAAAGAAATTTCCAGATGGTTGAATTTTTTTTTTTTTTTTTTTTTTTTAAGAGACAGAGTCTTGCTCTGTCATCCAGGCTGGAGTGCAGTGGCGTGATCTCGGCTCACTGCAACCTCCGCCTCCCAGGTTCAATGATTCTTCTGCCTCAGACTCCCGAGTACCTAGGATTACAGGCGCACACCACTGTGCCCGGCTAATTTTTGTATTTTTAGTAGAGACGGAGTTTCACCATGTTGGCCAGGCTGGTCTTGAGCTCCTGACCTCATGATCCGCCCACCTCGGCCTCCCAAAGTGATGGGATTACAGGCGTGAGCCACCGCACCAGGCCTGGTTGATGTTTTTATACCATGTTGAGATACAGAAAGAATGGGGACTTAGAGCTTGGCAAAAGAGGTTAAGGTGGCAAGACAGGTTATACGAGGCAGAGAAGAGGAGAAAAGGCTTGGGGCAAAGGCTTCTGTGTTGGGCAGATAAAACCTCACAAGTAGTGCCCTCAGAAGAAATAGACGGTAGCCTGTGGTAAATGTTTCTCTGTCAGACCTTCAAAGGTGTCAGACTCTTCGTTCATCTTTCCTAGATCCAGACAAAGGGAAGCCTCAGAGAAAGACTGTTTGCATCTGCTGTTGATTCCACTTTATTTCCTCTACAGATGCAAATCTCCTGCACAAAAGACAGTTTTACAGGGTTATTCTTGTTTTTTTTCAGGCCCTTTGAAGAGCCACCTTGAAGGAAGTCAAAGAAGTATATTTCAGGGTAAAATTTTGTTGGTTTCCTTAACTATTTTGATTTTCAGTTTTATGCCTCTTTTGAACTTGAGAAAATTGACTTTGATTATGCCTTTATTTTATTTCTTCTCTTTCATATATTCTGTTATCTCTTATTGAACATCAGCTATCTTCATCTTTGATCTCCAATCTCTGTCTTCCATGTGTGCACTCTCTTACTATTTCTGTTCTGTCCACATGCTGGAAGAGTATCTTCAGTATGCCATCCACAGTTTAATGTAACCCGGTGCTGATTCTGCTCTTTATTGCAATTAATATTAATTTAATTATCCTATTGTGTTTTTACTTAGGGTGTAGTCATGCTTTATCTCTTTTAGTTCTTTTTTTATTTCTGCCTTTCACCTAGCATCTTTTAAATTTCAATTTTCTGTTAAGTTTTTTATAAATCAATTCTCATCTGTTATTTTAAAGTGTGGGGGCCAGACAGGCTTTTGGTTTCCTAAAGGTTTGCTGAAAAATTACTGACATGATTGATTAATAGAAGGAAAGGGCATAAAAATTTATTTATTTATTTGTTTATTTTTTGAGTTGGAGTCTTGCTCTGTCACCCAGGCTGGAGTGTGGTGGCGCGATCTAGGCTCACTGCAAGATCCACCCCCGAGTTCACACCGTTCTCCTGCCTCAGCCTCCCGAGTAGCTGGGACTACAGGTGCCTGCCACCACGCCTGGCTAATTTTTTGTATTTTTAATAGAGATGGGGTTTCACTGTGTTAGCCAGGATGGTCTCAATTTCCTGACCTCATGATCCGCCCATCTCGGCCTCTCAAAGTGCTGGGATTAGAGGCGTGAGCCACCTCGCCTGGCACAAATTTATTTAATTTGTATACACCGGGGCCTTCAGAATGAAGACCCAACTCAAGAATAAGTTACAGAAGCTTATGTACTACCTTGAGATTATAGAAAGAATGGGGACTCAGGGCATAACCAGAAGCAGGTTTTAGTGGCTAGACAAGTTATGGGAGGGAGAAAGGAAGGGACTTGGCTAGCAAAGGTGGCCTTCCTACATAGAGGAAGCCTCCTTTAAAGATAATAAATGATAAATGTTTCCTAGACTTTTAAAAATATCAGACTCTCAACCTCTCCTAGATCCAGGAAACATAGAGAAAGCCTGACTACACTAATGGAGATTCTCTACAAATGCAAATTTCCCCTACAAAAGACAGCTTTGCAATGTCACTTCTCTGTTGGCTCTGTGGCAGCCATTTAAAAATATGTCAAATACTTATCTTTGGGGGTAAAATATTTTGATTTCCTTCAGAGGTCTGTTTTTATGAATTTTCTTGAGAGTATAAGCCACATACTGTATGAAATTTACTTACGTATCCAGTTATAGATCATATTTAGCAATACTTTAATCTGCTGCTGCTTTAGTTCTCATGTATATTCCAGAATAAGTCTATGGACTCCATCTGTTTTTCATTTCCTTCCTTCCTGCATTGTTTCCTTCCTTCTTTAGGAAAGCCAGATCCCTTCACCTAAATGAGGAAGTAGATTCTGGTTTATTCCCCTTATTGATTGCTTCCAGACTCCTCCTTTTATAATAGATCACTAGAAGGAGTGCTAAATAAGGTACTGTGAAAGGAAAAGAAATCTCAGGACCCCAAACCCACTAAGCCAAGGGGAAAGTCAAGCTGGGAACGATGTCAGGCAAACCTGCCTCCCATTTTGTTCCTAAATAAGATAGATACAAAGATTAAAAAAGCAACATACCTCCCTGATAATTTGTCCACAAGGATGTTTCTTGTGTGCTTCAAGACCTTTACCCTAAAGCAGTTCTGTTGAATTTCACCCTGGCAATGTAAACGGATAGTTTATCTTCACAGGTGCAAGAAAGTCATCCCTCTGCTCACCTGAGACAAATGCATATCTGATTGCTTTATCTGCCTGATTGTTTATGTAAAAATGCAGATTCACTGAGCCAAACTAAATTGTGTATTCAGTGAAAGACGGACCAATAACTCAAAAGAATGCATCCTTTTGTCTCTTATCTACCTATGACCTGGCAGCCGGCCCCCACCTTTGAGTTATTCCGCCTTTCTGAACTAACATCTTACAGAATATGTGTACATCTTACACATATTGATTGATGTCTTATATCTCCCTAAAATACATACAAGCAAACTGCACCCCAAGCACCTTGGGCACATGTCATCAGGACTTCCGGAAGCTGTCACAGGTGTGTCCTTAACCTTAGAAAAATAAACATTCTAAATTGACTGAGACCTATCTCAGATATTTTGGGTTCGTGGTACACACACTCAAACCCAATTTCCAGTGCATTATAGCCTTTTATGTAGAATGGCTGGCCTTTTCTGCTTCTTGGCTACCTTCCTATTAGGAGCAGAGTTTATTCCGTACAATTTGAAGCAGTCTGTGGTTCTCCCTTATCACAAACAATAAGTGAAAAATATGACTCCCCAAGTGCAACTCTCCTGCAACCTTCAACCCTTTCCCTTTAAAAACTTGCGACCTAACTTGCAGACCACTACCCTCTTTCCATTATAGCTGTCAATTATGTTTCATATTTAAAAGTGTTTGATAGAAGCATGTCAAAAGAGGGGAAAGAGATAAACTAACTGCTCAGGAGAAGTTAGTTTTCTTCCCTTTGAAAATTTAAGACGTCTCTCTCTGATCTTGTGTATACAAGGATTTGATGGATTCAACACCATATCAACTTTTCTCCATGTGGCCTTGTCATTCTGCCTCAGTACTTCATCTGAGCTATGGTACATGGAAATTCTTTATTAAATGTGGCACATCCTAGAGTCAAGAACCTAGACCATTTTTTTGTACTTCTGAAAATTTGCATACTTTGCTGTATTTTCTCAATAATAAGATGAGATTGAGTGGGAGGCAAATTAGACAATTATAACTTTGCCACACATAGTGGTCCAAGTCTGGTCAAGTAAATGCATATATTTGCACAGATTATCTTTGGGCTAGTAATATGGCTCTTCCCTCACAGGGAAGTGGGCCCATATTCACAATCATAAGTGATAATTGAGTGTTGCCTCAACAACCCTCAGGAACTCAAAGAGGGTCTCATTGTTTAACTAAAGCCTTTTTTTTCTTCTAGGTGATTTATGTCGTCATTTCATATCTTTTTTACCTCCCTAGTATTTCCCATGTCTGTTTGCAACATAGCAGTGAGAGAAATCTAACATGGTGGACTCCATCTTGCTGCTAACCTCAAAAGCTAACTGCCTTTACTGTTTCCTGCACATAGGCCATGCTAACTCTGGAAGGAATTTAGTTTCTAGTTTCACTTAAAGCAAGGATGATAATAATCCCTTCCCAAAACAAATCCCCAAAGAGATTAGGAGGGTGTATTCACAAATAACAATGTTATGTTAAAGATTTACAGAAGCATTGTAACCTGACCAAGGATAAAGAAATTCTGCCACACAGTCAGACTCTTGCTGATGCCCAGAGGTCTGTGGTCACCAGTTACCTCCTGACCTCTACCCCCTTTTTGTTCCCTCTTCCCCAAAATAAAAAGAAGTTTGAGATTCATGCCTTTAAGATGGTTCTTTAGAGTGGTAGTCCACCTTCTTCTCAGTTTACTGGCTCTCTGAAATAAAGTCACTTTTCCTGCCACAACACAATAAGTCTGGCAACTCATTGGCTGTCATGCAGTGATCACTATGAGCTTAGGACTCAGCTATGGTAACAACAATCATTCATTTATTTGGCCAGCAGATATTTTACTAGGCTCTGTGTTAGGCACTGGAGATATGACGATGAGTAATGCATAGTTTTTGTGCTCATAAAACATATAGTTTAATGAGAAGAAAGCTACTAAACAAATAAACAAATAAATATTCATAGAAGTTGCATTACTCATTATGAAGAATAAACTGTGAACTTCGGTAGGAAATACAGAGGGGATTAATCTAAATAAGGCAGCTACAGACTCTTCTGTTTTAATTGAGAAGAAGCCAGTTTTATAACATGGCGTGAGGATGATAGTTGGTGTCCTAGGCAGAATTGCAAGTGGAAAGGCTCTGAGATAGGAATCAGGAGAGCAGTTGGAGGACAGTTGGAAGGGAGTCTGAGCATGAGGCTTGGAGAGGTAGGCGTAGAACAAAACATGCAGATTTTGAAGGTAAGGAAAATGGAAAAAAATTCTAAATATGGTGTGAAGCCATTGCAGAATTTTAAATAAGGAATAACAGGACATTTTAAATAGGGAATAATATATTTCAAATATGTGATTCTGCAATGGGGAATGGAGAAAGAGTGGAAGCAGGAAGGCCATTTAGGTTATTACAATACCCACACCAAAACTGGACACATTTGAAATGTATTTCACAGGTAGGATTGATAGGGCTTTCACTGGTTTGGATGTAGGATATACAGTACAAGAAGCAATCAGGGGTACCTTTAGCATTCTTACTTGAGCAACTGAGTGAGTGACAATATCTTGTACTAAAATGTGGAAGATTGAGAGAGCAACATTTTTGCTTGTTTGTTTCATGAGGTGAGGTTTCACTATGTCTCCCAGGCTGGAGTGCAGTGGCTATTCACAGGCACTAACATAGCACAC
Source organism: Homo sapiens (assembly GCF_000001405.40). Taxonomy (NCBI): domain Eukaryota; kingdom Metazoa; phylum Chordata; class Mammalia; order Primates; family Hominidae; genus Homo; species Homo sapiens. The sequence goes on along the minus strand of NC_000008.11, from coordinate 36,089,399 downwards.
TGCAGCCTCAAATTCTTGGACTGAAGTGATTCCCCTGCCTCAGCTTCTTGAGTAGCTAGAACTACAGGCATATACTCAGCTACAGAGGAACAGTTTTTTAGGAGAAACAGAAATCAAGAGTTTGTGTTTGGACATGATGATATGGATAGGAGACAGGGAAATACTGGGTAGAAGAGAGTGGGGTCTCTAGCAATGACTCCACCCTCAGGCCAGGACCCATGGCCCTAAATGAGAACATGCATTCCTGTTTTCCCTCCCAAATGTTGCCTTTTCCAAAACCACATTGGTCCAGCCTGCACCCCACCCTTTACCCATAAAAATCCCAAGCTCTACTGGCAGAAGAGCAGAGTGGCATGGCAGAGAAGAAGAGAAGAGAAGTGTCTGAATGTCAAGAGGAGAAGAGCCATCTGGATATTGGAGGCTACGGTCAGAGAGGAGTTCAGCCAGGAAAGGTCAGAGAGGAGTTTGGCCAGGGACAGCTGAACTCCAGGGGAAGATTATCTTCCCACTCCATCCCCTTTCTAGCTCCCCATCACACTGAGAGCCACTTCCACCACTCAACAAAATCTCTGCATTCACTATCCTTGAAGTCCATGTGGCCTCATTCCTCTTGGAAACTGGACAAGAATTTGGGATGCACTGGGTGTGAGAACCCAAAGAGGCTGTCACACTGACTCTCAACTGTGCTGGTTAACACTTAGGCATCCATGGATGGCAAATGCTAAAAGAGCATTGTTTGTAACACACACTCTAGGGCTCTAGAGGCTGCAGGCAACCCCTAGACACTGATGTGAGCTGGTATGGGGTTTGTTCCTGCTGGCACTCACTCAGCTCCTGCACCCACTCACCTGCACGCTCCCCCTCCCGAAAGGGGTTTGAGTAAACAAGCCACACCCCTATTGCAAGTCCATCGAAGGGGTCAAGGAAACTCTCCCATCTCAGTGATGTTTTTAGTGAGTCTTTGAGTCAAACATGTAGTTGAATATATGTGCCTGGAATTTTTCTAGACAGCTGAACTCCTAGAGAGAAAACTTTTGCAGTCATAGCATATACATGAAGTTTAAAGACATATGAGTAAAATATATTATCTAAGAAGAGATGGTAAAGAAAGCCCTTGACAACTCCAACATTTAGAAATTGGGTGGAGGAGAAGAACCCCGCAAGGGAGACTAAAAAAGAGAGGACAATGAGGTAAAAGGAAAACTAGTGCTCTGAGTTATATGAAAGCCAAGAGAAGAAAGGAAGGGAAAAGATTAAGGAAGACTTTTTTTAAAGTTGGGAGATTCTGGAGCATGCTTATCTACTAATCATAGTGATCTAGGATAGGTAAAAGAGACTAATGATGCAATCCCAAGAGAGGTTATCTGTAAGTGTGATATTCCTGAGAAGTTTGAAACCAGACCAATTGTCCCATAGAACTGAAGTTTACAGGTTTTTGTTTGTTTGTTTATTTTTTGTAAAATAAACATAGAAAGTGACCCTCTCTGCTCTTCAAACTTGAAACTTACTTCTGAGTTCCTTCCTCAGGAAACCAATCCTTAGGCAAGGACCTGAAACTCACTAGATCACTCCATCCAGACAGTGAGCCGCCAGACCCCTCATTTGTCATGATCACTTTTTAAGCCCTTCCTAATTTCTATGTTGTATCCCTACCCCCAGCTGGAAGCTACATTCCTTCCCTGCTATATAAACCACTAATTTTAGTCAATTAGGAGAGAGGGATTTGAGATTTGGCTTCCATCTTTCTGGCTTATGTCACCTGAATAAAAATTCTTCTTCCCTGGCAATACTCATTGTTTCAGTGATAGGCTTTCTGTATGGTGAGCAACGGAATCTAGACCAAACCCTTGGCATTTTGGTAACAAGTTGAGAAAGAATGGGGTTCAGAACAAAAAGAAGGAATTGAGCTGTGATAACTGGAAGGAAACTTTAGCTATTGTAGTAGGAAGAATGAAGAGAAAGAATAGATGCAGGTGGCCAATCGTGGTGGCTCATGCCTGTAATCCCAGCACTTTGGGAGGCTGAGGTGGGTAGATTGCTTGAGTCTAGGAGTTTGAGATCAGCCGGGGCAACATGGAAAAACCTTGTGTCTACTAAAACTACAAAAAATCAGTGGGTTGTCATGGTATGTGCCTGGAGTTCCAGCTATTCTGGAGGCTGAGGTGGGAGGATTGCTTGAGCCTGGGAGGTGGAGGTTGCAGTGAGCCGAGATTGTGCCACTGTACTCCAGCCTGGGCAACAGAGTGAGACCCTGTCTCAAAAAAAAAATTACATGCAGATAAGTTTATAGTCTAAGAAAACAATTTAGGATTTTACCAACCCCTCCTTATCTGTTAACAATTGAGATAAAGACTCCATCGCATACTCAGATCAGTCATCAGAAGGGCAACCATATCCTACTTAGGTAGCAATGAAATAACAAAGTCAAACGAAGACTAAACCGGCCAGATTTCTCCTTGTTACCTGATTAGCCATAGATTCTAACTTCTAACTTGTTTTGCTGCTTTCTGGAAGTCAGCTGCCTGACTTTGGATAACAGTGCAGCTGTGGTAATAAAGGTAGCTTCAGTTCAGCATTTGAAATAGACTTGCCTGTATTTACCCACACATGGTATGCCCGTTGCTTTGAATCGTTTCTTATCGGTGTTATAAAAACTCATTTGGTTTTAGTGATAAGAATTTAAAGTTGTCATTCTTGTTTCAAAACTAAAAACAGGGAAGTTCACATACAGACTGGGAGAGGAATACACAATGTCTTTTGAAAACTGAGCCACTGCACTGCAATACTGAAGAATAAAACAAAAGCATTTTTGGTATACTTAATTTTTTTTTACATTATCTTCAATGCAGGGCCCTGGGATTTTGAGCCTGGCTGGTCTAGCTCGCTGACACTGACATATTCCCTTATAGATCCTTCTGACAACACACAGCCCACTAGTCACCAGCTTAGAGTAATATTTATGGACACCTTTGAACACAATCACATAGACATACAGAAGAAGGAAAAGCAATGACAATTATTAAATAACACTTGCCTTATTTTTTCATATTTCTTAGACATGAAGTCAAGGTTTAAATGAACACATTAAGAGGGAGAAGTGCCTACTCTTAGGAAAAAGTGAATTGTGTTATGAAGAAAATTTCAAGAAATATCACCTAGTGGAGGATTTTCTCTTCCCAAAATGAAGCGTCACTTTAGGTTTCCACCTACATATGTCAATTTAATTGTAAAACAGATTTTATAAATCAGAAGTAATAATGGGGTGCTGGGTGAGTGGGTGTGTGTGTGTGTGCATGCATGTGTAATTTTTAAATATTCAATGTGCACATTTTGCACTCCAGAGAATTAATCAAACTGTCAAGTCCAGGACCAAAAACTGAAAAGCACACACAGTGGTATGTCATGGTAACTTAGCAACCAGAGCTGAAGAGGTTAAGACAGAAATTGCTGTCATTTCCTTATATTTAAGAATTTCTACCTTATACTTTCCCTGTTCCCTTCCCCTGCCACACACATTCTGATTCTTCCAGGTGGTAGTTTACTGAATCGTATCTTTTATATATTTTAATAATCTTGTGTATGACTTTCTATTTGTGGAGGATAATAGGAATCACCTACTGAGTACTGAATTTCAGAACATCTGTGAATGTGTTATTGATTAAGACTCTAAGTCTTTTGTACATAGCACAGGTGTTACCAACTGGACTCATAATTTCCCATCAAATCATGAAATACATAGGTGATGAACAACTGCTATTTATAAGTCCAGCACCAGGGTGGCATAACTGGTTCCATGGAAGGTCTATTCTGGTACTAAAGGTCAGTTGCTTCTGTTGCTATTACTACAGGGCCTACATATGGCAAGGTTAGTCTTCTGTCAAAGAAATTCTGGCTTAGAATATATAAAGGAAATCTATAAAGGAGCTCTTTATTTTGAGGCTTGAGCAAAGAGCAAAAATAAAGTATTTATTAAAAAGGGGTAAAACAGTATTAGGGTATACAACATGCTGATATATTTAACAAAGTGCATAATGCCCTCAAGGGCCTTGAATTAGTAAGAGTCAGAAATGCATATCCCATGCCTTCCAATCTCATCAGTGCTGGCCTGTCACACTGCACATTTTGCACTAGGTTTATTTGAGGGTAGCAATGGGCAAAGGTGAAGTGGCCCTATCTGCCTAATCTCCCTTATTCCATGCTGACCCTAGGACAGGTTGCTTATAAGATCATGTGTTTCCTTTAAGATACATGTGGCTGGTGGCCCTTTCAAGACTACAAATCCCTCTTGACTGTAATATGATTGGGCCAGATTTTGTGTGAGACCTTTAACAACAACAACAACAACAACAACAACAACAACAACAAATAAAAGGTCAGAAACTCAAGATACTATGTTAAAAAGAAAAATGTGATTTTGCCACCCACAAATAATCTCATCTTTTGACTAAGTCTCAGTTCTCTTCACATTCCTGGTCCTGCTCTGGTACATCTAAAATAGTGCCAGCCTCACTGGCCCATCTTCTCTAAGACTGTTAAACTTGAAAGCAAAATCACTCTAGATGTAGAACCACTGTTTTAAGGACTAAAAAGTAAAACATAAAACTGTTGTTTTTGGTTTCTTTGAATAAACATAAAAGCTGACCTCCCTAGTCATAAAACTTAATAAATTTTCATTTGCCTTATCTGAGTTCCTTTCTCAGAAATCTGACAATCAGGCCTCCCAGATAGTATCAAGGAACTGAAACTTTCCAGATCACCGTTATCTGGACAATGAGAAGCAGACCCCTCACCCATCCAGGCTGCCTAATGAACCACATGCTTATTGTTGACCAGCTCCACTCCTTAGTTCCTATTTTCCCACATGTAATTACATTTCTTTCCTGCTATATAAATCTCTAAATCTAACCAGTTGAGAAGATGGATTTGAGACTCATCTCCTATCTCCTCAGCTGTAGCACCCAAAAGAGCCTTCTTCCCTGGCAATACTTGTTGTCTCCATGATTGGCTTTCTATGCTATAAGCAATGAGACCTAGATCTTATCTTCCATTACTGGATTGTCTTCCATAATCCAGGAGCATGTACCTCCTGGGTTATGGAAGAGAATCCTCTGGAGCATAGGAAAAAATATTAAAACTTCTCTTAATTTTTTTTATTCAGGGAAAGGAACAAAATTATGGGTGGAATCCCATTAGCACATTCTCCTCTTTTTCCTACTTTCAGGGGATCACATGTCATACATGGTACTATGTGAGGTGCCTAAAAGAAAAAACACTAGTTTTGCCACACAGACAGATTAACAGTGGCATCCTTGTTTGCTTTTAGGGTGCTGCTATAGTGTGCAATTTATACTTGCTCAGTTAAGTGGATCAATTTTATTGTCCGGATTTAACTAAACTGATCCTCAAAGATGTACATCTAGCTTCCCAAATAAAAACAACACTGATTGAAGATTATAATGCAAGTATAAGGGAACAAAGACTAATTGATAGGGATGACAATCTGCCTTTCTAGCATATTCTCTTGGTAAATTTTACAAGGGAAAAAAAGGCAATGGAGTGAGACTTACAAGAAGTTACCAGAATTTAAAAAAATTTTCAAGGAGGTCTTTTGGAATGTGGTTTTATATTCAGCATCAATGAATGTCATTTGATTGTGCTCCATAATGAACTCAAGTCTAAGTAAATGTTGTTCCTTATTATGTAATCTAATGCCAGTATTATACGTATATAAGTTGTAAATAAATATTTATGCATTTATTGGGGTACATACTCAAGAAAATTTAATGACATGGATTAGATGTGCATAGCATTTTGCTTACTTCTTTGATCAGAACAAATTATGTATCAAATCCTGAAGAAAGTCTCTTGATTTTAATGAGAAAAAATACTTCACTGATGTCTCATAAGTTGCTCTCTCCTGCTAAATTTGGAATATATATTTTCTGTATGGCTTTTTGCTATTTTCACTTCAAAAGACTGTCAGCCCTTTCTTCCCCACTGCTGGGACCACCAAAAATGTATCCAAATAATGCCAAATATATTGGAGGAGGCAAAATCACTCTAGGTGTAGAACCACTGTTTTAAGGACAAATGTAAAATAACAGGTTGCTATAGTACAGAATATTGGGCAAGGAGGAAGATTTAGATAGGGCTGTTTGAGAAAGCCACTCTAAAGAGCAGACATGTGAGCTGATGCATGAGGAATGACAAGAAGCCAGCCCACCAGTGTGGGTGGGGAAGAATCTTGTAGGTTGCAGGAATACTGTAGCAAGCTGGAAGGCCCTAAGTTTTGAGCTTGATGGACTCTGGGAATTGAAATAAGGCCAGAGTTGCTGGAGTACCATGGAAAGGTATGACATACATGATATAGGCAAAGGCTATATTACGCAGGGCCTTGTAAAACACCAGGTGGATCAGTACAAATCCTAATCCTGTGTTGGAACTCAGGAAACAATACCCAAAATGAAGCCTCCAAAGCAGCCTCAGAAGCAAAAGTTTTTCTCTGACCTTCTCCTTCCCTCTTGTCTGTCAGTCCCATTCTACCCAGAGGCTAGCCACAGAAACTAGAATGCTTTCTCACCCAAGATGGGACGTAGAAATCAGAATGTATTTTCCCCAATGCTAGTTATAAAAGCTAAGGCTATTATTTGAACTTCCTTTCACTCCTTGCCTTTCTGTGTAAAAACTGGCCATAAAGAAGTGATCTTACTTACCTTGTTTGACTGTAGATCATAAGAACCCCCATTCCAGAGAGGGTACTGCTTCAAACTCTGTAGGAAATAATGCTGCCCAGAGAGGCTAAGAACAATCTTGCTGGGAGTCCTCACTCAGTCTATTAGGATTAGGTCATACCCATTTTGTCCAATCATATTTCTACATGGCTGACCATACTTTGTTGAACCTAAGCATAAAAATGGACAATTTCCCCTGTATCTTTAGTTCCTCATTCTGAAAGCTCTGGTGTGCATGCGAATAATTATGTATGCCTTTTCTCCCATTGATCTGCCTTATGTGAATTGATTTTTCAGTGAAACTTCAGAAAGCAAAGGGGAAATTTTCCCTTGGCCCTGACACTTGCAACCATTCTGTGGATCTGGAAGAAAACTACAATGTATAGTATTGTATAACTTTTTGTGATAATATTAGAAGATGAGTCCTATATGAGTTATTCTTACTACTAATTCAAGAGTTTCAGCTTTGTGAGGGGAAGGACTAGTGAGAAACACCACATAATTATGTGTAAAATTGACTGCATGAGGTAGAGTATTGGTTTCTGCGGTAAACAGATTATAGTTAATTTAGAATTAGTTGTTGATAGCTCAAGGAATATTCAGACATTGTTGATAGAAAGGAAAAGCTGGTGAGGGGAAAAAATTTATTTATTCATTTATCTTTAAGTTTAATTTTAGGCTCAGGGGTACATGTGTCAGTTTGTTATATGGGTAAACTTCTCATGGGTGTTTGTTGCACAGATTATTTCATCACCTAGGTATTAAGTCTAGTATCCATTAGTTATTTTTACTAATCTCCCTCCTCTCACCCTCCCTGCTCCAGTAGGCCCCAATTTTATTGGTCCTCTTTATGTGTCCATGTGTTCTCATCATTTAACTCCCACTCATAAGTAAGAAAATGCAGAATTTGTTTTTCTGTTCTTGTGTTAGTTTGCTAAGGATGATGGCCTCCAACTCCATCCATGTTCCTGCAAAGGACATGATCTTGTTCTTTTTTTAGCTGCATAGTGTTCCATGGTATATATGTATCACATTTTCTTTATTCAGTCTACTATTGATGGGCATTTAGGTTTATTCAATGTCTTTGCTATTGTGAACAGTGCTGCAATGAACACACAAGTGCATGTGTCTTTGGAATAGAATGATTTATATTCCTTTGGGTATATATCTAGTAATGGGATTTCTGGGTCTAACAATATTTCTATTTTAAGTCTTTGAGGAATTGCCACACTGCTTTCCACAATAGTTGAACAAATGTACACTCCTACCAACAGTGTATAAGTGTTCCTTTTTCTCTTCAACCTCGCTGGCATTTGCTATTTCTTGACTTCTTAATAACAGCCATTCTGACTGATATGAGATGGTATCACACTGTGATTTTAATTTGTATTTCTCTAATGATCAGGGATGTAGATCTTTTTTTTTGTATGCCTATTGGCCGCATGTGTGTCTTCTTTTGAAAAGTGTCTGTTCATGTACTTTGCCCATTTTTAGTGGGGTTGTTTTTTATCTTGTAAATTTCTTGAAGTCACTTATAGATGCTGGATATTAGACTTTTGTCAGATGCATAGTTTGCAAATATTTTCTCCCATTCTGTGGGTTTTCTATTCACTCTGTTGAGTTTCCTTTGCTGTGCAGAAGCTCTTTAGTTAGATCCCATTTGTCAATTTTTCCTTTTTTTCTCAATTGCTTTTGGCATCTTTGTCATGAAATCCTTGCTTATTCCTATATCCAGAATTGTATTGCCTCATTTGTCTTCCAGGGCTCTATAGGTTTGGGTTATACCTTTAAGTCTTTAATTCATGTTGAGTTAATTTTTGTATATGATGTAAGGAAGGGGTCCAGTTTCAATCTTCTGCATATGGCTAGCCAGTTATCCCAGTACCATCTATTGAAGAGAGAGTTCTTTTGTCATTGCTTGTTTTGTCAACTTTGTCAAAGTTCAGATAGTTGTAGGTGTGCAGCCTTACTTCTGGGCTCTCTATTCTGTTCTATTTGTCTGTGTGTCTGTTTATGTACCAGTATTATGATCTTTTGGTTAATGTGGCACTGTAGTGTAGTTTGAAGTCGGGTAGCATGAGGCCTCCTGCTTTGTTTGTTTTACTTAGGATTGCCTTGGCTATTCTGGATCTTTTTTAGTTCCATGTGAATTTTTAAATAGTTTTTTTCTAGATCTGTGAAGAATGTCATTGGTAGTTTAATAGGAGTAGCACTGAATCTATCAATTGCTTTGGGCAGTAAGGTCATTTTTACGATATTAATTCTAACTATCCATGATCATGGAATGTTTTTCCATTTGTGTGTGTCATCTCTGACTTCTTTGAGCAGTGTTGTGTAGTTCTTCTTGTAGAGATCTTTTCACCTCTCTGGTTAGCATATTCCTAGGTATTTTATTCTTTTTGTGGCAATTGTTTATGGGACTGCATTGCTGATTTGGCTGTAGGCTTGACTGTTTTTGGATTATAGGAATGCTGGTGATTTTTGTACATTGATTTTGTATCCTGATACCTTGCTGAAGTTCTTTATCAGCTTATGAAGTTTTTGGGTTGAGACTGTGGAGTTTTCTAGATATAGAATCATGTCATCTGCACCCAGGGGTAGCTTGACTTCCTCTCTTCCTATTTGGATGCCTTTTATTTATTTTTCTTGCCTGATTGCTCTGGCCAGGACTTCCAGTACTATGTTGAAGAGGGGTGGTGAAACAGGACATCCTTATCTTGTGCCAGTTTTCAACTGGAGGGCTTCCAGCTTTTGCCCATTCAATATGATGTTGGCTGTGGGTTTGTTATAGATAGCTCTTATTATTTTAAGGTATTTTCCTTCAATACCTAGTTTATTGGGAGTTTTTAACATGAAGGGTGTTGAATTTTATTGAAATACTTTTTGGCATCTATTGAGATAATCATATGGTTTTTGAATTTAGTTCTGTTTCTGTGATGAATCATATTTATTGATTTGCATATGTTAAGCCAGCCTGGCAGTCTAGGGATAAAGCCTAGTTGATCATGGTGGATAAGCTTTTTGATGTACTGCTGGAATTGGTTTGCCATGATTTTGTTAAGGATTTTTGCATTGATATTTATCAAGGATATTTGCCTGAAGTTTTCTTTCTTTGTTGTGTCTCTGCCAGGTTTTGGTATCAGGATGATGCTGGCCTCATAGAATGAGGCCAATTTTTTGGAGTAGTTTCAGTAGTAATGGTACCAGATCTTCTTTGTACATCTGGTAGAATTTGGCTGTGAACTCATTAGGTCCGGGGCTTTTTTTGGTTGGTAGGCTATTTATAACTGATTCAATCTTGGAGCTCATTATTGGCCTGTTTAGGGATTCAACTTCATCCTGGCTTGGTCTTGGGAGGGTGTATGTGTCCAGGATTTTATCTGTTTATTCCAGATTTTCTAGGCTATGTGCATAGGGATGTTCATAATATTCCCTGATGGTTATTTGTATTTCTGTAGGGTCAGTGGTAATACCCCTTTTGTTGTTTTTAATTGTGTTTATTTGGATCTTCTCTTTTTTATTAGTCTAGCTACTTGTCTATATATTTTATTCATTTTTTCTAAAAAACAAATCCTGGATTCATTGACTTTTGAATGATTTTTCACGTCTCAATCTCCTTCAGTTCAACTCTGATTTGGGTTATTCCTTCTCTTCTGCTAGCTTTGGGGTTGGTTTTCTCTTGTTTCTCCAGTTCTTTTAGCTGTGATGTTGGATTGTTAACTTGAGATCTTTCTAACATTTTGATGTGGACATTCAGTACTGTGAATTTTCCTCTAAAAACAGCCTTAGCTGTGTCCCCCAGTATCTTCTGGCTTGTAGAGTTTCTGCTAAGAGGTCCTCTATTTGTCTTATAGGCTTCCCTTTGTAGGTGACCTAAACTTTCTCTCTAGATGCTTTTAACATTTTTTTTCTTTTATTTCAACCTTGGGTAATCAAATGATTATGTGTCTTGGGGATGATCTTCTTGTGAAGTATCTTAATGGGGTTCTCTGCATTTCCTGAACTTGAATGTTTGCCTGCCTATGTGAGTTGGGAAAGTTCTCATGGACGATATCCTGAAACATGTTTTCTAAGTTGCCTACACTCTCCAACTCTTTCAGGGACACCAGTGAGTTGTAGATTTTGTCTCTTTACATAATCCCATATTTCTCAGAGGTTTTATTTGCTTCTTTTTATTCCTTTTTCTCTATTCTTGTCTGGCTGACTTATTTCAGAAAGCCAATCTTCAGGCTCTGAGGTTCTTTCCTCCAGCTGGTCTATTCTGCTATTAATACTTGTGATTGCATTATGAAATTCTTGTAGTGTGTTTTTCAGCACTATCAGGTCAGTTATGCTCTTTTCTATACTGGCTATTTTATATTTCATCTCCTGTATTGTTTTATTGTTATTTTTAGCTTCCTTGGATTGGGTTTCAATATGCTCCTACATCTTGAAGATCTTTCTTTCTATCTTTATTCTGAATTCTATTTCTGTCATTTCAGCTGGTTCAGAACCCTTGTAGAGAGGTGGTGTGATTGTTTGGAGGAAAGAAGGTACCCTGGCTTTCTGAGTTGTTAGGGTTCATGTGTTGGTTCTTTTTCACCTTTGTGGGTTGATGTTTCTTTGATCTTTGACATTGCTGAGCTTTGGATGTTTTGTTTTTTTTTTTTCTTTTATCCTTTATGATGACCTTGAGTGTCTGGTTGTGGTATAAAGTGGATTCAGCTGACTGGGTTTATTTCTGGAAAATTTTATGGGGTCACTCCTCAGCTCCCAACTCCTGGACTGTGTGCTGTAACTCTGGGGGTCTTGTATTGGGCACCAACTTTGTTCTCTGGCTCCTTGAGGTCAGGAATTCACTCTGCTTGGGGTGCTGATGTGCTCCTAGACTGCTGGTTACTACCCTCCAATGGGTGGTGTCAGCCAGAGTGTTTCACGGTGCAATAGCAGCATAATCCATCCTTTTTCACACATGCCAGCAGCAGCGAATGTGGCAGCCTGGTGGGGTGTATCCTCTTCAGCTGTGGCAGGGTGCTAGTAGGTGCCAAGGTGCCTGCCTCCGTGCAGGAGTTCACCACAGTGGCAGAGGCAGCTGGCTCAGGAGAGCCTGGGGGGCCCTTGGTGGCAACTGTGCACACAGTCGTGTTGGCAGTGCTATTGGCACAAGGGTGGGGCACTGCTGGACACAGGTCTCTGTGCACTCTTGTGTGCCACAGGCAGGCGTGACTGCTGAAGGCGGGCAGGGTCCACTGTTCTCTGTGACAAGTTTCATCCCTTGGCAGTGTTGGCTCAAGGTCATGGTGCTGGCAGGGTCGAGACTGGCTGGCTCTGTGCCTGCCAAGACTCCAACTGTAATGGTGGTCCCATGGGGGTGGGGGTGCACACTATACTCCCTCCAGTGCTGATAAGGCAGGGTTCACTCACACACACACACACACACACACACACACACACTGGTGGGGCAAGGAAGGCAAAACCTGCCCTCACACACACATGCCAGCAGAGCAATTAGCTGGTTGACTTGGGCCTGGGGGGAAGGTGTAGTGTGGGGAGGGAGCAGGCAAGCTGGTGCATTGCCATGGGGACTGCCCAGCCAGAGCTCTCTGCTGGTCAGGCATGGTCTGCCGGCACCAAGGGGAGAAAATTTAGATGCTATCGCTACAACTTAGAAAAGGTGTTTGCCAATTTCTCTAAGAAACAGTTGATAAAGTAAGTCACTGTGTTCCAATTTGCATAATGAACTTTGGCCAACTCCATGTCTCTAAATTTGTCTGCTTTTCTGCTGTGTATTTGCTGTGCAGCTTCAATTATTAGAACCTCAGTTTCTTAATCTATAAAATGCTAGGGTCTTAAGGTCTATTCATTATCTTAAATGGTGTAATTCTCTGTTTATATTTTCCTCCCTCAAAGTAAATATAATTTACTTTTTAGTGAAATCTTCATAACTATGTAAAATAATTGGGGGAAAAATGTTCTCCTGCATCTCTGTTGTGTGATTACTTGCATTTGCATTTGAGATAATAAACCATAACACCTTTTCTTTCATAACTCAATTTCTTTATCAAAACCTAAAGGTAAAACTGACTTTGGTCCAAACTCCAGCCAAAGATATATCCAGGAGCAATTTGCTGAAAAGAAAAAAACTTTCTTTTGCCAAACTTCCTTATGCCTGCTGCTCTTGAAAGCTATTTCTGCAGGAAAAAAAATCTATAAACACAGATATAAAAAGCTACTGTTGCCTCTGTTCAAGTTCCCATCACATGTGACCTGATTTTCTTATCCTCTGTGATGTCTGGACCCTTATTTCCCAGAGAGAGCCAAGGCGAATTGCTTTCAGGAGTCTCTATCTCTGTCTGCAAACCAAACCCAGTTTGCCCATTAGGCAGACATCTGGTGTGGAGACCATGGCAAAACATCCTTATGGAGCCTCAATCTGAGTGGAAGGCCAAGGTGCACTTGGTCAGAATTCATCTGAAGATCAAGAGGTCAGTGTCAAGGTAGATAAATGGGGTTGTTTCTGACACTAGGACTAAATGGAAAACATTTTGGGGACAATGAATGGCGTTGATGCTGTTTCCTGGAGAAAAGGGACAAAGAGTACAGTTGTCTAATGACTGCCCTTGAAAAAGTTGTTGCAAGGAGAAAGCATGACTCTGTGTGTGTATGTGCTTGTGTGTTTGTGTGTTTGTGTGTGAGAGAGAGAAAAAAATGAGTATGTTATAACTAAAATCTATAGACTATCAACAAATCATTCTACAGTAATTCCACCACTCCTTTAAATCCTTTCTGAAGTCTTTTTAAGAGAGATTTTTTCTTTTCCAAGATTCAGCCTGGACTTCCAGTCTTTTTTGTTATGATTTGTATCTACTCTTTGCTGTAGTAGTTTATTGAAGGTACTTTCTGACATTTTGGACAAAACCAATGCTTTCAGAGCCAAATTAAAAAGTTTGAGTAAGGATGCTTCTGTCCTTGAGTAAAAAAATAAAAAAATAAAAAAATTCTGCAGATATCTCTTTTGGATTTCAGGAAATTATGAAACCTAGGGTTGTTTAAACTTAAGGTAAGATCCTCGAGAATTTAAACACCGTAACATAAATACTACTTAAATCAGTTCATTATTGCCACATAACTGATGATCCCAAACTTAGTAATTAAGACAACATTCATTTATTTAGTTCCTATTTCTGCGGGTGGACAGTTTAGGTTGGTTTTCTCTTGTAGTTCTTCTGGCCTTGGCCAGGCACCCAATGCAGTAAAATGTATGTCAGCAAGGCAAGTCAGCAATTAAGGGCTGTCTGGCTATCGGATGGAGTGATGGCGAGACTGGGCTTCATTTCTCTCATCTTCCAGCATCATAGCCCAAATAGAATCACATGTGGTCAGAAGAGTTCAAGAAAGGAAGAAGTAACCTTGACTGGAAACTGACATAATGTCTATTAGCCCAAAGCAAGTGAAAACCCAAAGCAAGTAAAAAGCCTCAATTCACCAACTGGAAGGTGAGAGAAAGCTCAGTTCACCAGGTGGGGAATTACTGCCAGGGTTTGGTGGGACAGGCTGCAAAGTGCCTTGCAAAGGATGTGATACAAAGAAGGGCCATATTTGCAATCCACCTCACTACTCATTTGTACAAAAGATGCTAGGTAACTTTTGTATATTTTCATCAATGTTTAGAACAACTCAGAAAGTTTCCCTTTTAAAGGTGAAAAAAACAGAGAAGCCATGTAACTTGTCCAGGGTCATAAATGACAAGCAAACAATCTCTATCTTGGACCAGGATTTATGTGGTCTCAAATCTTTACTTTTTCTTTACTCTTATTTCATCTATTTCTCTATTTTCATAGTTTCAGCTCTGTTACATTCTTATCAAATTTAGTGCCTTTCTTCCTCCCTCTCTGTTCAAACTCTCATTAGACTTTATTACTCCATCTGTTTAATGTATTCATTTTCTCTAATTAAAAGAAAATTTGAGATTTGATGGATTTGGCCAAGACCAAAAGTGAACATTTTAGGCTTATTAAGTAAAACCTAAATAGTAATCTATACCATGGATTTATTACATATCAAAAACATTTATTGATTATTATCCAATCTTCATCAATATACTAGATAGAGACTGGTCGGGGATGGCGGGAAGGGAGGCATACAAAACACAGGCAGATATAACTAGGAAATGATAACAAAGGAGGATACATGTTCTAGAATAGACACGTAGTTTTAGTGGTCCCCTGTATCTTGACTCTCTCCTGAGAGGGAAGATCCTCCAAGATGAGTGCTCTGCACACGGTAGAATGCAAAGAGCCATGTCTTGGAAGTCATAACACTTGCATCCTGAGGCCCCTTGCATGACTAACTAGTTGCTTGTGGTTGGTACATCACCTGATTTCTCTAGACCTCAGTTTCTCCACTTATGAACTGAGGATGTTAGAGCTGTAAGCACCATGGATACAAAATAATCCAACCTTCTGATTCACTGTACAAGGACATCTGGAGAAGGGAATGTATAAGGCTGAAATTTAACCAGCCTGCTGTGCTGAGCTCTGCCTGCTAGAACAAAGTGCTACCTTGTTCAGTTTTCAAAGAGCCAGCTTTCAATAAGAATATGAACATCCCATGTGCCTACCAAGGGGAATACCTTTTAGAATTATCTTAAATTGCCATGTGGCTACCCTTGGTATTGCCCTTAATGTTCTCTGCTCATTGTCTCTAGTAAAATGGGAGTGAGACCTGCACAAGTTTTATGTTCTCCTCTTGAGCTGCGGATTAACATAATTACCATTTTCTTCTAATAAGTACAAGCACATGGTGACAGCAGCAATGGCTCATCCTCATAAAAAGATCACCTAATGTTCACTAATTGTCAGTGACATTCTCCCCCCTTATACCTGATGTCTGAGATAAACTTCTTCTTGGAAAGAACAAGTCAAAGGAAGGCTTGGGGAAATGTTTAAGGGAGCATTGGTCAGGCAAGCTCTTCTTTGGGTTTCTGGAGAAAGGTTATTTGCCTTGGTTTGTCTTTTCTTTCTTTTTTCTTTCTTTCTTTCTTTTTTTTTTTTTTTTTGAGACAGAGTCTTGCTCTGTTGCCCAGGCTGGAGTGCAGCAGCATGATCTCAGCTTACTGCACCCTCCACCCACTGGGTTCAAGCAATTCTCCAGCCTCAGCCTCCTGAGTAGTTAGGATTACAGGCACATACCACCACACCTGGCTAATTTTTGTATTTTTATTAGAGACAGGGTTTCACCATGTTGGCCAGGCTGGTCTTGAACTCCTGACCTCAGGTGATCCGCCCACCTTGGCCAACCAAACTGCTGGGATTACAGGCGTGAGTCACCTCACCCGGCTGGTTTGTCTTTTCATGCTGCTTCTCATTATCAGAGGAATAAGACGTTAGTTTTTCAGATGCAGGTATGCGCTAGAGGTTAAGAGCATGAAGAAGTCTATTTTTCTGGGGCATCATAGAATTGCAAGACACAAAGAGCCCTTCCACCCAACAGATGCCCAGCGAGGTGCTTCGGGATTGGTGTTTCCCCTGGTGCTTGGGACCAGAAAATTAACTTTTAATCATAATATTCATTTGCTGGCTTTGTGCCCCATACAGATCTCACTCAGGAATCTGACTTTAGCAGCCACCTAGATGTTCACAATGTCAGATTCTGGTCATTTTGGGCTAAAGTAATATAAATAAACATTCAGAGTGCATTACCTGTGTAAATTCTGCTTAGATAAATTCTTACTACGCTGATCCCTACTAATGCTGAACTTTGCCTCATCTGTGGCTAAGCATTGCCTTTATTTAAAAAATTTGCTTTTACCATCTCTACTTACTCTTTTACTAACAGGGCTTTTGGCTGTGTTGAAAACCACAATTACTTTTGCACCAATCTAATAGAATATCAATAAAGAGTTAATATTTTTTTCTGAGTTTTGTAATAATGCTTTTCGTGACCAAATGCTTTCTTTTTAATAATAATGATAATAATAGCAGTAACTCTATTAGTTTGTTAGGGCTGCCATTAGAAAAAACACAGGCTGGGTGGCTGAAACAAGAGAAATTTACCTCCTACAGTTCTGGAGGCAAGAAGTTCAGGATCAAGGTGTCAACAGGTTTATTTTTTTCTGAAGCCTGTCTTCATGGCTTGCTGTGTCCTCAGATAGACTCTGTGCATAAGCACCCCTGGTGTCTCTGTGTCCTAATCTCCTCTTATTAGGATACCAGTCATATCGGATTAGGGTTGGTGCTAACGGCCCCCTTTTAACTTAATTACCCCTTTAAAGAGCTCATCTCCAAACACTGTTGCATTGTAAAATTCTAGGGACTAGGGCTTCAATCTGTGAATTTTGGTGAACACAATTCCACCCATAACAGTTATTATTCTTATTTCTGGCAGGCATGATTCTAATCACTTAGTATATATTAAGTTCAGAGTTTCTCAAACAACACTGTTGACATTTGAACCAGATAATTCTTTGTTGGGGTTGCGGGTGGGAGCCTGTCCTGTGTGATATCAGATGTCTAGTGTCATCCCTGGCTTCTACCCGTTAGATTCTTGTAACACTTCTTTCCCAGGCAGTGACAGCCAAAATGTCTCTAGACATTGTCACATGGCCCCGGGAGATAAATTTGCCCCAAATGAGAACCAGAGACAGGGTCACACTCTGGTGCCCAGGATGTAGTAGAAGGGCATGATCATAGCTCACTGCAGCCTCTCTCAAATTGCTGGGCTCAAGCAATCCTCCCACCTCAGCCTCCTGAGTAGCTGTAACTACAGATGCACACCACTGCACCTGGCTAATTTTTTATTTTATTTTTTGTAGAGACAGTCTCGCTTGGTTGCCTAGGCTGGTCTGACACCTCTGGCTTCAAGCGATCCTCCTGCCACAGCCTCCCAAATTGCTGGGATTACAGATGTGAGTCACTGTGCCTGGCCAAGTCTAATCTTTAACTCAACATTGCAAGATAACTTAATATCCCTGCTTTGTAGAGGAAGACACTGAGATTAAGAGAGGTTGAATGACTGGCCAAGGTCACATACAGATTGAGTGGCAGGGCCAGGATTTGAACCCTTGTGACATTTTCCACGACATTACACTGCTCATTTGTGGCTACACTATACCTCTTCAACATTCACCACTGTCTCTAAGCCAAGTAAACCAAACTCTGAAATGTTGACCTAAAAATAACTAGTAATTACCATGTGATAATACTTTGTTTTATCTCTTTGCAAAAATCCAAACTATAAATTCATTGTCTTTCCCCAACCACTGACCAAAGATTATTGCAGATTGTCAACCTGACATTATGCTAACTCTCCTCTCTAAAAATGATCATTCATAAGTGAAAACTAGACAGAAGGATACACTTTAAGAACAACAGATTATAAATCTTAGCTTAATCTAACCATCCATCTATCCCTAAAATGTACAACACCCCAATGTTAAAGATAAAGAAGTCAGAGCAGGTGAGTTGAAATATTGCTTTTGATTACACAAAGAATTAGGCATAAAATTAAGACATGCTCTGCCTTGTGAAACATTATTTAAAAACGAAAAATTCCTGAGCAATGCACCCCCCGAAATGTGACAACTTCAGAAAGCTTTTCATTTTTTCTTAGGAGCCCACATTTTCATTAAATATCACCTGAACTTCTAATAACCTCCAGAGAGAAGAGAACACTAAATGATCAGGCAAGTGTGTATTTTGCAGTGTTTGGGGGAAGATCTCTTCCTAACTCTTGAGAGGTAATCTTTGCTTCCCCACCATGAAGCTCAAGACTTGATTAACTTTATCTTAGCATACCAATAAATGTTGTATTGGCCATAAAAACAGTCAGCCCTAGCATAAATCCAACTCCAGTATTTAATTCCTTGACCTTCCATGTCAGAGATTCCCAGAAGCAAACTACATGCCCTGTGAAGTGTCTCCTTTTTTTTGGCTCTAAATTTACTGCCTGATCACTGTGTAGCCCCTACACTCATCTTGCCATGAGACAACATAAAAAACAACTGTTCCAGAGACCTTCGTATTTTGGAACATCTTTATCTGTTCATCTCAGACTATTCCCTCTGCCCCAACTCCTCCATATAGTAATGCATCTCCAGGGAGGGTGCATTCATTTTTATTCAGAGTTGAAGCACATGAGAGAAAATCCTCATTTCAGTTGAGAATGATATCAAGCTAAATCCTCTAGAATGTTGTTTCTGCTGTATCCATTACTTTATTAGAAATATAATAACTTACCTTAAAAGATTTCTAATACCAATTGTTCACGCTACAATCCTTAAAGGGTGCTCTCCCAAAGAATGAATTTTGGAGGTAAATCTTTAAAAAACAAGTTCTGCATAGGAACTGCTAATAGAGGCATTGTTTATTTTTAAGAGGATATATTTTAAACCATATGAGAAGGCTACTTATCCTTGAGGAGACTTCTTTTATTTTTTTGAAATTTTTATTTCTATTTTTATCACACTGGGCTTTTTGTTTTTCTTTTTGTTTTTTGAGATAAGTCTCCTTCTGTCACCCAGGCTGGAGTACAATGGTGTGATCATGGCTTATTGGGCCTCAACCTCCTGGGCTCAAGTCATCCTCCTGACTTGGCCTCCCAAACTGCTGGGATTACAGGTGTCAGCCACCGCTCTCAGTTATTTTTTAATTATAAATTTAGCAGGGAAAGGTAAAACATAATGATCACCCTTTTGGGAGTGTCTGCGCCTGTGATTCTTAACCACGGTCACCAAAGTCACTCCTGAGGATTTTTCTGAACTATACCCCATGATGCTTCCTCCTGCAGAGAAGCAGATACTCTCTGATCTGTTGCAGATCACAGAGCTACTGTTAACAGCTATAGCATGTCTATCTCTTATGTGTATCTGGGCTATAAAATAGTATTAAGAACCACTGGTCTGTATTAAATAAAATGTAATTTGTTAGGTGGGATTTGTTAGAAGACAGAGTTTTAAGTTTCTCTCCTGGGTACTTTATTCTAATAGATAACCCTACAACATGCTCTTCTCTCTTCATGCATTTTTTTTCTGCTTTTTTATTATTATCATTTTTTGAGACAGTGTATCTCTCTATCACCCAGGCTGGAGTGCAACAGTGCAATCACAGCTCACTGCAGCATCGACCTCCTGGGCTCAAATAATCCTCTCATCTCAGCCTCTGGAGTAGTTGGGACTACAGCTATGCACCACCATACCCAGCTAAGTTTTTTGAGAGATGCAGGGGTTCACTTTGTTTCCCAAGCTGGCCTCGAACCCCTGGGCTCAAGTGATATCCTGCCTCAGCCTCCCTAAGTGTTGGGATTGCAGGTGTGAGCCACTGCGCCCAGCCTGCTTTTCCTATTCATCGTTAAATGCCCGGCTCAGCTGTTTCTACTCTGGAATCCCTACTCCTGGCTCACAGGGAGAGTTAGTTGTCCTGGCCTCTGTGCTTTCATGGCACCTTAATGTCTGCTCTCGAACTTTTCGTATAATTGTTCTGGAGTCTGCCCTTCCTCTTGCTAGACTTTCAGGTCTTCACAGGTAGGGATGATACTTGATTATCTTTATATCTCTAGTACAAAGTAACATGTCTAAATACAGTGGAGGCTCAAAAACTGCCTTTAAATGAATGGAAATGGGCACTTTAGGGAGAGGACAGGCAGAGTTTGAGGGAATTGAGAAATGGGTTGTGAGGAGAAGTATGAACAACTCAAAGAAAACTGTTGGCCCGTAACATGGCTGAGGAAGTGGCTTTAGGAAGAAGTCCAAAGACAAATTTTGCCTATTTCACAAATTTGTCTCTAGCCCATTAGAAAAGGACAATGGGCAAGAAAGAAATTTTCACTTTAAGTTTTGGGTTAAAAACTTATTGATTATTTAACCCTCAGTGTCCAGAAGGCTGGTGGGAAGGCTATTTTTTGCTGAGAGAGTTATGGGAAAGTGACACCCCACTTGGAAGTACTGATCCTTTTTTTTTCTCCAACCTCTCCATGACAATCTAGCAGCAACCAATTCAATATAATAGAGGTGTTCTGAAAATTTGATGAAAGCTTCACAGTAAATGTTATTTTAACATCAGAGGCTGCAGCTACAAGAAAACTAATTCCTAGAACTTATGAAAAAAGTAACAAAAAGGATTTGACAGTGTTGTTTCTAGTAATAATAAGAAGTAATAATATTGCCATTTAAATCTGTCAAAACCAAAACAGCCTGACAGAGCCATAAAAAGCGTAGTCCCAAGAGCAGACAGAGATTCCCTTTGCTTCACATGGGGTGACAGAGGGAAAAGTTCTCTCCCCTTTAACCTTTATAACAGGGAATAAATGCCAGAGCAAGACTCAGGGCTCTGTGGCAGAAAAGGCCAGGATCCTTAAACCTTGGATCTGACTCTGCAGATAATCACTTGCCCAGGTGCCCAAGGCTAGTGAAAATTAAAACGGCCTTAGCCTGGTAAGGACAAGATGTTTCCTCCTAAAAATTACGTGTAATATATATGTGAACTTCTCCCCTCTGGCTTGAAATTCTACTTCTCATCTGCATATTCTACTTTCATCCTTTGAACCCAAGAGCTCTTTAAAAGCCAGAGAAAGGAAACACAAAGCTGGCCAAGTCACAAATTAGGAAAGTTCTATTTAGGAGCCTTGGGTAAAATTACACACACCTGCATGAGACCTGATACTGGAAACCAGATGAGAAAGTCTGGGGAGGAAGCACTGCAGTTTTGGAGGCCATCAGGGAGCGTGGAAGCCCAGGAAAAGGGAGAAACGTGGTAAGCAGGTGTTCTGGGACAGCATTTGTGGTTTCCCTGAACATCCCTAGCAGGAAGGGTTTACCGAACCCCCCAGAAGGGGTTGAAATGGCAAGAGGGGATTTTTGTTCTGTTCACCTGTAGACCTCCTATCTACAAATCACAGGTCTGGGCAAAATACCTTGCTAAAATTTGTGTTAAATCATTATCACAAAACTTAATAGAGTAATGACAAACTTGTGGCATTGAAGTGTCTCTGTCAGCATTCAGATTCTCAGATATGGTCAAAACTTGTTTTGCTTCTCTGTTATCTGTTTCTTAAATCCTCTTGAGAGAAACTGTGACTTATAGAATGACTTGGTGGATGGTGAAATAAATGGAATTTATGAATATGCCCTCTCTTCTAGATATGTTTCCTCTGCTGAGAAATTGAACAAAAAAATCTAAAATTGGGACTAGGAGTGACTACTAGCAAAAGTAAAGTGGTCTGATGTAAAGAACATTAACTAGGGGCATGTCCTGTGATCTGTTACTGATTGTGGCAGAGACGGTTACATGCTTGACAAAACTGGTCTCATTTTCCTCTTGGGCACAAGCTAGACTGCTTTTGCCAACCTCCTTTGCTGTTCAGTGTGGCCATGCTACTGAGGGCTGGCCAGTGAAATGTGGGTGGAAGTGACGTTTGCCATTGCCATGTCTGGCCCATAAAAATAGCTGTATTTCTCCCTGTATACTGACTGAATGAAGAAGGCATTGTGGAGATTACCTGCAGGAGGCGGCAGTCACAAGATGGCAGGATGCTGGATCCCTGAATGTCCTAATGGAATGCCTCCCCCAGTTGCAAACATATGTACATTGGACTGTGCATGAGTGTGAAATTTTTATTTGTTAAGCTATTTGGATTTAGGAGCTTGTTAGACCAGATTGCTTCACATACCCTAATCAATTTGAGTACCTGAAATAAGTTGAACGTCATAACTTCGGTTTTTTCATCTGTAAAATGGGGTACTATCTGCCTATCCTTCTCTTTAGCACAGTTTTGGAAGCTCTTAAGTGAAGGAATATACATAATCAATATTGTGAAGCAAAGTATGATATAAGGCATTATTGCTCTTATATTTGATGCCCCCTAGCACTATCTCCTAATATCCAAAACTATTACTATCTCATTTGCCATCCAGGTGTGCCCCAGCCCAGACCTCTTCTTGGCAATGGGAGCGATTGATTCCCTAACACAGTTAGGAGATAGGAATCTCTCCCTAGTCTTTTTTTGGTAAGCATAGTGACACTTAGCGGTGAACTAACTTGCCAGATTCCTTCCTGACAGCAGGGTTTTGTTTTGTTTGATTTGAATTTTTTAGGAGAAGAAGGAAACAAAGCAGATTGGTCCATATAGATAACACGGGCATGAATGTTGACCAAGAAACATTTCTGAGACAGTTTCTCCAGGGATGAGAGTAGGCAGAGGCACATCCTGGTAAGTGTCTGGCTGCTGCTAGGACTCTGAAATAGGTTGATCTTCACCAAGAGAAGCAGGAGTAGAGCCAGTGGCAGTAACAGGACTAAGTGGAAACCTCTTTGTTTTAATTTGAAGAAGGCAAACAAGTCTACCTGTCTTCTAAAATGTTTCCTAAGTTGGCACCAAAACCAATGCCTTGTCTAACACACATGGGGTTTTGGTTCTACGAGTCTCTTGTTGAAATGGATAAGTTACATTTGGGTGTAGTCAAACTCTAACCTATTCTTTTATTATTGAGGCTGGAGTATCTTAGAAGCTATCTAGTTCCCTATTCCTTCATTTTGAATATTTGGCTGAAGATGAAAAATAATTTGCATGATGTGAGACTGTCAGCACCTGAATTTAGATCTCTTGATTTCTCATCCAGAATTCTTTTCATCTTAGCACACTATCTTGTATCCAGTGATAAGTATTATAATATTCTGAAAAAGATAAAACACAATTCTTTATCATTAACCTTGAAGATGGCATTTCTGTGCCTACAAATAGCAACATCACCTATGTCCTTGAATGTAGCATATGACATTTTATACAGTTGTTCATCTCTTGGGGGGTTGGGGCGGGGTAGAGGTAAGGGACAAAAGCTGACAAGTATTCTCTTCTATGCTCAGTACACATTAACATAGAGAATATACTTACTGCTATGTTTGGATATAGTGTGACCAAAACTAGTGTTGAAATTTTATCCCCAACCTAGTGGTATTAGGAGGTGGAGGCTAACGGGAAGTATCTGGGTTGGAGTAGGGAATGAATCCCTCGTGAATGGCTTACAGCTGTTCTAGCAGTAGTGCATTCACACTCTGGCAAGATGGGATTAGTTCTGAGACAATGGAATTAGTTCCCTGAGGAGTGGGTTGTGGGCCAGGTGCAGTGACTCACACCTGTAATCCCAGCACTTTGGGAGGCCGAGGCAGGTAGATCATCTGAGGTTAGGAGTTCGAGACCAGCCTGGCCAGCATGGTGAAACTCAATCGCTACTAAAAATACAAAAATTAGCTGGATGTGGTGGCATGTGCCTGTAATCACAGCTACTTGGGAGGCTGAGGCAAGAGAATCGCTTGAATCCAGAAGCAGAGGGCAAAGTGAGCTGAGATTGCACCACTGCTCCAACCTGGGCAACAGAGCAAAATTCTGTCTCAAAAAACAAAGCGGTTTATTATAAAGCCAGGATGCCCCTTGAGTGTTCTCTTTTCTCACGCTTCCCCCTTTGACCTTGTCCATCATGTTGTGACACACAGTGTAAGCTCTCACCAGAAGTTAGAGCTGTGCTTTTGAACTTTCCAGCCTGCAGAACCATTAGCTAAGTAAGTCTATTTTCTTTATAAATTTCCTGGCCTCAAGTATTCTATTGTAGCCACACAAAAGAGACTAAGATACTTACATTTATGAAAAAAGTAAGAACTTTACAAGTTCTTAGTAAGAATTACATCTTAAAAAATATGAAGGTATAAACATCAGATTTGTTAGACAACAATTAACCTTTTAAGTCAGCCAGAGAGAAGCAGTTGGAATAAACTTTAAGTTATACCATTGATGGGTAGATGGATCTTTGAGATATAATGACATATGACACAATAACTAATATTGTCACTTGGCATTGGTTACTGCATGCTAGCTGAAGTTCCATAGAACTGGCTATCTCACTACAGGTGTGTCATGTTACAGAAGGCCATATGTATGCTCAAAGTTAAAAATGTACTATACTGAACATCTTATCTTCCTTCCCAACTTCCTCCACCTAGATCATCCTTATCTTGGTTAAAGCCAAAAAAAACAATGCTCAAAAACTCTTTTTTTTTTTTTTTTTTTTTTTTTTTGAGATGGAGTCTCGCTGTGTCACCCAAGCTGGAGTGCAGTGGGGTGAATGCGGCTCACTGCAAGCTCCACCTCCCAGGTTCATGTCATTCTCCTGCCTCAGCCTCCTGAGTAGCTGGGACTACAGGCGCCTGCCACCACGCCCAGCTATTTTTTTGTATTTTTAGTAGAGACAGGGTTTCACCATGTTAGCCAGGATGGTCTCGATCTCCTGACCCTGTGATCTGCCCACCTCGGTCTCCCAAAGTGCTGGGATTACAGGCGTGAGCCACCGTGCCCAGCAAAAAAATCTTAAAAAGTTTAGCACTGTCCTTGAGTCCTCTTCTTTTCTTATGCTACACATTGAGTCTATTAACAAATCCTCTCAGCTCTACCCTCAAAATATGCTCCAATATGACTGGAGTTCTTATTATTGCCACCACAATCCAAACTAGTCATCTCTTGCTTGGATTATTTTAACAGCTTTCTTATTAGTATGTCTGCCACTACTCTTGACCCCATCAATTTGCTATCCTATGCCAGCATAATCCTGTTTAAAACATAGGTCAGATCTCATCACCTCTACTCAAAACTCTCCATGGCTTCCCATCTCTCTTGAGCCAAAAGCCAAAGTACTGCCAGCAACCCACAAAACCACACAAGGCCTGGTCCCCTCCTAGCTCTCTAACTTGCTCTTTTGCTTCTCCACTCCACAGTCAGCTTTGATTACACTGGACTTCATCCTACTGCTCAAACATGACACACACTCTCCCGCCTTCAAACACTGTACACTGTCCATTCCCTCCACTGGCACACCTTTTCCGGAACAGTCTCATAGCTTTTCCTCACTTCTGGGCTTTTTCTTCCAGAGGCGTCTTCTCCATGTGGTCTTCTTTGACCACTATATTTAAGATGAAAAACTCTCCTGCATTACTTCCCTCACATCCCCTCTCAATCTTTCTGTGTTTTATTTTTCACCATCCTTCTTATCAGCACCTAGTGTACTATGTTATTTATTTTGTTAATTGTGTGTCTTGTATCTTTAGATTGTAACTACTGTGAGGGCAGAAATTTCTGTCTGTTTTGTATATGGTAGTCTCTCCAACATTTAGAATAGTACTTGGCCTACAGTAGATGCTCAAAAACATATATTTATTGAATGAATAAGAAATTGTTGAATAGAGGGAAAAGTTGGTGTACTTTGGGTTGTTAGTAAGTCCTTATCTTCTGCTATTCTGAGAAATTAACCTTAGGGTAATAAGTTCTGCAGAGACAGCCTCCAGATAGAAAAGATCAGTACAACTACTTTTGTTTGTACAATATTGTTTTTGTTGTTATTTTCATTGGACTTGAATACTTTCAGGCAGATCATGGATATTACTGTTCACTACTTTTCTTATCCTCATGTCTTACACTTGGCTGAGTGACACATTTACCTTACTTGCTTGGCTTTACAAGGCATTTGAGTTTGTGACCCTGATAATATCACTTTAAAGACTTGTCTGTAGAGCAGTTTTACAGAGGCCAAGAGTCATTGATTCATTCATTGATTTCATTTATTGTGAATTGAGCATTTTTTTAAACTATGCTAATGCCAGAGAATCAAAGATGAAGGAGACCTTTTCTCAAAAATGAGAAAAGTATTGGGGTTGTCACAGAAAGTCCAAATCCCATTTCTAGTAAACCAGTTTAATGCAAATAACTCTTATTTCTTCCCAAGAAAGGAACATCTCAGAAATGCCATCAGACTGTAATCACCTGACAAGTTCTTCTTACCCACTGCACAGAAAGCCAATTCACTGAGACAGTGGTATTGCCGTAGAGAAAGAGTTTATGAAATGCAGATCTAGCCAAGTGGAAGGGTGGGAATTTATTACTCAAATTAGCCTCTCCAAGAATTTGGAGGCTGAGGTTTTTCAAGGACAGTTTGGTGGGCAGAGGACTAGGCAATGGAGAATGGTCATTGGTTGGGTTGGGGATGAAACAGTTAGGGTGTTAGAGCTGTCTTCTTGTACTGAGTCAGTTTCTAGGTAGGGGGTTTACCATTCCAGGTGGGATCAGTTGGTTCATACAGAATGCAAGCTCTGAAAACCATCTCGATTACCAGTGTTAGGTTTTACAATAGCAACATTATTCATAGGGGCAGTTGGGGAAGTTTTAAATTGTGTGGTCATTGGCTACATGACTCATGATTAGTAAGTGGTTTTAATAAAGCAAGTTATAAAACAATGACTGGTTAGAGTTTATGCCTGCATCCTAGCAGAAGAGACAATGGCTGGATAGAGTTTAACTATGTCTACATCTTAGCAGAATTTAGGCCCCTATTACAATTTTAACCTTGTGACTTTTTTTATTTTTTAATTCTACAAAGACAGTTTCAGTCTTTGAGCAAGAAGGAGGTTAGTTCAGGAAGGAACCTGTATTAGTCCATTCTCGCACTCCTATAAAGAATTCCCTAGACTGGGTAATTTATATGAAGAAAACACGTTTAGTTGGCTCATGGTTCCGCAGGCTGTACTGGAAGCATGGCAGCATCTGCTTGGCTTCTGGGGAGGCCTCAGAGAACTTACAATCAAAGCAGAAGGCAAAGTGGGAGCCAACATGTCACGTGGCTGGGGCAGGAGGAAGAGAGAGAGGACAGAGGTGCTACGCACTTTTAAACAACCACATCTCATGAGAAATTACTCATTATACAGTACCAAGGGGAGATGGTACTACCCCATTCACGAAAACTCTGCCCCCATAATCTAGTCACTTTCCACCAGGCCCCTCCTCTAGCATTGGGGGTTACGATTCAACATGAGATTTGCGTGGGAACACAGATCCAAATAACAGCAGGGTTGTTACTGTCTTTGTTTTAGAATTAAACTGTAAGCTAAATTCTTCCCATAGTCGGCTTGGGATGAGCAAAGATGCTTAGCCTGTGAGGTTAGAAAAAAAGTGGAGTCAATTATGCCAGATTTCTCCTTCTATCATAATGTTTGCAAAGGCAGTCTCAATACCAACATATTATTAGATGTTTCCTTCCTTTCTTAACGGTCTCCTGTCTCAGGTTTTTCTCAGAATATTTCTCCTACTTTCCCATCTTAACTGAACAGTAGGTTTATCTTTAAGGATTCCTGCTCCAGGCCACAATCTGTGATTTTTCAGACCCAACCAGGCTTTGTCTGTCAGCCTCATGGAGAGAAGCTGCCCTCCCTAGTCCAGACTTGTTGCACAGTCAGTGGGTTAGAGTTTTCTGGAGAGATTTATAGTCAAGTACACCATCCCCTGCCCACACACACAACCACCCCCTTCCCCTACCCAGACATGCTCACGTGCAATATCTGCATTCCTAGTCCAGGGGTCTCCATTTGGAGGGATCTTTCTAGGGGACCTTGGGCTAAGGCACTTTTCTTCACTTTAACTCAGCATTCACCACGCCAAGACTTTCTATCTTTCTCTTCCCCAAACCCATGGGTCCATAAAATGGCAGAAACCTTTTGTTTGGGGATTCTCTATGGTGAGATGATTTTCCTTATCTGTGCTGCATCAACCTACCTCTTGCCTGGTGCTGTTCTGTGGAAAAAAGGGAACATTGGGAAGCTGGTGGCTCTTGTTTCTACTTTTGCAGTAAATGAATTAGGTTTCATTGTGACTTTTAGTTTGGCTCATTGTCCTAAGTAACTGCCATGATACCTAACTGATGGCTGAACACTCTCTATATCAAAGAAGGTTGCAGGGGAATATAATGGACTCTTAATTCTCCTGTGTCTCCCCACCTCTTCCCATTTTCCCTCAATATCATAGAACAAGCAGAAAGTACAATATTCTGTTAGCTCTCCTCTGTCATTTTGAGACTATGACTTTTCACTTTTGTTTAATAATCCTTGCCACTTTGAAGTTAATTGCATCCACTGGAAGCTACTAATGGCTTCCAATTGTACCTAGAATGACATTTAAATTTCTTCTCATGGACAATAATGCCCCAGAGATCTGACCCTCACTTTTTTTCTGACTTTATTCATTACATTTTAGCCATTCTGGCTGTCTTCTTTCTTAAATACATCAAACTTTTCCTGTCTTGGACATTTTCTACATGTTTTACCTCTGGGTAGAATGTTTTCCCCAGATCTCAGCATGGCCAGCTTCTTCTCATGCCTAAGCTCAAATGTCACCTCCTTAAGGAGATGTTCCTTTTCCAGTGGGACCCCCATTCAGTCATTCTTTATTACCATGCTTCAGTTTTATAGTAATTGTCACTATCTTAAAATATGATATTTGAAAATTCACTTGTTTATGACTGCAATGTAAGCTATAAGCTCTCATTTATCATATTCCACTTATTAGCATAGTACCTGATATATAAATAAATAATAGATGTACTTTCTTCTTATCCTCCTAGCTGACATTCACCAACTTCCAGGTCACTGTTTGTGTTCTTAATGTTCTAAATGCATGTCCAGGTCACATTTGTGGCCTATTTAGTACCCTATTATATAGTTTTAAAAATTCTTCCTAAATGTATTTCACCATTCTCTACCTCAATAAGCCATTCTCAGAGCCATAATTTGTCATCATCTTGAACTTCTAAAATCCACCTCCCTTAGACCACAGTTACCTATCACACTCTTTTCTTAATTTCTACTGAATCTTCCCTTGAAGCTCATGTTGATTTACAGATCCTCGAATACCTTTTCTTCTGCTTCATAATTAACCCCTAAATTTTATTTCCTCTCCCATCTTCTCCTGAACTAAATTGCTAGCTGATGACTAAACATTTCGTGTACTCTCTCAAGGTCTAAAAACAATTCCTTAGTCACATGAGTGTATATTGGACTTTGGCAACATATTTGGACTTACAATATCAATGGAACTTTGCAAGGACAATGTTCTTTTCCTCTTGTTCTGTTCCAGAGTTGAGAGCAGAGCAGAATCTTTGCTCTGCTGGGTCATCTTTAAATCACCCCTAATGCCTAAGATGTTCTTTCTCATCTTCAAAACAGTTTCTTCTATTTTTTTTAAACTTCCAACTGTACCCCATCACCCTCATTCTCAATGTAAGACCACATATTTTCTATTAAAAAATAGATTCTTCTATTTTTCTAAACCTCCAACTATGTCCCATCACCCTCATTCTCAACATGAGACCACATATTTTTTTATTAAAAAAATAAAATAGATTCTGTCATATATGGATTCTTTTAATTTCCTACCTCTTAACATTTTTTGTCCTTGTTTCTTCTGATCTATCTCAGAGTATGAAGTGTACAATGTACCTATTTATTTTCAGTACCTAGTACACTTTTCAGTGGGCTTTGTTGTACATTGATTGAATAAATGACACAGGTGAAGGGCAGTTCAAAGCTTTATTAGAAGAAATTGAGATGTTTTAATATTCTGAAGACTAATACAGATGTGCTCAGACAGACCTATGGTCTGGAATAGAACAAAATACTAAATCCTCATGATACATTTAAACTAGTAGACATTTAGCCCTGCTGTCACACTGGGTCATATGTGACTGCATGTTAACAGATGCCACTGTGTTCATGGAGTCAGGAGATATAGTTTTCTAATCTTGACTGTTAATACTGTCATTGGCTCAACTTCAATAACTTCGTCCGAAAATGAGGCCCCTGATTGTCTCTAATTTCTCTGGCTCTAAAAGCGTATGATTCTTTTATTCCTTTGTCATTGTAGCAAATTGACAGCTAAAAGTGAGGACTTTGCTATAGAACAAGTGAACCCAGTGATGGGAAAAATATCTAAAGTGGGATTCTGGAAGAAGAGAATTCACCGAGGACATACTTAGGTTGACATGCTGAGTTTCCCTTACTGTTTTGTCTGGGCCTGGTCATAGCAGGACACATTAACACTTGAGGCCTGAACCTCATTCTTTGTACTTATTTCAAGCAGCAGCAGTAGAGAGGCAGATTCAGGTAGGAACATGAATTAGAAAGACCTTGTACACAATACAAAAGATGTACTCTTGTCAGAGGCATTCTAACCAGAGTGACTCCATCTTGAGTAGAGGCTGGGTAAATAAAGCTGAGACCTACTGGGCTGCATTCCCAGGAGGTTAGGCATTCCTAGTCACAGGACAAGACAGGAGGTTGGCACAAGATACAGGTCACAATGACTCTGCTGATAAAGCAGGATGTGGTAAATAAGCCCACCAAAACCCACCAAAACTAAGATGGCCATGAAAGTAACATCTGGTCATCCTCACTTCTCATTATATGCTAATTATAATGCATTAGCATGATAAAAGACACTCTCCCCAGAGCCATGACAATTTACAAATGCCATAGCAATGTCAGCAAGTTACCCTATATGGTTGAAAAAGGGGAGGGACCCTCAGTTCTAGGAACTGCCCACCCCCTTCCCAGAAAACTGATGAATAATCCACACCTTGTTTAGCTTATAATAAAAAAAAACTATAAATGTACTCAGTTGGAGTACATTTATACTATGGAGTGGCCATTCTTTATTGGAGTGGCCATTCTTTATTCCTTTAGTTTCTTAATAACCTTGCTTTCATTTCATTCTATGGACTCTGAATTATTGAGTGAGATCCAAGAATCCTCTCTCTTGGGGTCTGGATAGGACCCTTTTCTTTCTAGTAACACTTTTAGTTTTGAGGACAAGCAAAAACATGGAAGAGTTTTACATAATGACATAGATATAGTTTGGTGATGGTGAATACAAGAAAACCTATTAATTTTCCAGTGATTTACAGTGCACTACATAACATAATGCATTGTTGATTTGGAGTGTGAAAGCTGTTAATTTGTTCTATTTAGTCACTTTTTAGTTATGGCCAAGAAAGATAAGGGAAAGGACTAAGGATGGGTGAAGTCATTGTCCTCTATTTCTCTGAGAGTATTAATTGGTACTCTCCTCCATCAGACTCAAAACCAAGGTTTTCATAACTTGTAACATTTGTTACATTTTATATTTCTTTCTGTCACTTAGTCTATTCTTATGCCTCATATTAAGCCAAGAGAAATATATGTAGAGTGCTGCCTATGCTATTACTCACAAGCTCTGCTGGGACCAAGAAAATAAATATTTCCCCTCTTCTCAAGTATATTGTGTGTTTCTGTGTAGTTGTAAGGTTGGTAGTGAACCCAGTGACAAAGTCAGTGAGAAAGCAGCTATCCTTAAATTATTATTCACATTGTGTGTGTATGCGTGTGTGTGTGCATGCACGTTGTGCAATGCATTCTTTATTCAAAGATACAAGTTAATCA
This sequence comes from Homo sapiens, assembly GCF_000001405.40. Lineage (NCBI taxonomy): Eukaryota > Metazoa > Chordata > Mammalia > Primates > Hominidae > Homo > Homo sapiens. The sequence continues at coordinate 36,057,415 of NC_000008.11, read as the reverse complement.
TCTCTTTGTATGATAAGATGAATAATATCAGGCACCTTGGTGATGAAAGGAAAAAGGTGTGTTAGGGCACTACTCTAACTGTGTTTGTTGATTCAGGGCCTTTTGTGAGATCAAGATGGTAAGCTCCATTCCCATCTAGGAAAGCCAGTTTTAGTGGGATAAAATTCTGCTTTGAGCATCTAGATTTGAGTGCTGTCACCTGCCTTTTTTTCCACAAGGAAAAGTGGGCAAGAATGGGTTATCACAGATTATTCCCACAGGAAGGAGGGACACGTCTCATGAACATGCAGCATCATATTTGAGAAAAACAAAGAGTACATATTTGCTTATATGTCCACTTGCCATCTATCAGGTGGGCTGTGCCATTATCGGTTACTGAGAATGAAGAATTCTTTATAAGCAGGTGGTATAAAGTAAATAAGTCATACCCCAGTGGAAGGTCAGGTGGATGCTGAATATATGGTTTTATTTTTTAATGATGGAAAGCCACTTTCAGTTGCATTGAGCTTTTATTTACTAGTGGACATGGAGTGTACGGCATTCTGCAAATAATGCAGCTCCTATTTTTGCAATACAAATGGTCACATTTGGACAGACATGAAGCCAGGTAGTTTCATGTACTTAAAAAATTCACTTCAGTGAATACTATATGGATTGATCACAACTGTGGTCAACTTTGGATGGCTAAAAGTGGTAAAAAGCAAAACAGATGCTGATTTTTTTTTTAAAGGCAATTCAATTACCCTTTATCTTTCCCCTTAATATCACTAAAAAATGATTTAGATTGGAGTCATCCATTGTTTACTTGAAAGAACTTTTGCATCACCATATTCCTATCAAATATCCATGAGCCATGTATATTTAAGGACCTGTAAAATTACCCAATCCAGCTCTTTCAGCCCCACAGTATATAAAGTACCAAATAAAAATGAAAACAACTTTCAGTTCTTCTTTTGCCTAACAAGCAGGAAAACCTATTTTAATACCGAATATTCAATTGTAATGTGTGTAATTTTGTAGTCCTGCTGTAAAGAATATTTTTCCTGCTTGTACAAAGACATAACAGATGAAATTAGAGGATATTATATTGTCATATGCATCGGAGGAATAGAGTTGGTATTAAATCTTCCACATGGCACTCAGACACCAAGGCATCAGAAAAGAAAATGGCATTCCTCAAAATCCCTTTTCACCTTTCAACCCCAGGGGACCTCATTATATCTGAAGGAAGGTATTTGAAGAAGTCAAATGCAGAATGGGCTGTAAATTGTCATGGGGAGTTGTGGGAAAGGAGGGACTCTCATCTTGCCTGAAGCAGCGCCCTCTCAAGGAGCACGTAAAGTGCTGATTTCACATGCTTTGTTGATCCTCGAGTACTGTGACCATAGGAAGGGGAGGTTTGATTGATGAGACAGATCATTTAAGATTGTAGACACTGGCAGGTGATGGTTTTGAATAACAATGGCCAGAGAAGAGCTCATACTCCATTACTTGCAAATTCTGATTACAGACAAGACACCTGCAAATGACTCTGAGATTGGAGGTACCACAATCTATGTTTTATCAGCAACTCAGAGCAGTCTCTGTAGGGTCATCAACTGCCAGTCTTCATTGTATTAATATTCTAGGTTTTATATTCATTCAGATGAAAAAGTAATGAAACTTCAAAACGATGTAATCATATTACAATATCACTAAACTTACCTTCTAAGACACCCCCTGTGCTTTGGATAATGCTTTGTGTCATTCAATATGACATGTTTATTTATGCTGCATTAGATTTATTTTTTAAACTAGAGAGAAATAGTCATGCCTATAGAATTTTCTCATGATGGTTTCTCAAGTCCTGTACTCCTCTTGCATGGATTTTTTAAAAAAATTATTATTAATTGGAAGAGAAACTGTTGTGGCTCAGAAGATAATACCCTAAAATAAAGGCCTCAGAAGCAAAAGTTTCTCCCTGACCTTCTCCTGTCCTCCTGTCTCTCAGTCATTCTCCCATGAGGCTAGCCATGGAAACTAGAATCCCTCTTTCTGGATCATAGAAACCAGAACCCCTTCCCTCCAAAGCCAGCCATAAAGCATAAAAATATCACACTAACATTCCCTCTGGCTTTCTGTGTAAGAATTGTCCATTAAGAAATGATCTGACCTTCCTTGTTTGACTACAGGTCATAAGACCACCTTTACAGAGAAGGTCCTGCCCCACATCCAGAAGGAAGGAATAAGTGCTCAGAGTGTTGGCCAAGAAGAATCTAGACAGTCAGGCCTTGGTGGATTTCCCTACTCAGCCTATTTGCATTAGTTCTTACCCCTTTGTCATAGGGAGTTGTGGGAAGGGAGGAACTCTCATTTTGTCTGGAGCAAGACCTTTTTGTCCAATCATATTTCCACATGCTGCCCATGCTTTATTAAACCTAAGCATAAAAATGGACAATTTCCTCTGTATCTTTTGGTCTTCATTCTGAAGGCTCCTGGGTATACACATGAAATAAATGTGTGTGCCTTTTCTCCTATTAATCTGCCTTTTGTGGGTTGATTTTTCAGCAAACCTTCAGAGGGCAAAGAATAAGTTTTCCCTTGGGCCCTACAAAGCTGATTTGAAAAGAAATTAGCAGTTTTTCCTCACTTTGAACGTGTACATATTCCAAAATGTATTTTTAAATTTATGTAGCATGTATTACAACCCACATATTTTTATACATGTTATTTATTCATTTAACAAATATCTGTTAAGTGCCAGACACTGTCCAAAGAACTAATGATATAGCAGTAAACAAAGCAGACAAGCTTACTTCTTCATGGAACTTGCCTTCTATTCATGGGTGGCCACAAATAAACATGAAAGCAAATAAGAAAATAAAGGTAAAAACAGATTGTAATACATGCTATAACAGAAACAAATGGAATATACCAAACATTTATTGAACATCTACCATGTGCAAAACAAGATACTAGTTATTTTCAGAACACTAAAATGAACAACAAAATAAAGTTCTTGCCCTCAAGTAGCTTACAGAAGTATAAGAAAACATTAATAATCAATCACTTTGTTCGTGTTAAAGTATTATGCATATTATTGTTTATGTGGTTTTATCTTTGAGCTCAATTCCCTAATCTCTTCCACAAAATGTTCCTACATGACAGTGCCATAATAAACAATGGCTACATTTTAGGAGAGTTATGAGCAAATCTGAACTGAAATCCAGGAAGGGAATTAACTCTTTAAGGAAATTCAAAGAAAATGTCATAAAGAATAATTTTGTAATGCCATCCTACCTTGGGTGGGGCAATAATGTGAACTTCTCACTTTTTAAAAAGCTTGATATGTTGCTTAATAATCAAAACTAATAACTGACCTGATTTATTATTTGTTTCTGTTTTTGTTATTGTTTTAGACAGGGTCTTGCTCTGTGGCCTAGGCTGGAGTGCAGTTGTACATTCATGGCTCACTGCAGCCTCAAACTCCCAGGCTCAGGTGATCTTCCTGCCTCAGCCTCCCAAGTAGCTGGGACCACAGGTACATGCCACCACACCAGGCTAATTTTAAAATTATTTTGTAGAGATGGGGTTTTGCTGTGTTACCCAGACTGATCTTGAACTCCTGGGCTCAAGTGATCCTCTCACCTCAGCCTCCCAAAGTGCTGAGATTACAGGCATTAGCCATCATGCCCAGCCTGGCCTGATTTTTGAAAAAGGAATAGACATTAATTAAGTCATGTGGAGTGGGCAAGAGGACATTACAGACAGATGGAATAACATGTATTATGTAGGTGTATCTCCTACTGGTTCTGCTTCTCTAGTTGAAACCTGACTGATACAGTGCCTAGAACATAGCTACTTATTTGTTAACTTCACTTGAATGCATTTGCAATGCAAACACATCATAGTCTGTACATTTTTATTATTCACTCATACTTAGTCATCTCAGTTAATGACACTACCATTCATCCTGTTACATAACCTAAAAGCCAAAAGCCTTCCTTGAGAATTTCTTTTCCTCTATCCTTTATATGTAAACCATCACTGAATCCTACCAACTATACTTACTAATTATCTCTTAAATATCTAACACTCTCTATCTCCACTATCAATAACTTGGCTTAAACTACTCTTATCCCTTGACTGGATGACCCCAGAGCCACCTAACTCTTCTACCTGTGTAATGTGTGCTTAGTACTCAATCAGTTCTCCATTTTGCAGCAGAGTCACGTTTTCTAAAAACAACTATGATCATATTGACCTCCTGCTTCAAATACTTTGGTGCCTTCCTATTGGCCTTAAAAGAAAGGCCAACATCTTTATCCCATTTAACAGAGCCCTATTTGGGCTTCCTCTCAGAAAGCTTTACAACTACAGATTCATGTTGTTTTACTCCTTCCCTTTGTTTTCAGTTTTTTGATTTTGAGTGTTACATACTTCCCAAACCACCCCAGGCCATTATATGTATGTGTGCATATTTATAAACACATATACACACACCATATGTATGTATTTGTTACATGGAATTGGCTTACAAAATAATTTGGGAAGCCTATTAAATCAAATCTCTATAGGAACCTTGTCTCTGAGTCTGATTCAAGAGCTTGGGATTCATAGGACAGACATTCAGGAAAGGAAGATCACAAGCAGGCTGGAACTGAAACCAGCCCAACTGTCCCATGGAACTGATGTTTATAGTCTCTTTTGAACAAACATAGAAATTGACCTTTCCAGTCTTAAAACTTGAGCAACTTAAATTTGTCTTATCTGAGCTCCTTTGTCAGGAAACCAACTATCAGGTCTCCCAGAGAGTAGTGATACTCCAGACCTCTCACCTGGCATGATTGCATAACTGACCACCTGATGCCTGCTGCTGACCAACTCCTCTTCCATAGCCCTACCTAATTACCATTTGCCCATATGTAGTTATAGTTTTTCCCTGCTATATTAACCCCTAAATTTAGCCAGTTGAGGAGATAGATTTGAGAATGACCTTGCATCTCCTTGGCTGTAGTAGCCAAAAAAGCCTTCTTCTCTGGCAATACTTACTGTCTCAGTGACTGGCTTTCTGTGCAGCGAGCAATGAGACTTAAACCAAACACCTGATATTTTGGCAACAGAACTCCTTAAGAACAAAATGAAACCTTATCTGTTTTTGTGATCTCTGACTTTGGTAATGACAGTATCTCACAGAAGCTGGGACCCTTCATGGCAGTACTAAATATTCTCCCCACCACTGCCCTCCTGCCACACACCTGACCTAAGAAACAAAGAAATTGAAGGAGGACCAGAGGAAGGCAGAACAATTGCAGGCCCAGCTCTGCTTCATGCTAGAGGTGAGTCAGCAGTTGAGCCACATTTATGAGCCACAAAATGGCAGCTGCCTCCCTTCCACCTTCCAAACTTTCCAAGGATCTCCTTGTTGCCCACCCTAACAGGAAATATACAAGAAAGAAAATTCTGGAAAATGCAGTTCAGCCTAGACAGGTTGACACATCACAAAGCCATCATAGACACTGTGCCATTTTGAAGTAGTACTATAAAGATTAAGACCACGTTTTCTGACTTTCCATAACTAATGGTTTTCAAATCATATGGTAGGTTTAAATGGAAAAGCATACATAGGTGCCCTGGGAGGCTTGAGAGGCTTTTATCCTTGTCTGGGAGTTCAAAGAAAACTTTCTAAATGAGTTAAGTCTTAGACAATATGTGTGAAATAGACAAAGAATAATAGGAATGCAGTTGCAGACAAAGAAAGCATCAAAGCCAAGATGCAAAGAGGGTGTATAAATCAGCTTTCGCTAGATTACCCTGGAGCAAATTCCAGAATCTCAACATAGATTTGTTTTCTGTTTGTTTGTTTTGCTTACATTAATGTCTATCGCATTTTGGCTGTATCTCCTTCCAATCTTCTTCATTGTGAGCCCCAGGCTGAAAAAGCAGTACCCACCTAAGACATACTTGCCTCAAGGGAGAGGTAAAGAGAAAATAGCCAAATGACACAGTGGCTCCCTAAAGCTGCTCAGGAATTCATTTCCTCTCATATCTTGTTCACCAAAAACAGTCATATGTCCAAGCCTGATTTCAATGAGGCAAGGAAGTATAGGCATCCTATAAGCAGTAACAGCAAATATTTCAAACAAATAAAGTACAGGTGTCTAGGTCACAAATATTCATATCTCTCCATTGTGCGTGCTAAGTCTGCTCCCTCTCCCAGAAGTCTCATCCAGGCTCAAAATCTAGGATCTCTTGGTAATTTTTGTATCGAATCTGGACGTGACTCTTCTCAATCTAGTGACCTGTGAACTAAAAAGATAAATTGTATTTCCTCATATATCCCGTATGTAATAGTGGAACAGGAAGATTATGCTCTCCCATTTGGAGAGAAGAAAACAGGAGACATTCATCAGCCACTGTCAATAGCATTCAAAAAATTCATGAGGCAGATGTTACAATAGGTCCCTATGCTGGAGAACTAAAGGTTTCTTGATGGGGCCCGAGTTCTACAGCCTAGGAGTTGCTCTCCAGTTCATCATCCTCTGTGACCTTTGGCTCCACTCTTTGGGAGGCCCATTCTCTTTCTTTTATCATCATTGGCTACATCAGAAGATGGCACTGGAGAATGTGCCCTTCTTAAAGACTCAACGGCATTCTATACCTGCTTCCTTTTTTAAAAGTTTTGGGGCCCAAGATTAACTGCATTCTCCAAATCAATTTAGAAATTGTAGCAGGAACATTGTTTGCCACACCCTTCATTCAGACCATATCATCAGGCTGAATTTTGATTGGTCCTTGGCTTTCACCAACCTAAATTTGTATCTCTCTAGTTGAAAATGACAATCAAATGTATCTTCAAACTCTGCACATAACATAATTTCTGGATTTTCTATATTCCTTTTAACTCTGTGCAAATCAGCTGGTTCTTTTCTGAGCTCATCTTTTTTTTATGGTACTTTGACAAATGTAGCCAATAACACCCATGTTACCAACAGTCTTTTTCCCTCTTTATTTTCCTAAAGCCACACATTCATTAGATACATTACTTCGGACTTCTGAGTTATTATGGGTGACCATTTTACAGAGTGGAGTCTGGGAGTATAGTGACAAAACACATTTCCTCAGTTAGGCAACACCCACACATGACCCAGAATCCAAAGCCACATATTTTAGGTTTTGTCATGGAAGCATCAATTTTTGTATTAGATTTTGCTAGACTGTACTACAATAACCCTCAATCTTTAATGGCTTACAACAACAAAAGTGTATTTCTTACATCAATGTTGTTTGTTTGTTGGCTGCTCCACATCCTCTTTATTTTGGGACCCAAACTGAAAGAGCAGCCTCTAATTTGGGACACCCAGCCTCACAACAAGGGGGAAAAACAAAATGGTTAAATGATTCAGTGGCACTTAATTCTTTGACATGTCAACAGACACTTTCACCCACATTTTATTGGCTAAAGTCATATAGCCAAGCTAACATAATGAATTAGGGAAGTATTTTCCTTTCACAAGTATGAGCCATAAATATTTTGCACAAATACTGCAAACTCCCACAGAATTAAAGCTGGAGGGTGAGGTTCACTAACATTAGCATATAAAGTGAGAGTATAGGACAGGTAGAGTATTAGAAGAGATGTATTTGGAGGGCCCTATATGCTATCATGTACTTTTTGTTTTATAAGCAAAGGAGAATTATTACAGATCTTTAGGTGGCAACAAAGTGATATTTTCAGTTTATATGCAGTGTTCTAGCAGTGGCAAATACTGGAGACCAGTGAGGAGTTAATTTCCTCAAACTCAGTGGGTGCTAATGAGGATTTGAAGGAGAGCTATGGTAATAGATCAGGATGGGGCATGAGGTGTTGCATTCTTATGTAGCAGATAAAATATTCATAGGAAGAAGGTAAAGATTAAGAAGGGAAGGAAGATTGACTGTATTGAAGATAAAGAGGATAATTAATGACCTTAGAGGACATGGCGGTCATCCTCAAAAGAGGATGTTTGCTTAAATTAAAGGATATGGGAGTTGGGTAGGAGATTTGAATAGAATGCCAAAGATACAGCATCCATGAGGGGAGTAGGAGAGAGAACAAATAGAAGTTAAAACTTTCAGGTAATCAAGAGGCTTGCCTATAATTAGTTTGTAATGACTCTAAGGGATACATTTAGTTGATTTCTCCACCAATGCTTTGCAGCCTTAGAGGTACAGTGGAAATTCTGGGGTTCTCAAGGTAATTGAGAATGTTGATGAGAGAGTGACTGAAGTAATGAACTAGGTGGTCTAGGCTGGTTAGGAAAGTGAGAGAGCCAAGAGGTGGCTGAGAATCTGGAAGACAATGGAGAAGTCATAGGTCCCTTGACTCCCTGTATTTAGTCTGTACTGACTGTGTGGTTGGAGTGAGGACATGAAGAACATGATGGATAAGAGTTTGAGGTTAGAAAGTGGGATATTTGCATTTAACATTTCTGATTTGGTACAGTTGATGATGAGGATTAAGACAAGGAAAGGGTGCAGCTTGACTGATATTCAAGGGAAGTCTTTAGAGTTGGATAAATAAAAGAAATGTGAAGATAATATGTTGAAGTCTTTGTGGAAATGGATATTGAAGTCATTCTTGATGATGTGGAGGGTAGAAATAATTGTTATGTGTGCTTTGGGAAGGGGCAATTGTTGCAAGGATGGCAGGGAAAAAATAGGAAAATTATTGAACCTCTTGATTCCTCCCTGTGGTTGGCAGAATTCTCAAATGACCCCCTGTGGTCCACACCTTTGTAGAATTACCCATCCTTTGAATGTGGATAGTATCAGTAACTTGCTTCTTACCAATAGGATATACAAAAAAGACATATTCCAATGATTATGTTATATTTCATGACATAGATGAGAGATTTAGCAGATGTAATCAAGGCCCCTAATCAGTTAACTTTAAGTTAATCAATAAGGAGATTATTCTGGGTAAGCTTGACCTTGTCTGGTGAGCCACTAAAAGGGTATCAAGGTCAGAGATGGAAGAAAGTCAAAGAAATACTATCCTGCTGGCCTTAAGAAAGCAACAGCCATGTTGAAAATTTCCAAGAGATTTGGAAATCTTCAAAACTCCTATGGGGTGGCATAGGAGCTGAGAGCTCCACTCCTACAACCACATGAGCTTGGAAGAGCACCCCCAGACCACAATAAGACCCCATCCCTGGCTGACACCTTGATTGCAGATTTGTGAGATCCTGAGCAGAGGACCCAACTGAGCCACACCCAGACTCCTGACCCATGGAAACTGTGAGATAGTAATGTAAATTTTTATGTAGCAAGGGAGCACTAATAGACTACATTAAATATACCACCTGATGTTAAAGACTAAAGTGTTTTCAGAAATCTTATTTATCATTCTTTTAAAAATGTTTTCAAAAAAAATTTTTGCCTTCAACTTTTATTCACAGACACAAATATGAGATGGTTTCTAAATTAAGAATGTAGATTAAAGCATGAGAAGCAAGCTGTGCAGTAGATGGATATAGAACAATGGGACAGATCTCAGTCATAATTCTCATCACTCCTACTTCTCTTTAGTCAACTTGTCTGCATGGAGCAGAAACAAAAGGAACAAGTGCTTCCAGTCTGAGGGGCTGGATCTGCTGACAATCAACACCTTAGGAAAGGATGCTGGGCTAGGAGAGAGGTAAAAGAAGATGTGAAGTTTGCTGAATTGCTAAGACTGAGAATGGAATAGAAGTTGGGAGCAAGGGAAACAGAGATAAAGGAAAGAGAAGAGATAATCAACTGAGCAGCTGCTTTAATAGACACACATGATTTCTTGATGGCTAGTGATATTTACCCTACTTCCTAGAATAGTTGTCTTTGCAACTACTATGGGAGAGCTTGCATAGCCAGCCAGTCATGGCAGTGCCATGTTCTTAATAGTCTGAATTCTACACCTACAAAGTTATTAACGGGAACACTCAAACACTCGAGGACACCAGATAGGTCCATATACAAGTATCTTCTATTTTCTTCTTTCTTATCTATAGACTTCATTATAAGTGAGCAGGAAGGGGCTTAGTATCTGTTGGCTACCACAAAAATTAATAGCCAAGAGCAGGGAAGAAAGCCTTAACTATTAAATGGAAAGAAGTATAAAAACGTTTAGTAATCTATGAATACATATCGCTTCCACTTACAGAAAACACATTTTACATTTCAGTTTTGTTCTCAGAGTTCTCTTTGGAGTCAGAATGCAAAACTTTATGAAACTGCTAAGTGTTTCAGACTAAATTATGAGTAATACTTTGGGACATGATTAAAGATTTGTTAAACACACCACAGAAGAGTTTAAAGTGTGCAATGATTCAATAGGGTACAAAAGGGGTTGATATAGTGGGAGCCTTTGATTTATTATTTATGGAATCATACTTGAGCTACTGCTATTGAGTGATTTTTCATTGGTAGGCAAATATCCTTGACTATTTTGCCTCATGGTTATGGGAAGAGCGAAGGTGGAGTTGATTACCCATTCAAGATGAAAAACAAATGTCTTTATTGAACTCAAAACACTCTGGTGACCCTCTGAGAAAAGGCAGAAATCAGCATAATAGCCAAAATGAACTTCTACCAGTATATGTGATTTGAGGGTAATTTGTGTTTCAAAAACACTATTTTCAAAACAGTTCATTAATTCAACAAATATACATATCTTCCCCAGACAGGCAGATAGATAGATAGATAGATGCCCTTTATTCATAATGATCTCGACACATATTTCATTCAAAGAGAAATTAATCTCTTCCCTTCCCAGTTTATAAAAGCTATTTGACTAATTACATTATATAATGGTGTTGTCAAAAGACCTTTACCTAGGTGAGAATTCAATTATGTAGCATAGGCAGAATTAATCACTAATACTTTTACAGCCTGTGTATCTATCTCCATGGCAAGAGAAGTCAGAAAGGAAACTCAGTGGACCAGCAAGTTAAAGATATTCCTTTTGCTAGTTTGCAGTAGGTAAAATGAAGGAGAATGGTGTTCCCAAATGTATGGTTTGACTGAACAAGTGTAGATATGCAGAATTTCACAGCAACATGCTTCATAAAGCTACATCAAGTATTTTACACCTAATATATTAAGTAGATGAAAAATCTGAAGAAAAAATATATATACTTCCACAGACAGGATTAGAAAAAAAAAATTATCACAGTCAGTAAGCCTCTGGTAGGAGACAGGAGTAAATGTCTAGGGGAAATTGCACCAAGACTGAAATAAGACCAAAAGTTAATTGTGGAGATAACCCAGTGATTGTCAGTCCTGATTCTGAAACCACTGATTTTTAAAGAACAATAAGGGGAAAAGGGAATCATTATCACCCTCAGTGGCTTTTTTTTGCATATGAAAAACTTCAAACCAGAAAATACATCTTCCTTGTGCTCTCTAAAATATATATATACATAAATATGTTAATATCTATATATTAACATATGCTATATATTATCTAATTTTATATGTTAGATTATATGTATTTGTATATATAATGCACTACCTCTATATACAACTTTTCAATCTAGCTTTATAATACTTTGTCATGGAAAAGAAGATGATTTTTAAAGAACTTTCCAGCTCCCATCTTCCTCAGAATAAAAAGTCCCAATCCTTTTATATTTTTCTAGGAACAATTACTTTTCCTACCCTTTACTTATCACTCTTGTTTTCCTCTCTGGACTCCATCCAATCTTCAGACTCTTTTTTTTTTTTTAACTGAAGTTAAAACTGGTACAATGTCGTGTTAAGATCTTGGCCAAGTTTGAATAGCATCTATGTTTCTGCATCTTATTAAAACCCCAGAATCATTGAAAGTGAGTCTTTTTGTGCTCAAGGTCAGTGTAGCCTGGCTGCGCCCTCTTAAAAATAGGATATGACAAGAAAGAACTGTAATCTGTGTTCAGCGACCAAAAGAAGTTGCTGTGGATTCTTAAAGTGGTTTAGCTCTCTGTAGACATCACTGACATTGTTAGCTCATAGGCAAAACACTTTAAGCAGTGTTTATTTATAGGTGTTCCTTCAATGAAGTGACATGAGGCTCCCAAATGCTGTTCAAATCACTACATGATGAACTGCACATTAGATGATCTTCTGGCACTTCTGATATTAACTCCAAAGAATCACTTTAGACATGTGTATCTCTTTTCTCCAAACTGTGGATAAATCAAATAACAGTTGTTTGACTTCACAAGATTTAGAGCTGATCTACAATGTGATTTTGTGCCTTGTAGATAGAGTAATCAGCTGGAATTTTCTCAGGCAAAGTAATTAGGCTGCACAGAAATACTGCAGTTGCAGTCTAAAGGGGAAAAGAGATCCCAATCACAGAGGCCTTTTACATTTATTTTTATTAATCCCTAATGGTCATCTGCATGCATTGTGTATTGCCATATTAAAAAAAAAATCACAAATTGTTTACATTCCTTTAAGATGTTCTGATAATGGAATTGGAAAGTATCCCTGATTTAAATATTGCACAAGTATTAACTGTTTTAGAGGGGTGATTACAGATGGGATTTGCAGCCAAGCCATTTTCCCCAAACAAGTTCTCAGCTGCAGGCCATTTAAGTGCAGTTAATTCATTAGAACAAGAAGAACTTCAGTTAAATACATTAGCGATGAACTGTTCATCTGTAATAAGGCTGACTCATGCTGGTAATTTCTTGCATAGTTGTTATTCAACATATACTCTAAGTCCTGGCTGAAGGAGAGAAAAACAATGGCAAATGCAGTCTTTTAGTATCAGGGTTTGAGAATATTTTTTCTACGGCACTGGCCCAATTTGAGCATCCCACTGTTGCACTTCAAAGACAGGTCACACTTAGAACAGGCCAAGCACATTTCTATGACACCTTCTACAATGGCAAAAACCACAATTGCTTTTTTACCAACCTAATATCAGAGAAGGCTGGAGATCCAGGAAATGCAGGGAACAATATCAGAGGAAGAGTAGGGTTACTCCCAAAGGCTCATGTCTTCAGCTCTGGACCTTGAAATTACCTGTTTACAACAAAGCAAACCCTCCTTAGAACCAGTGACTCACCAGGGTCCTTTATTCCCTGAGCAAATGAATTAACTTGATAGTTGCTATTCCTCTTCCCAGAGCAGCCATGTGCTCTAATTGCCTGATTCCTCCTTCCCAGTTTGGGATGAAATAACTTCATATCACTTCCCATAGTAAGTCAAAGCATGTATCAGCACCCAATGGCCTCTCACAGATGTTCCGACTTGTCCTTCTCACCTCCCTTGTCCCCACTCCTTGCCTTCCACCCTCATCGCTAGATTCAAGCCCGTCTTCTCTCACCCCATGCCCTACCTAAAAATTTAGTGTTTCCAAGATCAGGCCTCCAAATCTCATTATTTCTTCTTATGTATTGTGCCTATAAAGTCAAAATTTCAAAGTGATAACAAGCCAGTAGAGATCCCTTTATGAAAACCTTGTGATTATTCCTTTAAAATTAGTGCTTTTCTTGCTAGTAAGTGTATAAGGCTCTTTTAAGTCTCTCTCCAATACTAATCTGATGTTTAGAAATGTGTGCTTGTCCATCAGAGAAATGCAAATCAAAACCACAATGAGATACCATCTCACACCAGTTAGAATGTCGATCATTAAAAAGTCAGGAAACAACAGGTGCTGGAGAGGATGTAGAGAAATAGGAACACTTTTGCACTGTTGGTGGGACTGTAAACTAGTTCAACCATGGTGGAAGTCAGTGTGGTGATTCCTCAGGGATCTAGAACTAGAAATACCATTTGACCCAGCCATCCCATTACTGGGTATATACCCAAAAGACTATAAATCATGCTGCTATAAAGACACATGCACACATATGTTTATTGCGACACTATTCACAATAGCAAAGACTTGGAACCAACCCAAATGTCCAACAATGATAGACTAGATTAAGAAAATGTGGCACATATACACCATGGAATATTATGCAGCCATAAAAAATGATGAGTTCATGTCCTTTGTAGGGACATGGATGAAATTGGAAATCATCATTCTCAGTAAACTATCACAAGGACAAAAAACCAAACACCACATGTTCTCACTCATAGGTGGGAATTGAACAATGAGAACACATGGACACAGGAAGGGGAACATCACACTCTGGGGACTGTTGTGGGGTGGGGGGAGGGGGGAGGGATAGCATTAGGAGATATACCTAATGTAAATGACGTGTTAATGGATGCAGCACACCAGCATGGCACATGTATACATATGTAACTAACCTGCACATTGTGCACATGTACCCTAAAACTTAAAGTATAATAATAATAAAATAAAAAAATATAAAATATTAAAAAAAGAAATGTGTGCTTGTGCAGGATCCCTATAAATGATCAGTATGCATTGCCTTACCCAGGGTTAATCTGTAATTTTAAGAGAATCTTACTATTTCTCTTGAAATTTAATTTAAAGAAAACACTATGTAAGGAGCATTCAAGTATACTAGGACCTAAATGGCATACCCACAATGAATTTAAACATTTTCAGGTATCAGCTTTCTTAAGATCAGGAGAGTCAAACCAAGACTAAGTATCAAAATGTCAGCTGGAATTCTTGTTAAAAATGTAGTTTTCATAGCCCAACCACCTGACCTGCAAAAGCACTATCTTTGGGACTAACACCTAGAAATCTTTGTTTTTAGGGCCCTCAGCTAACAATTTTATTTGTTTTCTCCAACTTTTAGGTTATAGGCTCCAAGAAGACAGGGATTTTTATCTGTTTTCTTCACTGCTGAATCCTTAGTGCCTAGATCAGTGACTGCTATTGGTTGTTCAATATTTACTAGCTGAATGAATCAACTCTCATCTGGAGCCAGGTTTGGAAAGTATTGGTTTAATGATGGATCACTGGAGCCAGATAGTTCTTAGTTTGAATCCCAGCTCTGGCATTTATTAACTCTGTGACCTTGGGCCAGTCCAAGGTCTTTTTGAGCTTCAGTTTCCTCATTTTAAAACTGGGGATCCTAAATCCTAAAATAAATATGTGTTGATTCAGTAAGGAAACTATTGGGTCAATGTAAGGATTGGGGATGACATATGGTAGAAACAGTGCCCCACTCAATAAATGGCATTCACTGTTACTAGTTGGATATAGAGGTAGAGGACTGGCCAGCCAGGGGTCATTTTTATGAGGACCTGGGGAGGCACATGGAAGACAAACTGGACACAATGAGGCTAATGGGTGGCCCTAAGAAAGAGCTGACTGGTGCTCAATTCGCATCATCTAAAATAACCAAATGCCCAGGTTATTTCTAATGATAGAATTTTAAATGTAAAGCCATGTGAGAAGTAAGAAAAATGGGAAATCAGTCTCATCCATAGTGCCATAAAGCCTCATAGAGAATTGACACTTGCAGACAGGGTGAAGCCCATCTCTCCACAGAGCTCTCACTGTCCATCTTTCCCTTAACTCTACTCCCTGCTCTGCTTCTACTCTGCAGGTGCCAAGGGTTCTTCTGCATAATCCACTGTTCTTTTGACTCTGTTTCTGAATCTATGCCTTTCTCTAGCATTCTCTTACCTTACTGTGTCTCACAATTAACTGGTAAAACGAGATCCTGCCTTAGAAAGTTTATGCAGTGTAGACCATCCATGTGAGTAGGCTTCTCATGCCAAGCCGGCTCACAGACCCCTGGGCAGCCCCTATAGATGATTGTGGCTGAATTTTGACCCATAGCATAACCCTTGGCAGTAATGATGGCAAAGTCAAATGCCCCAAAGTTTGTCAACATTTGTGTAAGAAGTCACTTTTGTTCATTTTTCCCAGGAGAATTAAAGGGTTGTCATTTTGATCATATTGCTTGGTGTTGTATCACAGAGATATCCATGAAACCCTGAGTGACTATTTTCCCATTGGTCCCTTGAGGACATTTTACATCAAGAAACAACATTAGATATCATTATAAATAACTTCATGACAATGGTAAACTTTACCCTATGAAGAAAATATGTAGTAAGATATTTTATATCATATCACTCAAATAACATCTATGTCTTAAGTTCTTAAACTTTAAAAAACGATCTTTACCATCCTTGTTTTAACCATACAGGCATTAAGCTTGGAGATAAGATGGATTACATGGAAGGAGGGGATATGCAGACCCCTGATATGAACAGTGGCTGGCAGGCAGAGAGCAGAGAGGATGCTGAGTGCTTCAGGGTGTGTTGTCTCTCAGATTGCCCTCCACCTAGCCTTGCTTTTCGGGAACTAAGTATGTCAGCTTCCTAGGAAAGAAGGGGCTTAAACCTAAAGCAGGCAAATAAAAAGGTGTCAATCTTAGAGGCCTGGCTGGAAAATAAATATGTAAAAAAAAAAAGTGTTCTCTTCTGTGACTTTAATAACAGAATGCAGCACATTCTGGAGGAGGAGTAGCCTTTCTCCAGCTCAGCGGGATGAGTATTGGCACAAGATAAAAGAATATCGCTATGCCAGTGGCAGATGATGGCAGAGAATGAAGCCTCCCATGACCACAAGAGGAAGGCCAGATGGAAGCATGAGGGATAATGTTATTCAGGATCCCTGGATTGTGCCTCAGTCCCCTCCCACACAGGCACACACCCCTCCCACTAGTCTCTTAAACCAGAAAGGAAAATTTAGGGGCTAGGGTTCCAGTGGTTCTTAAGGAGGGTGAGGAACCTTGTATTGATTATGTCTTGCTGCACAATAATTTGCCCCAAAACTTTGTAACGTAAAACAACAAACATTTATCATCCCATCGTTTCTGCAGATCATGAATTTTAGTGGTTTCTGGCTCAGTGTTTCTCATGAAGTGGCAATAAAGTGTCAGTTGAGGCTTCAGCCACCTGAAGCCTTGACTAGAGCTGGATGATCTGCTTCCAGACTCAGTGGTGTTTGGCTGGAGGCCTCAGTCATCACTACATCCTATGCCTCTCCATAGAGCTGCTTGAGTGCTCCTATGATACAGCAATTGGCTTTCCCCAGGCAAATGATCCAAGTGAGAAAAAAGAGGAAGCTACAATGCCTTTTATATTCTCGTCTCTGAAGTCACACCCTGTCACTTCCACTATACTCTATTTATTAGAAATGAGTCACAAAGTTCAGTTCACATTCAAGGGAGGAGTATTAAACTCTATTTCCTAAAGAGAGCAGTAGCAAAGAAAGCCATAGACATATTGAAAATTCACTATTCATACTCTGACTACATCTTATTTATATTTCTCCCACATGCGAAATATATTCATACCACCCCCCACAAGAATCTCAATACACTAATAGCTTGAAATCCCAGATGTGGTTATGTAAATGAGATTGAGGTGTGAACAAAGCTTCTCAGATGTATTTTCTCTTGATCTGAAGACCAGTGAACTAAAGAGAAAAGTTCTCGCTCCCTCCCCATACTCTATTTTCAGTGGTGGGATAGGCACAAGATAACTGCTGTAGGCACTCCTGTTCAAATAAGTGAACATGGAAAATAAACAGGAGTCACTGGTTTATACCAATTCTGACATCAAATCTGGGATGAGTTGTTTCTTGAGTGGAATACAAAAGGACAGGGAATAATTATCTATGGCTCTTGGTTCCACTCTCCTTTCTGCTTTCTGAGTCTTCCTTTCTTTTTCACGGAAGGTATCGTGTTTGTAGCTGAGTAGTTTTCTGAGCCTACTTCCTGTCAGTAGAATTTGGGGAGTCCATTTATTTAGTGCTGTTTCTACCCCCTTCTGTTCAAGCTGGCAGTGTTTCTGCTGATAAAATTCTTTTAAAAACATGTGGGTCTCCTGTGAATATTATTAGGCTCCAATTCATTAGAGAAAGCTACATCTACAAAACAAGATAAGCCCTTCTCTATCTAAGACTTTTGCTGAAGGACAGTATATTTAAGCTTCTTAGAAGCCATAATGTTTGATTGAGGGGAGTTCTGAGACATTCAAATCTTTTAAAGGCCTTTTTTCCCTGACAAAATGACATTCTGAGGCATTTCCATTGATCTTTCTGATGTCTTAATAAGAGATTTTATGGCTGCACCTTTATCATCATTGTTAGACCTGGTGGAGCCCTTGATTTGATATTTTCCCTGAAGCTGTTTCCTAATTTTAACATCTTTTGCCTCCTTTAGAGGCTAAGAATTTTTAAAACCAGAGACATTGGCTTCTTTTTACTTAGTGGACTTTCTATAACATCTCTCTCCTCTCAAATTTTACTATAAGCAGAAAGAAGAAATTAAGCAGCAAAATCAACATTCTGTGTAGAAATGTCCTTAGCTAGTCCATTTAGTTTATTAGATACATTTTATACGTTCCATATTATTGCAGGTGTCAATATTGCTAATGTGTCTGCCACCGTATAACAAGGGCCCCTTTCCTCCAGTTTCCAAGAAGAAATTTCTCACTTTCCTTGGAGACTTGTTGACAGTCTTCTCAAAAGTCCGGACTTCTACTAATAGCCTGGTCAGGGTACATTAGCTTTCACTCTTCTCAAATTCTTTCTAGCTCCTGCACATTAGTTAGTCTCAAAGTTAATCCACATTTTTAGATATGTGCTATGACAGCACCCCACTTCCAGGCACCCAAATCTGTATTAGTTATCTATTTCTACAATAACAAGTTATCCCAAAACTGGGTGTCTCAAAACAATAAAGATTTATTCTCTGTTTCTGTGGGTCATAAATTTGGGAGTGGCTTATCTAGATAGTTCTGATGTCTTTCTCATGAGATTGCAGTCAAGTCCAGGAGAAAGCTACAATTTTTTTTATGTCCCATTGGACTTCACATGCTTTCACTTTGGTCACGTGACAGGAGAAAGTTATGAAGGCCAGCTCCCACTCAAAAGGAAAAATATTAATCTCCCCCTTCTGAAGGTGAGTGTACCAAAACATTGGTCATCAGATTTTTAAACCACCAGAAGCCTGAGACTTTTATTATTGAAATTATTAACAGAACCATATTTTATCCCCAGGCAGATATGCCATAGGAAAATGATGACTACATTTATGTAATCAGAACTTGCCAAGTCTTTCAGCTACCAATAAGCTCAACATAACCAAATATAATGAAACATTCTCAAGTCTCAACTTAACCTTTCAGTAACATTGGACATAATGTCTTTTTTTCCTTGAAGTAGTTTTTTCATTGGGCTTCCAGAGCACTGAATCCTCCTGGCTTTTCTCCTGCCTCTAATTAGCTGCTTGCTTTCTATCGCATGTGCCATTTTCCCCTAATCTCTTTAACCCCAAAGCATTGGAGGGTCCTAGAGTTGGTTACTTGAACCTTTATTTTATCTATACTAAATCCTTAGTGACTTTATGCAATTCCAAGGCTTTAAATACAATGTGTACATATAACTGGCAAATTTATATCTCCCTCATGTAACTTTCCTCAGTTGTAGACTTGTATCCAATCACATCTCCACCTGAATGTCTACAGTCATCATCAACTTAGCATGCCCTTAACTAAGCATTTTATATTTACTGCAAACTTGCTCTTCCTGCAGTCTTCCTCATTTCAGGTCATGTCAACTCCATCTTTCCAGTTGCTTGGAATTCATTTCCATTCATGTTCTCTCTCCTTCTCTCCTTTATTATCTCTGTTTCTTTCTCTCCCTCTTCTCTCCCACATTTTTAATCTATCAGCAAAATCTGTTAGTTCTACCTGCAAAATAATAGATTTGTTGACCACTTTTCAGAAGCTCCACAACAACTACCACTGAGATCAAAGCCACCAGCTTCTATCTCATGGGTTATTGCAGCAGCTTTCTCATTTGCCACCTGTGCTCCCCCTTCCACTTTCACCCCATACAGTCTATTCTCAGCACATCATTCAGAGTGATCCTATTAAACATAAACCAGTTCATGTTACTCCTCTGTTTTATCTCTGCAATGCCTCCCTCTGTCATGCAGGGTAAACATCTAAGTCCTTAAAATGACCCAGGTGATCTCACACTATCTGGCTTTTGTCATTTTCTGGCCTCATCTCCTGCAATTCTCCGTTTTATTCATCTTGCTTTAGCTCATTTTCCTGCCCATTCTTGTTTAAACATCAGGCATGATTTTGCCGCAGGGCCTGATCATTCTGCCTGAACACTCTGCTCTTACATCTCCATATGATCTCACACCAATGTCATATTCTGAGTGAGCCCTACCCTAATTAGTTTATTTAAAGTTGTTCCCCCACCCAATGGTCCCAAATCATCTTTTCTGCTTTATTTTCTCCATAGCACTTATCATCATCTAAAAACCATTCATTTTGGTCAGATGCAGTGGCTCATGCCCATAATACCAGCAATTTGGGAGGCCAAGGTAGGAAAATCACTTAAGACCAGGATATCGAGACCAGCCTGGGCAACCTAGCAAGAACCTAGATCTACAATTTTTTTTAATTAGCTGGGCATGGTGATTCACATCTATATCCTAGCTTCTCAGGAGGCTGAGGCAGGAAAAACACTTGAGCCCAGGTGTTTGAAGCCAAGTGAACTATGATTGTGCCACTATACTCTAGCCTGGGCAACTGCGTAAGACCCTGTCTGTAAAAAACAAAAAAAGACAAAAACAACAACAAAAAACTATTCATTTTACTTATTTTTACAGAATGTAAACTATGAGGGAAGGAGATTTTGTTTGTTTTACTCAGTGATATTTTGTTAGCACCTAGGACTATTTTTGACACAATACATGTCCATTAGTATTTTCATTCTCATCTGCCTGGAAGGCGCTTCTTTCTCTCCTGTGAACGCCACAGCCTGACCACTCCAGACCTGCTCTTCAGCAGCCTTTTCTCACTAACTGAGCTTCCATTGATCTGCCCCACCTTCTCTTTCCTCAGCACTCAAGGCCATAGCCCAGGTTACATTATTATATACTTGTTTGTGTGCTTCATTTTTCTCCATCCTGCTTTTATATTCGTGTCTTGCTTGTCTAAACAGATCTTTGAAAAACCATATTCACTTCCGTTTTTTGGGATCACTCTTTTGCCCCTTTGCAATTATGCAATATACGCTTTATAAATTCATGTTTTATAAACAACTGTTAACCCCCTGTAGTGCACTTCCTAACCTCACACCTCTGATGGAAGATGCTACTTCGAGACAACACAATGTTTTTGTAAAATGCATACAGTCAATTTTGATTTGTACAGTAATAAGTTTCAGGAAAAACCAGCTGAGCTACACAAGCAACTCTGTTCTAATAGTCACACAGTTATTATAGTCTTTTTAGGAAATGGAATCTACTTTTCCACATGGGCTGGAAATTCTAAGATGTTAAAAATACGTTTTTTAAGTTCCGCTGAGATTTAGCTTCTTGTCATGATACTCTCTGAATGATTTCAGTGTTGTGTAAGGCATTATAAAACACTGTAATTTATGTGATCCTGAGCAAGTACCTCTCTAAGTGTTTGCCAATTTGTTCATTTCTGAACCTGCTCCTGATATCCCTGAAGGTAAGTGAGAAAACTCCCTTCATATGCAACCTAAATATAAGACAATGTCAAAATCAGTTATGTCAGCTAAATATTGCTGTAAGAATGGCTCAAAATTTTCTGTTATTTTGAAATTTTCAAGAAGCTCATCAAATGATTATACAAAGAATTATGCACAAATATTTTTTCCTTCTGTGAATTTAACATAATCCTCTGCTTTTTTCTAGATTAATCTCCTTATTATATCATGATTTAGACTTTGCTTAGTAATGTTATAGATTGAAACTGGCTCAATTAGCTCATCTTTGTCTGTCTCATCTCACCTTTGATACAATGCATGTCTGTTTTGGTTCCAATCAATCATCTTAGGTTATTAAAGACACACTTGCACACACAAATCCTAAACATGGAAGAAGGACTATTAAAGCACTAACCCTTCTTGGAGCAAGACCATTTGTATTAGAAAAAAAAAAAAAAAAAACAACTTACATGGTGTTCTCAAATATATTCACGTTTTGAATTAAGACTATCATCTAATAGGATCTGACTCCAGTCTAGAGATCTTTTAATTCATAAATAAATATAAATCGATGCAGCTTCTTTTTTCTCATGAAGAAATCTCATTAACCTGTTTGTTTATGCTGATACCTCTATTAATGTTTTAAATAATTTTGCAGAATATATATGACTACATAAAAATATTGACCCTGTATATCAATTTCACTTAATTTGACTGTAAGTTCCTGGTATTATCTCACAGATATAATTGGAATGTGTTGCTCTTGTTTTTGTCAGAGCCTTTCATGAAGCCTCATCCTAAAGGCTGCCTGTTAAGATGGGAATTTATCACATGTGGCTACAAAATATACATCATATATGTGTATATGATCTCAGAGCTAAAAGGACCTCAGAGCTTTTCTAATCATGGATTTTTGAGCTTTCTTTCATCCCAGCAAACCTGAGAAACAGACCAATCATTAAGAGATACTCACCATAGTAGTGGATTTCTATTTCCTATTGCCACTATAAAAAATTATTGTAGATTTAGTGACTTAACACAAACCTATTATTTTACAGCTCTATAGGTCAGAAGTCTGCAGCGAGTCTCATGAGGCTAAAATCAAGGTGTCCACAGCAGTCATTATTCTACCCACCAGAGGTAATGTTCTCAAGTGATGGAGGAGAATATAGAAGCACATGTTATTTGAAAAATATGCAATACTGCATTATGATTATGACCATGGACTCTGGTACCAGATAAACTCTCTGTGCCTCAGTTTTATAATCTTTAAAACTAGGAATGATAATATTAGTGACTACCTTATGTAGTTGTTTTAAAGACTTGATAAATGTATACATGTAAAAGCACTTAGAATAATTTTCAACCCGTAATGTTTGATATGATTTGGATCTGTGTCACTACCCAAATCTCATGTGGAATTGTAATCCCCAGTGTTAGAGGTGGGGTCTGAGGGGAGGTGATTGAATCATGGAGGTGGAACCTTCATGAATAGTTTAGCAACATGCCCTTGGTGCTGTTCTTGTGATAGTGAGTGAGTTCTCATGAGATCTTATCATTTTGAAGTGTTTATCCCATCCCCCACTCACTCTCTTCCTTCTGCTCTGGCCATGTGAAGTACTGGCTCCCCCTTTGCCTTCTACCATGATTGTAAGTTCCTTGAGGCCCCACCAGATGCCAAGCAGATGCCAGCATCCCTCCTGTACAGCCTGAAAATTGATAAGCTGTTTAAATGTCTTTTCTTTATAAATTGCCCACTATCAAATATTTATTTTTGTATTATTATTATACTTTAAGCTCTGGGATATATGTGCAGAGCATGCAGGTTTGTTACATAGGTATACACATGCCATGGTGGTTTGCTGCACCCATCAACAAATCGTCCGTCATTTACATTAGGTATTTCCCTTAATGCTATCCCTCCCCTAGCCCCCCATCCCCATGCCAGGCCCCCATGTGTGTGATGTTACCCTCCCTGTGTCCATGTGTTCTCATAGTTCAAATCCTGCTTATGAGTGAGAACATGCGCTATTTGGTTTTCTGTTCTTGTGTTAGTTTGCTGAGAATGATGGTTTCCAACTTCATCCATGTCCTTGAAAAGGACATGAACTCATCCTTTTTATGGCTGCATAGTATTCCATAGTGTATATGTGACACATTTCCTATATCCAGTCTATCATTGATGGGCATTTGGGTTGGTTCCAAGTCTTTGCTATTGTGAACAGTGCTGCAATAAATATATGTGTGAGTGTATCTTTATAGTAGAATGATTTATAATTCTTTGGGTATATACCCAGTAATGGGATGGCTGGGTCAAATGGTAGTTCTAGTTCTAGATCCTTGAGGAATCGCCACACTGTCTTCCACAGTGGTTGAACTAATTTAAACTCCCACCAACAGTATAAAAGCATTCCTATTTCTCCACATCCTCTCCATCATCTGTTGTTTCTTGACTTTTTAATGATTGCCATTCTAACTGATGTGAGATGGTATTTGATTGTGGTTTTGATTTGCATTTCTCTAATGACCAGTGTTGATGAGGTTTTCTTCATGTTTGTTGTCTGCATAAATGTCTTTTTTGAGAAGTGTGTGTTCATATCCTTCACCCACTTTTTGATGAAGTTGTTTTTTCTTTTCTTGTAGATTTGTTTAAGTTCTTTGTAGATTCTGGATATTAGCCCTTTGTCAGATGAATAGATTTCAAAATTTTTCTCCCATTCTGCAGGTTGCCTGTTCACTCTGATGATAATTTTTTTCTTTTTTCTTTTTCTTTTTTTTTTTTTTTTTGCTGTGCAGAAGCTCTTTAGTTTAATTAGATCCCATTTTTCTATTTTGGCTTTTGTTGCCATTGCTTTTGGTGTTTTAGTCATGAAGACTATGCCCATGCCTATGTCCTGAATGCTATTGCCTAGGTTTGCTTCTAGGGTTTTTATGGTTTTAGGTCTTATGTTTAAGTCTTTAATCCATCTTGAGTTAATTTTTACATAAGGGGGTAAGGAAGAGATCCAGTTTCAGCTTTCTGCATATGGCTAGCCAGTTTTCCCAACACCATTTATTAAATAGGGAATCTTTTCCCCATCGCTTGTTTTTGTCAAAGATCAGGTGGTTGTAGATGTGTGGTGTTATTTCTGAGGCCTCTGTTCTGTTCCATTGGTCTATATATCTATTTTGGTACCAGTACCATGCTGTTTTGGTTACTTTAGCCTTGTAGTATAGTTTGAGGTTAGGTAGTGTGATGCTTCAAGCTTTGTTCTTTTTGCTTAGTATTGGCTATGCAGGCTCTTTTATGGTTCCATATGAAATTTAAAGTAGTCTTTTCCAATTCTGTGAAGAAAGTCAATGGTAGCTTGATGGGGATAGCATTGAATCTACAAATTACTTTGGGCAGTATAGCCCTTTTCATGATACTGATTCTTCCTATCCATGAGCATGGAATGTTTTTGCATTTGTTTGTGTCCTCTCTTACTTTCTATGATAGAGGTTTGTAGTTCTCCTTGAAGAGGTCCTTCCCATCCCTTGTAAGTTGTATTCCTAGGTATTTTATTCTCTGTGTAGCAATTGTGAAGGGGAGTTCACTCACAATTTGGCTCTCTGTTTGTCGAGTATTGGTGTATAGGAATGCTTGTGATTTTTGCACATTGATTTTGTATCCTGAGACGCTCTAGTTGCTTATCAGCTTAAGGAGATTTTGGGCTGAGACAATGGGGTTTTCTAAATATACAATCATGTCATCTGCAAACAGAGACAATTTGACTTACCCTTTTCCTAATTGAATACCCTTTATTTCTTTCTCCTGCCTGAGTGTCCTGGCCAGAACTTCCAATACTATGTTGAATAGGACCAGTGAGAGAGGGTATCTTTGTCTTGTGCCGGTTTTCAAAAGGAATGCTTCCAGTTTTTGCCCATTCAGTATGATATTGGCTGTGACTTTGTCCTAAATAGCTGTTATTATTTTGAGATACGCTCCATCTATACCTAGTTTATTGGGAGTTTTTAGCATGAAGGGGTGATTAATTTTTTCAAAGGTCTTTTCTGCATCTATTGAGATAATCATGTGGTTTTTGTCATTGGTTCTGCTGATGTGATGGATTACGTTTATTGATTTGCGTTATGTTGAACCAGGCTTGCATCCTTGGTATGAAGTCGACTTGATCATAGTGAATAAACTTTTTAATGTGCTGCTGGATTTGTTTTGTCAGTATTTTATTGAGGATTTTTGTATTTATGGTCATCAGTGATATTGTCCTGAAATTTTCTTTTTCTGTAGTGTCTCTGCCAGGTTTTTGTATCAGGATGATGCTGGCCTCATAAAATGAGTCACAGAGTATTCCCTCTTTTTCTATTGTTGGGAATAGTTTCAGAAGGAGTGCTAACAGCTCCCCTTTGTAACTGGTAGAATTTGGCTGTTAATCTGTCTGGTCCTGGACTTTTTTTGGTTGGTAGGCTATTAATTACTGCCTCAATTTCAGAATGTGTTATTGG
The DNA here is from genome assembly GCF_000001405.40 of Homo sapiens. Classification (NCBI taxonomy): domain Eukaryota; kingdom Metazoa; phylum Chordata; class Mammalia; order Primates; family Hominidae; genus Homo; species Homo sapiens. The sequence goes on along the minus strand of NC_000008.11, from coordinate 36,031,524 downwards.
TCTATTCAGGGATTTGATTTCTTCCATGTTTAGGCTTGGAAGGGTGTATGTGTCCAGGAATTTATCAATTTCTTCTAGATTTTCTAGTTTATTTGTGTAGAGGTGTTTATAGTATTCTCTGACGGTAGTTTGTGTTTCTGTGGGATCAGTGGTGATATCCCCTTTACCATTTTTTATTGCATCTGTTTGATTCTTCTCTTTTTTCTTCTTTATTAGTCTGGCTAGTAGTCTATCTATTTTGTTGACATTTTAAAAAAACCAGCTCCTGGATTCATTGATTTTTGAAGGGTTTTTTGTGTCTCTATCTCCTTCATTTCTGCTCTGGTCTTAGTTATTTCTTGTCTTCTGCTAGCTTTTGAATTTGTTTGCTCTTGCTTCTCTAGTTCTTTTAATTGTGATGTTAAGTTGTTGATTTTAGATCTTTTCTGCTTTCACTTGTGGGCATTTAATGCTATACATTTCTCTCTACACACTGCTGTAAATGTGTCCCAGAGATTCTGGTACATTGTGTCTTTGTTCTCATTGGTTTCAAATAACTTATTCATTTCTGCCTTAATTTTGTTATTTACCTAGTAGTCATTCAGGAGCAGGTTGTTCAGTTTCCATTTAGTTGTGTGACTTTGAGTGAGTTTCTTAATCCTAAGTTTTAAGTTGATTGCACTGTGGTCTGAAAGACTGTTTGTTATGATTTCCATTCTTTTGCATTTGCTGAGGAGTGTTTTACTTCTATTTATGTGATCAATTTTAGAATCAGTGTGATGTAGTGCTGAGAAGAATGTATGTTCTGTTGATTTGGGGTGGAGAGTTCTCTAGATATCTGTTGGGTCTGCTTGGTCCAAAGCTGAGTTCAAGTTCTGGATATTCTTGTTAATTTTCTGTCTCATTGATCTGTCTAACATTGACAGCGGAGTGACACTATTATTATGTGGGAGTCTAAGTCTCCTTTTAGATCTCTAAGAACTTGCTGTATGAATCTGGGTGCTCCTGTATTGGGTGCATATATATTTAAGATAGTTAGCTCTTCTTGTTGCCTTGATTCCTTTACCATTATGTAATGCCCTTCTTTGTCTCTTTTGATTTTTGTTGGTTTAAAATCTGTTTTATTAGAGACTAGGATTGCAACCCTTGCTTTTTTTTTTTTTTTTTTTTTTTTTTTTTTTTTTTTTTTTTTTTTTGCTTTCCATTTGCTTGGTAAATCTCCCCCCATCCCTTTGTGTCCAGAATTGGTGGGTTCTTGGTCTCACTGACTTCAAGAATGAAGCCGCAGACCCTCACGGTGAGTGTTACAGCTCTTAAGGTAGTGCGTCTGGAGTCTGTCCCTTCTGATGTTCAGATGTGTTTGGAGTTTCTTCCTTCTGGTGGGTTCGTGGTCTCGCTGGCTCAGGAGTGAAGCTGCAGACCTTCACGGTGAGTGTTACAGCTCTTAAGGTAGCACGTCTGGAGTTGTTTGTTCCTCCCGGTGGGCTCGTGGTCTTGCTGGGCTCAGGAGTGAAGCTGCAGATCTTCGCAGTGAGTATTACAGCTCATAAAAGCAGCGTGGACCCAAAGAGTGAGCAGTAGCAAGATTTATTGCAAAGAGCGAAAGAACAAAGCTTCCACAGTGTGGAAGGGGACCCGAGCGGGTTGCCAATGCTGGCTTGGGCAGCCTGCTTTTATTCTCTTATCTGGCCCCACCGACATCCTGCTGATTGGTAGAGCCGAGTGGCCTGTTTTGTCAGGGTGCTGATTGGTGCATTTACAATCCCTGAGCTAGATACAAAGGTTCTCCACATCCCCATCAGATGAGTTAGATACAGAGTTTTGACACACAGGTTCTCCAAGGCCCCACCAGAGCAGCTAGATACAGAGTGTCGATTGGTGCATTCACAAACCTTGAGCTAGATACAGAGTGCCGATTGGTGTATTTACAATCCTTGAGCTAGACATAAAGGTTCTCCACGTCCTCACAAGAGCAGCTAGACACAGAGTGTCGACTGGTGAACTCACAAACCTTGAGCTAAACACAGGGTGCTGATTAGTGTGTTTACAAACCTTGAGCTAGATACAGAGTGCCGATTGGTGTATTTACAATCCCTGAGCTAGACATAAAGGTTCTCCAAGGCCCCATCAGAGTGGCTAGATACAGAGTGTCGATTGGTGCACTCACAAACCTTGAGCTAGACACAGGGTGCTGATTGGTGTGTTTACAATCCCTGAGCTAGATATAAAGACTCTCCACGTCCCCACCAGACTCAGGAGCCCAGCTGGCTTCACCTAGTGGATCCTGCACTGGGGCTGCAGGTGGAGCTGCCTGCCAGTCTTGTGCCATGCGCTTGCATTCCTCAGCCCTTGGGTGGTCGATGGGACTGGGCACCATGGAGCAGGGTGTGGTGCTCGTTGGAGAGGCTTGGGCTGCACAGGAGCCCATGGAGTGGGTGGGAGGCTCAGGCATGGTGGGCTGCAGGTTCCGAGCCCTGCCCTGCGGGAAGGCAGCTAAGGCTCGGTGAGAAATCGAGCGCAGCACCAGTGGGCTGGCACTGCTGGGGGACCCAGTACACCCTCCGCAGCCACTGGCCTGGGTGCTAAGTCCCTCATTGCCCAGGGCCAGCAGGGCTGGCTGGCTGCTCCAAGTGTGGGGCCCGCCAAGACCACGCCCACCCAGAACTCCAGCTGGCCCGCAAGCGCCGCACGCAGCCCCGGTTCCCGCTTGCGCCTCTCCCTCCACACCTCCCTGCAATCTGAGGGAGTGGGCTCCAGCCTTGGCCAGCCCAGAAAGGGGCTCCTGCAGTGCAGCGGTGGGCTGAAGGTCTCCTCAAGTGCCACCAAATTGGGAGCCCAGGAAGAGGAGGCACCAAGAGTGAGTGAGGGCTGTGAGGACTGCCAGCACACTGTCACCTCTCACCTTTATTTTGAGCCTATGTGCATCTTTGCACATGAGATGGGTCTCCTGAATACAGAACACCAATGGGTCCTGACTCTTTATCCAGTTTGCCAGTCTGTGTCTTTTAATTGGGGCATTTAGCCCATTTACATTTAAGGTTAATGCTGTTATGTGTGAATTTGATCCTGTCATTATGATGCTAGCTCATTATTTTGCCCATTAGTTGATGCAGTTTTTTCATTGTGTGAATGGTCTTTGCAATTTGGTATGTTTTTGCAGTGGCTGGTACCGGTTGTTCCTTTCCATGTTTAGTGCTTCCTTCAGGAGCTCTTGTAAGGCAGGCCTGGTGGTGACAAAATCTCTCAGCATTTGCTTATCTGTGAAGGATTTTATTTCTCCTTCATTTACGAAGCTTAATTTGGCTGGATGTGAAATTCTGGGTTGAAAATTCTCTTTAAGAATGTTGAATATTGGCCCCCACTCTCTTCTGGCTTGTAGAGTTTCTGCAGACATCCACTGTTAGTCTGATGGGCTTCCATTTGTAGGTAACCTGACCTTTCTCTCTGGCTGCCCTTAACATTTTTTTCCTTCATTTCAACCTTGGTGAATCTGAAGATTATGTGTCTTGGGTTTGCTCTTCTCAAGGAGTATCTTTGTGGTGTTCTCTGTATTTCTTGAATTTGAATGTTGGCCTGTTTTGCTAGGTTGGGGAAGTTCTCCTGGATAATATCCTGAAGAGTGTTTTTCAACTTGGTTCCGTTCTCCCCATCACTTTCAGGTACACCAATCAAATGTAGATTTGGTCTTTTCACATTGTCCCATATTTCTTGGAGGCTTTCTTTGTTTTTATTCACTCTTTTTTCTATAATCTTGTCTTCTCACTTTATTTCATTGAGTTGATCTTCAATCTTTGATATCCTTTGTTAGGCTTGATTGATTCAGCAGTTGATACTTGTGCATGCTTCACGAAATTCTCGTTCTGTATTTTTCAGCTGCATCAGGTGATTTATGTTCTTCTCTAAACTGGCTATTCTAGTTAGCAATTTGTCTAACCTTTTTTCAAGGTTCTTAGCTTCCTTGCATTGGGTTAGAACATGCTCCTGTAGCTCATAGGAGTTTGTTATTACCCACCTTCTGAAGCCTACTTCTGTAAATTCATCAAACTCATTCTCCATCCAGTTTTGTTCCTTTGCTGGCAAGGAGTTGTAATCCTTTCAAGGACAAGAGGCATTCTGGTTTTTGCAATTTTCAGCCTTTTTGCGCTGGTTTTTTCCCCATCTTCTTGGATTCATCTACCTTTGGTCTTTGATTTTGGTGATATTTGGATGGGGTCTCTCAGTGGACACCCTTTTTGTTGATGTTGATACTATTCCTTTCTGTTTGTTAGTTTTCCTTCTATCAGTCAGGCCCCTCTGCTGCAGGTCTGCTGGAGTTTGCTGGAGGTCCATTTCAGACTCTGTTTGCCTGGCTATCACCAGCAGAGGCTGTAGAACAGCAAAGATTGCTGCCTGTTCTTTCCTCTGGAAGCTTTGTCCAGAGGGGCATCCTCCAGATGCCAGCCAGATCTCTCCTGTATGATGTGTTTCCTAGTCAGGATACCTGGAGGTCTGGGACCCACTTGAGGAGGCAGACTGACCCTTATCAGAGCTCAAACACTGTGCTGGGAGATCTGCTGCTCTCTTCAGAGCTGGCAGGCAGGGACGTTTAAGTCTGCTGAAGCTGCACCCACAGCCGCCCCTTCCCCCTGGTGCTCTGTTCCAAGGATATGGGGGTTTTGATCTATAAGTCCCTGACTGGGGCTACTGCCCTTTTTTTTCAGAGATGCCCTGTCCAGAGAGGAGGAATCTAGAGAGGCAGTCTGGCTGCAGTGGCCTTGCTGAGCTGCAGTGGGTTCCGCCCAGTCCGAACTTCCCAGCGACTTTGTTTACACTGTGAGGGTAAAACCGCCTACTCAGCAATGGCGGACAACCCTGCCCCCACCAAGCTCAAGCGTCCCATGTCGACCTCAGACTGCTGTGCTTCCAGCGAGAATTTCAAACCAGTGGATCTTAGCTTGCTGAGCTCCATGGGGGTGGGACCAGCCAAGCCAGACCACTTGGCTCCCTGGCTTCAGCCCCCTTTCCAGGGAAGTGAATGGTTCTGACTCACTGGTATTACAGGTGCCACTGGGGTGTAAAAAAAAAAAAAAAAAAAAGCTCTTGTAGCCTGCTCAGTGTCTGCCCAAACGGCTACCCAGTTTTGAGCTTGAAACACAGGGTCCTGGTGGCATAGGCACTGGTGGGAATCTCCTGGTCTGCCAGTCGCAAAGACCATGGGAAAAGCATAGTAACTGGGCTGGAGTGCACCGTTCCTCCTGATACAGCCTCACACGGCTTCCCTTGGCTAGGGGAGGGAAATCCTCTGACCTCTTTCACTTCCCAGTTGAAGCGATGTCCCACACTGCTTCGGCTCACCCTCCATGGGCTTCATCCACTGTCCAACCATTCCCAGTGAGATGAACCAGGTACCTCAGTGGGAGATGCAGAAATCACCCGCTTTCTGTGTCAATCTTGCTGGGAGCTGCAGACCAGAACTGTTCCTATTCGGCCATCTTGCCAGCCTGATCAGCTCAAATATTTCTTTATAGCAATGTGAGAAGAGACTAATATAGTGTTCAAAGATATTTATAATTATTATGTGTCCTCATTGTCTGAGAATGATTAATTCAGTCTAAACTTCTATTACAGATGAAGAAATAGAGTCCCAGATAACTTAAATAATTTATACAAAACAATGTACTGGCATTAGATTATAAAACTTGTCACATTAAGATTATTTTGTACTATTGAACCAGTGTGTAACGAATCTGTTTTCAGTGGTGACAGAATTTTAAAAATACCTGTTTTCTTATTACTAATAATTCTTAATTAATTGATGATATAATCAACAAAACACTTCTCTCTTGCTTTAGTAATGAGAATCCTATGAACATATTTTCTTTCTCAATTTCCTGTAACTTGAAATTGAGAAATTGATAGGGTTATATTGTATTTGGTAAAGTATGAGATATCTTGCCAGTGTGGCATGAATTTGAGAAGACCCAAGTCCTATCATTTCACAGAATGAACTTGTCCTTGACTTTTTTGTCTAATAATAGTGTATATTGCCATTAAAATAAGTAGATGACTTTAAGCCTCCATTCAAAATGTGCCCCTAATTTACTTGCATTTATAGATTTGATTTAGTCAGTGTATCGATTAATTCTGTAACACCATCAACTGCTTCTCCCACCAAACTGACCATTAGAATAACCAAATTAAACAGACCATTCAAGGTGGCAAATTTTGGTGATTTTGGTTATACAGGAACTCTCATTGGTTCTTAATTTTTTAGTTTGCTTAAGAATCTTTCCAATCTAGGATTAGGATTCTGAGATTGCTTGTTATAGTTTCTGTGCTTATGATCCTTCCATATCCATCTGGCCTGAAATGAATTTTTTGAAATCTTCTCTTGCTGATGTGTTAAGCATGAACTATAAAGAGAAAAAATAATTTCATATGGAGAAATACTGTCAAGGACACATAACTTTATCTTTCTGATGAAACAGAAATTTTCCACTAAAAGTTCAATTCCTTCCGTACCCTCCTTAACTAAAACATTGAATAGAATCCTGAAATTTAAGAACTGGAAAAGAGCATAGAGATTATTTGATCCCAAGCCCTCATTTTGTAGATGTCTTAGGATATAGGAGAAAAAAATAAAAATGAGCAAGTTAATTTTAGGGACCTGAAAAATAATTTAATCACAGGATGTTTTTGGTTTGGCTCTAGGCCCAAAACATTTCATTTGATTGTGACTAAGACACATTTTCTTCTCACTGCTCTATTCTTCAGGCAGAGGCAACTAAGTGTTAATTATGATACAGTCCTTGATGGTTACTGTATCCTTTTTCCAAATGACTTTTACTGTTGTTTGGCTGCCAGCTAAAGATGGCCTTGTGATCTTAACATATTTTCAATGACTGTTCTACAAGAAATGTTTATATATTCCTAAACTACTGTGCTTATTCAGCTGTCAAGCTTCAGCTTTGTATTCTTCTCCTTTTAATGCTCTTCTCTTTTAAAAAAATCAGTTCCGAAAGACAAAAACTGAAAGCCCTTCCTAGATGCTGCAACTAAACCTGCTGGTTTTTTCCCTGTGTGTCCTTGATTAAGTCAGTTAAACACTTTGAATTTTGTCATCAGTAAAATGAGGACAATAACATATACAAAATGGGAAAATTATAAAATGGAGGCAGGCTTTCTAAATATCTGTTAGTTGTCATTACTCTTATTTCTTATTGTCAATTAGAAATGTTTTCTTTGAGGCCGGGTACAGTGGCTCATGCCTGTAGTCCCAAAACTTTGGGAGGCCGAGTCGGGCAGATCACTGAGGTCAGGAGTTTGAGATCAGCTCAGCCAACATGTTGAAACCCCGTCTCTACTAAAAATACAAAAATTAGCCTGGCATGGTGATGCGTACCTGTAATTCCAGCTACTCCAGAGGCTGAGGCATGAGAATCACTTGAACTTGGGATGTAGATGTTGCAGTGAGCTGAGATCATGTCACTGCACTCCAGCCTGGGTGACAGAGCTAGACTCTGTCTCAAAAAAAAAAAAAGTAAAATAAATGTTTTCTTTGGGCTGGCACCCCTGCATGCCCGGCCCCCATCTGGTTTTTCTCCCCTGCTGACTACCTGAATGCTACATGCTCTGCTAGGAAGTGACTGCCCACGAAATCACAAATTCTCCCTTCACTTTTTCTGTCCCTCTCTTTCATTTGTAGGTCTTCTAATTTTGAGCTGGTTCACTTTATTATTTCTTCTTTCACACAAGCATAGCCAGACTGACCTCACCCCACACGTGTTCAACTTTGTTGAGTACCTGCTTTGTGCTAGGTGATTTCACATATAATATCTCCTATAACCCTCAACTAAATCGGCAAAGGAGATGCTATTGTATTTCATAAATGATGACCAAGCCTCAGAGATATTAACTGACTTGCCTGAGGTAATTCAAATGCAAGTGTCAGGGTCAGCATTTGAAGCTAGCTTACCCCAACAGGTCCCTCAGAGTTGTAAGGAAGTTGTTGTTTTGTTGGTCCAACAGGGCCAATGTGTTAAACAACATTTGGCCCTCTTTTAACAGCTATCAGCTAACATTATGCCTCTGTAATAAGCTCAAAATTTATCTTTAACCAAAGGAAAGTTAGTTCCTATACCTCATTCTCACTTTAAGATAAAATCAGACAGATTATACACTTTGTCTATACAAGAAACATCTGAAAAAATAATACCTGAAATTTACAGAAAAGTACATTAACACAGATGATGATCATGCAAAGCAGTTTAAGAGAAGTTAGCTAGAATGAGAATTTAAGCCTGTTCCACTGTTGTGTGATGTCACCAGCCAGTACTGAAAGAAGTTTACGTTCACGACCTAATATCTTAATAATGGCTTTCTTCATTCCCCAAACAAAAAGGTAATCTAATTTATAAAAGTGGTGTTTTCCAATCAACACAGGGTAAAAGGTATATGTTCAGTAATTCTCTGGCAAATCATTTTATTATATTCATAGAAATGCATATTTTATTTCATATTAAGTAAAACATCTTGGCTAGCTTCAATTCCTTGATCCATAGAACTCAAAAGGGAGCAACCAGGATGAGGGCTCAGCTGCCGATATCCCCAAGTCCATTGTTAGGAGTCAAGTGGGAATTTCATGGACTCAAGTGATACTGCTCCTCTTTCATCACTGAGGTTTCTATCAGCAGAAATCAAGAAGTAGCCTGTGCACTTGATGCGAGACTGTTTCTTTGTCAGCTGGCTAAGATGAAAGGAATCACATAAATTCAAAATTAGACCACTGTGTTGTCAAGACCTCCAGTCACTTCCCAGGCTTTTCTTTCACTTTGGTTACTACTCAATCCTCTTTGCTGGTGTTCTTCTCTTCTCCCTATTATTAAGATGTGCAGCTCTCTGTCCTTGCACCTTTTCCCTTTTTAATGTTAGTCACTCTTTTGGGTACAACATCCTGTAACATGACTATACATACAATCTTTACACTAGTAACTCCCAAATTAATATACCAGCCCCATTCTGTTTCCTGAACTTCATACTTACTCTACTGCCTACTCAATATTTTCATTTGGATTGATCTGAGGCATCTCAGACTTAACAAATCCTAACCTAGATTCCTGCCCTCCTTGCTCCATGAAAGAACTCAATATACAAAATGACCCCCAAATGCTGAACAAGTTTGAAAACCAAAGAACAAGGCAGCCACGTCCAGTTTGTTGGTAACGGATGTTTTACTGGGGAACTTACAGAAGCATGGTCTTGGGCAGCTGCAAGACAGATAGGGCTCTGCACCCATTACCCCCAGACCCAGGGCTTATGTACCATATGGAAAAAGTATATGTGCTCCAGGAAGATAATGAAAGGCAACTCTCCAGAATAGGCAAGACTGCTATTAATACATGCGTCATAGCCTGTAATGTGTGTGGTAACATCAAGGTTGAAACATTGTTACACTAAAGACAGGAAATAAAGGAGAAATCAGGACTGGGGCTAATCAGAAGCCAACATGGCAGATTAGCATCCAAGATGGAGTCACTTTTGTCTCCAAACCCCTCTAGTCCAAACCTACAGTTTCACAATGTCCCTCCCACCCACGCTTCAGATAATGATGCCTTCATTCTGTAAGACGTCAGGGCTACATTGGTGAGGAAAAAAAGAGAGTTCTGTTTTTGTGGAAGTTATAAAACACAGAGACAGATATTAATCAGATAACCCTACACAAATTATGTAATTATGATTGTGCTAAGTGTTTTGGAGGAAAGAAGGCAGCTTGAGAGAACATTTAAACCTGACATAGACTTGAAGTCAGTAAAACAATGAAAGAAATGTCATTTGAACTGTGATCAGAAAGATGAGTTGTGAGGAAGATTTTCAGATGCAGGAAATAGTACATGCAAAGGCTCTGTGGGAGGAAGAGCATGGAATTTAAGGGGACCTGCATAGCTCAAGTAACATGCAGAGGGTGAGAGGAAGAATAGTGAAATAATAGGGCAGAGAGGTTTGCAGATACCTTTTACATGTTAAGGATTTGGGCAATGGGCAATTTTGACACATGATTCTGAGTAGTGTTACTGAGATTTGTAGGAGATCTGAAGTCATGTTATTCAAATACCTTCCAACAAACTATTCAAATGCTGTTTTCTAGTGTTTGAATATTTGCCATGAGCTATAGTTCAATGTAAACACTTTAACCAAGGAAGTGCAAAGAGAGGAAGATGTTTTTGTGGAACACCAACACAAAATGAGAAACTGATTTGAAATCTGAATTAGCAAAAACAATATGGATTTCATGGCAAAACCAAAATCAGGACAAGTAGACAGAATACTTTCATTGATAAAAAGGAAAATAGACATATATGAAGAAATATGTACCTTAATGACAAATTTGAAATGCTTCTGGATGAATTCTTAAAAATTTGACCACAAATGAACAAGGTAAGAAATTTTTTTACATTTACAATATTTGACATGAAAGAAAGGTCAAGACAGTTATAAGAAAGGACAATTAGTACTGTGTCTTTTTAAATTTAAGAATAACTCTTAACTATTAAATGCTATGGTTTCATTTTTCCATTTTAAAATTATTTTTATTTGACATTTATTTTCTGTTGATGTTCCCCTCATTTAATTTTTTTCTGCTCCCAAATGCCTTTATCAGGCAGAAGTTACTTGTACATGCTATTAAAATACTGACTCTTGTCACAATATTTGATTCATGACAATAATAAAGTAACCATTTATTATTATACCTTTATAGGATACCTCTGAAACAGTATATTCATATCACAGAAAAATAATGCACTATTTATTATTATGGGTACTCATTATTATTAAATATACGTAAATATTGTTGTTACAAAGCATTATTACCACCTCTCCCTAAAAAAACACATAAATAAACTGTTGTACATAATAGCTTATGATTTCAGGATTTCTAAGGAGTTCTCAGAAATTCTGATTTCTCATTCTCAAATCACGAAAATTACTATCTGTCAGGAACTTGGAAACACTAACAGAAGTGAGAGAAAGGAATGGTAGTATCTTGAACAATAGTGGTAGCAATGGAGATGGAAAGAAATAGACAAATTAAAGAAATATCTAGGAAGTAAAATTCATAGGAGTGGTAGAATAACTAGATGTGGAGAATGAGCTACAGAAGAGTTTCAAGAATAACTTCTTGTTTCTGTTATTGTGATGGTGAATGCCATTCATTAAGATAGAGACCATTGAAAGAGGACCAATGTATCAGTGAGGATAGACTGAGCTATGCTTAAAAAACAAGCATCACCCAATTACTGCTGATGTAAACAATAGAGGTTCAGAGACAGAAAGCAGAGTAGTGGTTCCTAGAGCTAGAGCTGAGGTTGAGGGAAAGACAATAGGGGAACGAGTGCTGATGTGTATAGTTTCTTTGCAGGGAGGGGGTCGGTATTTAAAATGTTCTAAAATTAGATTGTGGTGATAGTTGCATAACCCTGATTACTAAAAACTACTGAATTAATTTTATGGCATGTGAAATATATTTTAATAAAGCTTTCGTTCACTTCTCATTCACACTATATGTTGATTTCAGGCAAGACAGGGGATCTGCTCAGTGGCATATTCACTTCAGAACTAGGCTTATGGTTTTTGGACCATCTGAAATGTTGATTTGTTTGGGGCAGGGTGCATGAAGAGAACATGACAAAATTCACAGAAGCTTTTAAAAGCTTATACTTGGAAGTAATTAATGTCATTTCTGCTCATATTGTATTGGCCAAAGCAAGTCATGTGACAAACTTCAAGGTCAAAGAGAAGCACAATCTTATCAAAAAGAAGAGATCTAGAAACACACTAATGACTACTAGCACCAGGATTGGGGAGAAGGAGAGATCGAGAGTTCCATTGTAGACATGTTGAATTTGAGATGCTTTTAAAATAACCAGAGAAATATATTAAGTAGGCAGCTAGTTTGTGAGACTAGGAGCTTAGAGGAGCCACTGGGCTTCTTTAGAAATAGATGAGGTGGTCATTGACATATAGGTGGTTATTTAAAATCATGAGCATGGAAGAGATTGCAAAAGTAAATGTCATCTATAGATATCCTATAAGGCACACATTTCTTTATACACAGATACACACACACATCCCATTCTATCATGACTTCTCTCCTGAGCCATCTGGAATTACAACTGCTAAGAGCAATAGGGAAGATGTCATACTTTCTTTGGAATCTTAGAAATATTGAAGGTGACTAGAAGGCAATTGGTATTTTATGTCTGTCATTTTTTATTCAAAAGGCTACCGGCTCAATGAAACCCCTGACATGACATATACTCTCTTTGCCTTTCAATTTCCATAACACTTTATTTAGCTTTCTTTTATAATATACTTCATACTCTCCTTCATCATTCAATGTGTTTATATGCTTGTTTTATTCCTCCTACTAAACAATACATCTCTTGTTGAGGTCTGTGTTTTAATCTTTTTTATAGTCATCATAACACCTACCACCATACCTTCTACAGGGTAGTACAAAACAAAAAGAGTATGTTTTATAAATATGTTTTCTCAAATAAACTATAAGCTCTGTAAGTACAGATGATGTGCCCATTGTATCTTTGTGTTTTGATTTCTGTCTAGCATAGTGGTTTCCATACAGTTGGTGTTTGATAAATGTATTGATTGATGGATTAATTCAGAGAGAAATTAGAAGCCTTTGGCACATTATTTTAAGAGATTATTTAGGTTGCTTTCAGGTGAAAATATTTGTACAAAAATGTTTGGTGTATGTCCTTCACGTCAATGCAAACTTACATATTCAAAGCTATTAGCTACTACTAAGCACAGAACCAAAAATAAAGCTGGGCACTATGGTTCATGCCAGTAATCCCAGCTATTCAAGGAGGCTAAGATGGGAGAATCACTTAGGGCCAGGAGTTCAAGACCAGTCTGGGCAATATAATGAGACTTCATCTCTACAAAAAAAAAATTCAAAATTAGCTGGGCATGGTGGTGTGTGCCTGTAGTCCCAGCTACTTGGGAAGCTAAGATGGGAGGATTCCTTGAGCCCAGGAGTTTGAGGCTGTGAGGAGATATGATCATGCCACTGCACTCCAGCCTGGCTTATAGGATGAGACCCTGTCTCTACAATAAATAAAAATTTTAAAATAATTTTGCCTTCTCTGTCTATGATGTCTCAGACAAGTTATTGTTTTGTAAGGCATATTATTCTCTACATGGTATTCTATGTCTATGGAATTCCATATTCAAAATGTCATAGCAATTCTCAAATCATTTATTCTCACAGGTTAATTTTTTTCAAAGTAAATATTGAATATATTCATTTATCTGTTATATGCACATGTACATATATGGTCCTCTGTATTCTAATACGATTTTATTTAAAGGATCACTAGGAACTTAATAATTTACTAACATTTAAAAAAATATGATCATACAGACCCCATATAACAATATATGTAATTTAATAATGTAGCACATGTATAATTATAACTGATAATAATAAGTCAAGAACATAGCAACATAAGAAGATGCATGTTAAGGTAAAACAACTTTCCTTATAAGCATTATTATAAAAATAGCATTAATCTGACACAAAAATGATATGAAACAATGGTATAAAAATAAAGACACAAATCTCTGAGAAAAATAATAGATAATATATGTAGTATCTAAACCAATTGGTTAAGAAAACTAGCGAGGGGGTTCAGTTTTATTTGCATATTGTACAAAATTTACAGAGCCAAAGTCTAGAGACCCAGTGATATGGTCTTAAAGACATAAAACTAATTCAGTGAGTTAGGAATTGTTGCATAATATTCCAGGCCTACTAATAAGTCAGAAATTAATTCCCACCACAAGTGATCCTTCCAGGACAGACTTTTTCTTTGATTTGTACTGCTTTCTTTATTGCTTTTTAAATCCAATATAAATTACTACATATGAATTAATATGTAAGTTTATATAATAAAACATGTTTTAAATATACGAATACGTAAATATATATATATAAGTAACATATAATACAAATAAATATGCATAAGTAACTATAGCTACCAAGAACAAGCTTACCATTGTAAATTCAACAGCATTGTAGATCCCAAATAGCAGGGAGGTGGGAATTGAGGTGAACAGTGTTTAAACAAATTCACGAAACACAATTCTTAACAATGCTGAATTTTGCTTTGGCTTTCTTTTTGAAATCACGCTTCAGTGAACTACTAAAAATCTTGATCGAGCACTTACTATGAAGCAGTTACTGGTCTATGTTACATAAATGAAAACAATACAGCTCTTGCTTTCAAGGAATTTAGACCCTTAGTGTTGGGTCTTTGCTTTCACTAAAGACTTCAAAATTCTAGTTCTTATTTCCTTACAAAATACCAGCCCCACACCCCAACAGACAGTGAGTTGACTTGGCAAAGTGGATAAATGCTGACTCATTTGGGAAGAAGACAGTCTGAAGTGAGGCTGTCATCCTTGAATGTGCAGTAATAACCAATGGCTATAACAATCCCAGCAACAGATTAGCTCTGTCACATTTAATTACCACAGCTTTAACACAATGGAAAAAAAAAGTGCCTTCCCTTTTTTCACACATAAGCCCACCCAGCTGATATCTCCTGAATGCCTTAGCAAGGCCCTCCAGCACCCACCAAGACCTCCAGTCACGTAAAATAAACTGTAATGAAACTAGCTGCTAAACTAAGCATGATAATCCTAGCCCTTGAGATTTATTTATGCGAGTGAGGCATGAACTAATTCCCAATCAGATTCTAGCTCAGCATTTGCTGCTGAAAAAAAAATCATTTCCAATTACCAACAATATCTAAAGAGAATCATACACCTCTTTACATCCACATGCATACACAGAGTAGACAGAACATACGCGTTTACAGATGTTATTCCTGAATTGAAGCAGAGATCTATTGACCGAACAGATCAATAAATGCCATGAAAGTGAATCTTGACAATGGATGTTTACACTAAATTAGAAGGCAGAATTAAGGCTGACACCTTAAGGCTCAAATACGTTTATTTCCTTTGGTAAATGCACCTTCCCAGTGCCCCCTGTCTTGCCCTCCCTGAGACAAATGCTGGTCTCCTTTCTATCATGATAGATTTGTTTTCATTTTGTAGAATTTTATACAGATTCATACTGCATATACTCTTTTTTTCCTAGCTTCTTTCACTCAGTATAATTATTTTAAGATCCATCTATGTTGTGTGTATCTGTAATTCATTTCTTTCTATTGTTGAGTAGTATTCCATTGTATGTAGCTCTCACAGTATATTCACATGTTATTCACATGTTGGACATTGGGTTGTTTCTAGTTTTTGTCTTTACAAATAAAGCTGCTATAAACATATAGCTCTCATTTTTTTAGGGAAAAAATCAAGGAATGGCTGGTAGTAATGTAGGTATATGCTTCACTTTTTCAAGAAAATTCTTAAATTTTCCAAAGTGGTTACACTGTTTTATATTTCCACCAGCAGTGTATGAGTTCTATTTCTTCCATGTCATTATTAACATTTAATATGATCATTCTATAATTTTAGTCATTCTAATAGATATCTAGTGCTATCTCATTGTGTTGTTAATTTGCACCTCTCAAAAGACTAATGGCATTTCATGTGCTTGTTTGCAAGCTCTATATTATCTTTAGGTATGGATCTGTTCATATCTTTTGCCTATCTTGTAATTGAGCTTATTGAGCTTTTGCTTATTGTAAAGTATTAAGAGTTCTTTCTCTATTGTGAATGCAAGTCCATCAAATATATGATTTTCAAATATTCATCAGACATTTTTTCCCAATGTGTGGTTTGGCTTTCCATTCTGTTAACAATGTCTTTTGCTGAGTAAAGTATTTAATTTTGATAAAATCTTATATGTAAACCTTTGTTTTATGTATCATGTTTTTGGTGTCATAGCTAAAAAAAAAAAAAAAAAAACTTTGCTAACCCAAGGTCACAAAAGTTCTATTCTATGTTTTCCTCTAGAAATGTTATAGTTTTAGGTCTTACATCTTAATTTAGGATCCTTTATTTTATTTTATTTTTTTTGAGATGGAGTCTTGCTCTGTCTCTCAGGCTGGAAGGCAATGTGCAATCTTGGCTAACTGCAACCTCCACCTCCCAGGTTCAAGCAATTGTCTTGCCTCAGCCTCCTGAGTAGCTGGGATTACAGGTGTCTGCCACAATGCCCAGCTAATTTTTGTATTTTTAGTAGGGACAGGGTTTTGCCATATTGGCCTGGCTAGTCTTGAACTCCTGACCTCAGGTGATCTGCCCGCCTTAGACTCCCAAAGTGTTGGGATTACAGGTATGAGCCACCATGCCCAGCCTAGGATCCATTTTTAGTTATTTTTTTGTATATGGTATGTAATATACAGAGGCATTCTTTTTTTTTTTTTTACTTTTTAAAATATTTTACTTTTGTTTTTTACACATGGATATCCAGCTCTTTCAACATTAAGTGTAGAAGAGACTTCCTTTTCTTTACTAAATTATGTTTGTACCTTTATTGAAAATTAGTTATCCATATATGTGTGGGTCTATTTCTCAACTCTATATTCTGTTTTGTTGATGTATGTGTCTATTTTTACACCAATTCCACTTTGTTTTGATTACTGTGGCTTTAGAATAACACTTAAAATCAGGCAGTGTTAGTCTTCTTTGTTTTTCTTTCTCAACGCTGTCTTGGCAACTCTAAATCCTTTGCAGTTTCAAATTATTTTTAGAGTGTAGACATTGCTTCTGTGATTGATTTGTAATTTTAATTTCATTTTGGTTAGAGAGCATACTTTGCATGGCCTCAGTTATTTTAAATTTGTTAGATTTGTTTTGTTAGATAGAGTTTTGTTTTATAGCCTAGATTATGACTTACATGGATAAATGGTTCCTATCTACTGGAAAATATAAGTGTTCTTCTGAGTGAAGGGTTCTATAGATATTAATTAGATAAAGTTACATATGGGGCTGTCCAAATATACATTTTTAGTTAATTGTTTGTCTACTTGTTTAATAAATTATCAAGTAAGGGGTACTAAAATCTCCCACTATAACTGTGATTTTTTTTGTTTCTCCTTGTAGTTGTATCAGTTTTTGCTTCACTTGTTTTGTAGCTCAGCTTCTAGATTTATAAACATTTAGGAATATTATGTCATTTTAATGAATTGACTCTTTCACCATTATGAAATAAATTCTTTGTTCCTGGCAATATTCTGGGCTCTGGTATCTGCTTTGCTTGATATTAATATGGCCACTCCACTTTAATTAGTGTTAGGATAGTATATATTTCTCTATCCTTTATTTTTATGCTATTTATATTTTTATATTTAAATTGCATTTCTTCTAGACAGAAAATAATTGGGTCTTGCGATTTTCTTTTTACATCCATACTAACAATTTTTGCCTTTTAATTTGGGTATTTAGACCATTTATATTTAATGTGACATGGACCATTTATATTTAATGTGATTAATTATATAGGTGAGTTAAATCTGATATCTTGCTATTTGTTTTCTATTTATCTCATCTGTTTTTTGTTCCCTCTTTCCTCTTTTGTCTGTCTACTTTTAGATTAATTGGATTTTAAATTTTTATTTCATCTCTATTGTTGGCTTAGAAGCTATCTGTATCATATTTATTATTCTAGTGGAATTTATAGGGTTTCTACATTGTTAATGTATTATGTTCCTCCTACAAGTGATATTACAACATTTTACCTATGGTATAAGAACCTCACAGCTGCATACTTTCATTTCTACTCTCTTGACTTTTGCAATATTGTAGCTATAGATCTTAATTCTACATAAATTATAAACTACATATTGTGTTGTTATTTTGTTTAAATGGTTTAAAATTATGTTTTAAAGGTATTCAAATAATAATAAAATATTTTATATTAATTCACATACTTAGCATTTCCACCAGTCTTCATTCCTCTGTGTAAATTTCATATTTCTGTTGCCTATCATTTTTCTTATGACTACTGTAATATATATATATAAATACACATACACATATAATATTGCAAAAGTCAAAAGGGAGAAATGGGAGTATGCAGTTTTGAGGTTCTTATACTATAGGTAAAATGTTTAATATTGGTTGAAAGAAGAGTAATACAGTAACAATGTAGAAACCCTATAAATTCCACTTTCAAAAAAATATTTCACAGTAGTAGTCTGCTTGCGATAACTTCTTTCAGCTTCCATATATCTAAAAAAATACTTTTTTCCATTGTTTTTGAAAGAAAAGAAAATTATTCTGGGCATAGAATTCTAAGTTGAAGAGTTTCTTCCTGTAAAGAACATTGCTTCACTATCATCTCACTTACACTGTTTCCAATAAGAAATTTGCAATAACGTTTATGTTTGTTACTCTGTATGTAACATCTTTTTCCCCCACTGAATCCTGTTTAAATTTTCTCTTTTTATTTTCTTTGAGATGGAGTCTCACTCCATCACCCACGCTGGAGTGCAATGGTGCAATCTTGGCCCACTGCAACCTCCGCCTCCCAGGTTCAAGCAATTCTCGTGCCTCAGCCTCCTGAGTAGCTGGGATTACAGCCTCGCACCAACATGCCTGGCTAATTTTTTTTTTTTTTTTCTTTAGTAGAGACATGGTTTCACCATTTTGGCCAGGCTGGTCTCAAACTACTGACCTCAAGTGACCCACTCACCTTGGCCTCCCAAAGTGCTGGGATTATAGGCATGAGCCACCACACTCGGCCAATTTTCTTTTTGTCATTGGTTTTGTGTTACTTGAATATGATCTGTCTGGTGTGGTTTTATTTGTATTTCTTGTGCTTGATGTTCATTGTGTTTCTTGGATTTGTGGGTCTATAATCTTCATAAAAATTTAAACACTTTCATTATTATTTTTTATTTCTTTTGCTTGCCTATTCACCCACTTGTTCTCTCCTTGGGAGATTATTATTATAGTTATATTAGGCTACTTGAAGTTGTCTTCACCTAACTGATTCTCTGTGAGGTTTTTTTTTTAATTATTATTCTCTTTTCCCTTCATGTTTCAATTTTGATAATTTCTATTTCTGTGTTTTACATTTACTAATATTTTCTTCTCCAATGTCAAATCAGCCATGAATCCCATTTTGTTTATTTTTCTTTTATATATTAATATTTTCAATCTAGAATTTTGATATGGGTGTTTACTGTGGCTTCTATAACTCTGCTTAACTTTTTGTACATATGAAATACAATTATCATAACTGTTTTAATATTATTTTCTGCTAAGTCTATCACTTGTGTGTGTTCTGGGTTGGTTTTGATTGTTTTTTTCTCTCAACGTGGTTTATACTTTTCTGCTTCTTTTCAAGCCTGGCAATTTAAAAAAAAAAATTATTATGTTTTAAATTCTGAGATTCATATGCAGAACATGTGGTTTTGTTACATAGGTATACACATGCCATGGTGGTTTGCTGCACACATCAGCCCATCATCTACATTAGGTATTTCTCCTAATGCTATCCCTCCCCCAGCTCCCCAACCCCCAACAGGCCCTAGTGTGTGAGATTCCCGACCCTGTATCCTTGAGTTCTCATTGTTCAATTCCCACTTATGAGTGAGAACATGTGGTGTTTGGTTTTCTGTTCTTGTGTTAGTTTGCTGAGAATGATGGTTTCCAGCTTAATCCATATCCTTGCAAAGGACATAAACTCCTCCTTTTTATGGCTGCATAGTATTCCATGGTGTGTATGTGCCACATTTTCTTTATCCAGTCTATCATTGATGGGCATTTGGGTTGGTTCCAAGTCTCTGCTATTGTGAACAGTGGTGCAATAAACATACGTGTGCATGTGTCTTTATAATAGAATGATTTATAAATCTTTGGGTATATACCCAGTAATGGGATTGCTGGGTCAAATGGTAGTTCTGGTTCTAGATCCTTGAGGAATTGCCACACTGTCTTCCACAATGGTTGAACTAATTTACACTCCCACCAACAGTGTAAAAACATTCCTATTTCTCTGAATCCTCTCCAGCATCTGTTATTTCCTGACTTTTTAATGATTGCCATTCTAACTGGTGTCAGATGGTGTCTCATTGTGGTTCTGATTTGCAATTCTCTAATGGCCAGTGATGATGAGCTTTTTTTCATGTTTGTTGGCTGCATAAATGTCTTCTTTGGAGAAGTGTCTGTTCATATCCTTCACCCACTTTTTGATGGGGCTGTTTGTTTTTTTCTTGTAAATTTGTTTAAGTTTCTTGAAGATTCTGGATATTAGCCCTTTGTCAGATGGATAGATTGCAAAAATTTTCTCCCATTCTGCAGGTTGCCTGCTCACTCTGATGATAGTTTTTTTGTTTGTTTGTTTGTTTTTGCTGTGCAGAAGATCTTTAGTTTAATTAGATCCTATTTGCCTTTTTTTTTTTTTTTTTTTGGCTTAGGCTTGTCTTGGCTATGTGGGCTTCTTTTTGGTTCCACATGAAATTTAAAGTAGTTTTTTCTTATTCTGTGAAGAAAGTCAATGGTTGCTTGATGGGGATAGCATTGAGTCTATAAATTACTTTGCACCGTATTGCCATTTTCATGATATTGATTCTTCTTATCCATGAGCATGGAATCTTTTTCCATTTGTTTATGTGCTCTTTTATTTTCTTGGGCAGTGATTTGTAGTTCTCCTTGAAGAGGTCCTTCACATCCCTTGTAAGTTGTATTCCTAAGTATTTTATTCTCTTTGTAGCAATTGTGAATGGGGGTTCTCTCATGATTTGGCTCTCTGTTTGTCTGTTATTGGTGTATAGGAATGCATGTGATTTTTGCACATTGATTTTGTATCCTGAGACTTTCCTGAAGTTGATTATCAGCTTAGGAAGATTTTGGGCTGAGACAATGGGGATTTCTAAATATACAATCATGTCATCTGCAAACAGGGACAATTTGACTTCCTCTCTTCCTATTTGAATACGCTTTATGTTTTTATCTTGCCTGATTGCCCTGGCCTGAACTTCTAAAACTATGTTGAATAGGAGTGGTAAGAGAGGGCATCCTTGTCTTGTGCCAGTTTACAAAAGGAATGCTTCCAGTTTTTGCCCATTCAGTATGATATTGGCTGTGGGTTTGTCATAAACAGCTCTTATTATTTTGAGATACATTCCATCAATACCTAGTTTATTGGGAGTTTTTAGCATGAAGGGCTGTTGAATTTTATCGAAGGCCTTTTCTGCATCTATTGAGATAATCATGTGGTTTTTGTCATTGGTTCTTTTTATGTGATGGATTATGTTTATTGATTTGTGTATGTTGTACCAGCCTTGCATCCCAGGGATGAAGCCCACTTGATCATGGTGGATAAGCTTTTTGATGTGCTGCTGGATTCGGTTTGCCCATATTTTATTGAGGATTTTCACATCAATGTTCATCACGGATATTGTCCTGAAATTTTCTTTTTTTATAGTGTCTCTGCCAGGTTTTGGTATCAGGATGATCCTGGCCTCATAAAATGAGTTAGGGAGGAGTCTCTCTTTTTCTGTTGCTTGAAATCATTTCAGAAGGAATGCTACCAGCTCCTTTTTGTACCTCTGGTAGAATTTGGCTGTGAATTCCTATGGTCCTGGACTTTTTTTGGTTGGTAGGCTCTTAATTACAGCCTCGATTTCAAAACTTGTTATCATTCTATTCAGGGATTCGGTCTATTCATCTTCCTGGATTAGACTTGGGAGGGCATATTTGTCCAGGTATTAATCCATTTCTTCTAGATTTTCTAGTTATTTGCATTGAGGTGTTTATAGTATTCTCTGATGATAGTTTGTATTTTTGTGGGATCAGTGGTGATATCCCCTTTATCACTTTGTATTGAGTCTATTTGATTCTTCTCTCTTTTTTTCTTTTTTAGTCTACTAGTGGTCTATCTGTTGTGTTGTTCTTTTAAAAAAAACCAGCTCCTGGATACATTGATTTTTTGAAACATTTTTTGTGACTCTAATTCTTTCAGTTCAGCTCTTTCTTAGTTATTTCTTGTCTTCTTCTAGTTTTTGAATTTGTTTGCTCTTCTTTAGTTCTTTCAATTGTGATGTTAGGATGTCGATTTTAGATCTTTCCTGCCTTTCTCTTGTGGGCATTTAGTGCTATAAATTTACCTCTAAGCACTACTTTAGCTGTGTCCCAGAGATTCTGATATGTTGTGTCTCTGTTCTCATTGGTTTCAAATAACTTATTTATTCCTGCCTTAATTTCATCATTTACCCAGTAGTCATTCAGGAGCAGGTTGTTCAGTTTCCATGTAGTTGTGTGGTTTTGAGTGAGTTTCTTAATCCTAAGTTTTAATTTGATTTCACTGTGGTCTGAGAGACTGTTTGTTATGATTTCCATTCTTTTGCATTTGCTGAGGAGTGTGTTACTTCCAACTATATGGTCAATTTTAGAATAAGTGTGATGTGATGCTGAAAAGAATGTATATTCTGTTGATTTGGGGTGGAGAGTTCTCTAGATGTCTATTAGGTCCGCTTGGTCCAGAGCCAGGTTTAAGTCTCGAATATCCTTGTTAATTTTCTGTCTTGATCTGTCTAATATTGACAGCAGGGTGTTAAAGTCTCCCACTATTACTGTGTGGGAGTCTAAATGTCTTTGTAGGTCTGTAAGAACTTGCTTTATGAATCTGGGTGCTCCTGTATTAGGTGCATATATATTTAGGATAGTTAGATCTTCTTGTTGCCTTGATCCCTTTACCATTATGTAATGCCCTTCTTTGTCTCTTTTGATCTTTGTTGGTTTAAAGTCTGTTTTATCAGAGACTAGGATTGCCACCTCTGCTTTTTTTTTTTGCTTTCCATTTGCTTGGTAAATATTCCTCAATCCCTTTATTTTTTTGCTTTCCATTTGCTTGGTAAATATTCCTCCATCCCTTTATTTTGAGCCTATATGTGTCTTTGCACATGAGATGGGTCTCCTGAACACAGCACAATGATGGGTCTTGACTCTTTATCCAATTTGCCAGTCTGTGTCTTTTAATTGGGGCATTTAGCCCATTTACATTTAAGGTTAATACTGTTATGTGTGAATTTGATCCTGTCATTATGATGCTAGCTCATTTTGCCCATTAGTTGATGCAGTTTCTTCATAGTGTCAATGGTCTTTACATTTGGTATGTTTTTGCAGTGACTGGTACCGGTTGTTCCTTTCCATGTTTAGTGCTTCCTTCAGGAGCTCTTGTAAGGCAGGTCTGGTGGTGACAAAACCTCTCAGCATTTGCTTGTCTGTAAAGGATTTTATTTCTCCTTCATTTATGAAACTTGATTTGGCTGGATATGAAATTCTGGGTTGAAAATTCTTCTCTTTAAGAATGTTGAATATTGGCCCCCACTCTCTTCTGGCTTGTAGGTTTTCTGCAGAGAGATCCACTGTTAGTCTGATGGGCTTCCCTTTGTAGGTAACCTGACCTTTCTCTCTGGCTGCCCTTAACATTTTTTTCCTTAATTTCGACCTTGGCGAATCTGAAGATTATGTGTCTTGGGTTTGCTCTTCTCAAGGATTATCTTTGTGGTGTTCTCTATATTTCCTGAATTTGAATGTTAGCCTGCTTTGCCAGGTTGGGGAAGTTGTCCTGGATAGTATCCTGAAGAGTGTTTTCCAACTTGGTTCCATTCTCCCCATCACTTTCAGTTACACCAGTCAAATGTAGGTTTGGTCTTTTCATAAGTTCCGTATTTCTTGGAGGCTTTGTTCTTCTTTTTCATTTTTTTCTCTAATCTTGTCTTCATGCTTTATTTCATTAAGTTGATCTTCAATCTCTGATATCCTTTCTTCCACTTGATCAATTCGGCTATTGATATGTGTGTATGCTTCAGGAAGTTCTCATGCTGTTTTTCAGCTCCATCAGTTCATTTATGTTCTTCCCTAAACTGGTTATTCTAGTTAGCAATTCGTCTAATCTTTTTTCAAGGTTCTTAGCTTCCTTGCATTGGGTTAGAACATGCTCCTTTAGTTTGGAGGAGTTTATTATTATCTACCTTCTGAAGCCTACTTCTGTCAATTCGTCAAACTCATTCTCCATGCAGTTTTGTTCCCTTGCTGACGAGGAGTTGTGGTGCTTCGGAGAAGAGACATTCTGGTTTTTGCAGTTTTCATCCCGTTTGTGCTGGTTTCTCCCCATCTTCATGGATTTATCTACTTTGGTCTTTGATGTTGTTGACCTTCAGATGGGGTTTTGGTGTGGACATCGCTTTGGTTGATGTTGGCACTATTCCTTTCTGTTTGTTAATTTTCCTTCTAACAGTCAGGCCCCTCTGCTGCAGGTCTGCTGGAGTTTGCTGGAGGTCCACTCCAGACCCTGTTTGCCTGGGTATCATCAGTGGAGGCTGCAGAACAACAAAGATTGCTGCCTGTTCTTTCCTCTGGAAGCTTTGTCACAGAGGAGCATCTGCCAGTTGCCAGCTGGAGCTCTCCTGTGTGAGGTGTCTACTGACCCCTGCTGTGAGATGTCTCCCAGTCAGGAGGCATTGGGGTCAGGGACCCACTTGAAGAGGTAGTCTGTCCCTTAGCAGAGCTCGAGCACTGTGCTGGGAGATCGGCTACTCTCTTAAGAGCTGGCAGGCAGGAACATTTAAGTCTGCTGAAGCTGTGCCCACAGCCGCCCCTTCCCCCAGGTGCTCTGTCCCATGGAGATGGGCGTTTTATCTATAAGCCCCTGACTGGGGCTGCTGCTTTTCTTTCAGAGATGCTCTGCCCAGAGAGGAGGAGTCTAGAGAGGCAGTCTGGCTACACCACTTTGCCAAGCTGTGGTGGGCTCTGCCCAGTTTGAACTTCCCGGTGGCTTTGTCTATGCCATGGGGGGAAAACACCTACTCAAGCCTCAGTAATGGTGGAGGCCCCTCCCCACACAAAGATGGAGCATCCCAGGTCAATTTTAGACTGCCGTGCTGGCAGCAAGAGTTTCAAGCCAGTGGATCTTAGCTTGCTGGACTCCATGGGGGTGATATCCACTGAGCTAGACCACTTGGCTCCCTGGCTTCAGCCCCTTTCCAGGGAAATGAATGGCTCTGTCTCACTAGTGTTCCAGGTGCCACTGGGGTATGAAAAGAAACTCCTGCAGGTAGCTCAGTGTCTGCCCAAATGGCCGCCCAGTTTTGTGCTTGAAACCCAGGGTCCTGCTGGTGTAGGCACCGGAGGGGATCTCCTGATCTGTGGGTTGCAGAGACGGTGGGAAAAGCATAGTATCTGAGCTAGAATGCACTGTTCCTCATGGCACAGTCCCTCCCAGTTTCCCTTGGCTAGGGGAGGGAGTTCCTCAACCCCTTGTGCTTCCTGGGTGAGGTGACACTCCACCCTGCTTCTGTTCACCCTCGTGGGCTGCACCCACTGTCTAATCAGTCCCAGCGAGATGAGCTGGGTACCGCAGTTGGAAATGCAGAAATCACCCACCTTCTGCATTGATCTCATTGGGAGCTGCAGACTGGAGCTCTTCCTATTTGGCCATCTTGTCAACTGCCTCCAGGCCTGGCAATTTCTTACTGGAATCCAGGTATTGCATATTTAATGTCCTAAATATATTTGTATTCCTACAAATATTCTTACACTTTACTCCAAAATGCATTCACTTTACTTGGAATCAGTGTGATTCTTTCTTTGTTGATTTTAAAACTGATTAAGACTAGATGAGAGCAATACTCAACTCTATTAGTCCATTTTCATACTGCTCTGAAGATGTACCTGAGACTGGGTAATTTATAAAGAAAAAGAGGTTTAATAGACTCACAGTTCCACATGGCTAGGGAGGCTTCATAGTCATGGCAGACAGTGAAAGAGGAGCAAAGGCATGTCTTACATGGTGGCAGGCAAGAGAGAATGTGCAGGGGAACTGCCCTTTATAAAACCATCAGATCTCATGAGATTTAGTCACTATCACAAGAAAAGCCCAGGAAAAACTGACCCCTATGATTCAATTACCTCCCACTGGGTCCCTCCCATGACACATGGGGATTATGGGGGCTACAATTCAAGATGAGATTCGGTTAGGAACACAGCCAAACTGTATCAACAACATATGGCTAATCATGCTCCTGCACTGAATGTAGACCCTTTTGTGTATTCTTAATGCCTTGTGAATTATGAGGTTTTCCAATCTGGTTGTTGAAACAGGCAACAGGCACTACTTGTAGCTCCTTGTGAGTGCCAGGAACTGTTATTTCTTATCATTTTATGTAGGTCTTTCCCCAGACTTGAGTAGTTAACTGTAAAACCTGTTTTTATTAGTACTATACCAATTAGTACTATACTAAATACTTAGGAATCCTCTTCAGCTCTCTGGGATTTTGTGTCTTTGTAATTTTCTCCTGCCCGGTACTCTGTTCTTTGGACTCTAGTTTCTTTGGTTGTGCCAGACTTGCAGCTCTGTCTTTGCAATTCAGGAATTCTCCCAGGAACTATCTGGATTTTCCCTCTAGTACCTTGGCCTGGAAACTTTTCCAGTTGGGAATTGTTGTTTCATATATTTTCATTCATTTTTTTGTTGTTTAAGGCATGAGAGTAATCCTGGTTCTTATCACTTGTTCTTGACTAGAAACATAAATTTTGGGCATGTGGCTGATTTAGTAATATTCATTTATTTTATTCATCATAGCCAAAAAACTGAGAGCAGACAGGGGAGCTGAGGGTTTCATTTACTGTGTAGAGTAACTGAAATTTTTGTTTATGGCTTGACTTTCCCAGAGTTCTGACTTCCTTACGCAGCATAAATAGGCCCTGAGACCAGTGAATAGTCTCTTACATACCAAGCCAATAATTTAGGAAATGTAGGCATTCTGCCTCAGTCAATCTTCAAGTAACTCTATCATACTTACTTAGCATATTGATTGAGTCAGGCGTCACTGTGAAAATGTCATTAATTCTTAAGACATTTTATTTTCTATTTTCTTATACAGAAAGAATACATTTGGAATCAGCCTAGTTTTATGGAAAGGGAACTAGGTCTTGGAGAGCACTTACTAATCTTTTTCCTGCTCATTTTCAGACACAGAAGCTTGTCCTGGCAAGAATCCTATCTGTAAGCTCTACAGAACTAGCATTTCCTCAATTTCCATCTGCCAAGATGCTAACAGAGAACACATCAAGTAGGTGGAACACACAAGGGACTGACCTTGACTTAAAGCAAGTATGGCAATCTAAGATCTCTGCCATGACATGACTATAGTTTATGAACCATTTACAATGGTAGTAATATCACATTATTCATTGTCTGTATACCATGTGCCCCAGATATTAAAGCCAATTGATGCATACTGTCTTTCACTCAATCCTCATTTTGGTCATTCATTACTAATGGCCTTTTTCTTATTTTGTCCCCAGAAGGAGTCAATAGTCACAACCATTTTAGAAGATTTACATGTAATTATTTGGGTGGCTCTTGTGGAGTTAAAATGTTATTCTTTGCAGCTAAAGAAAAGCTATTATTTATGAGAAATGTGTAAGTTGAAAGTAGACAATTTGTCTAATTTTACGAGGCATTATTTTGTTAAGAAAATTAATCCTGGGCCTGCTGAACATAGTAAGGCATTCACAGAACCTACACAGAATCTTATCAGAACTTGATGTTAGCTGTTTTCCTGGGAATTGGTTATGGTCAATATGACTCTATACATTCAGGAAATATTTATTAAGTGATTTCTATATTCATAGTACCTTTTCATATATTCCTTTAACATTCAAAAGAATTCTGGTCCTATTTTCCTCAATTTACAGATGAAGA
Organism: Homo sapiens; assembly: GCF_000001405.40. Lineage (NCBI taxonomy): Eukaryota > Metazoa > Chordata > Mammalia > Primates > Hominidae > Homo > Homo sapiens. The sequence continues at coordinate 36,003,857 of NC_000008.11, read as the reverse complement.
AAGTGAAGTATAGAAAGTGAAGCAAGTACCACAATGGCATATAATTGGAGTGGCCCTATCAGGGTTTGATTCTCAAAGTTCAATCTCACTTCAAATTTCTTGGTCTCTCCAGTGCAACATGCTGCCTCCAAGGATAATAGTCTCCACTCAAATCAGATCTTTCACTCTTTTCCATATATCATTCGGAATAGGCATGAAAATTTCATCCAACACCTATGTTTTATACCGAATAATTAAAATTTTTCTTACTATGATTGGTTAAAGCTCATAAATCATCTTGATAGTGATTTTTAAAAAAATTGCTTGACTGTTTATTGTGCCTAGTGAAAGTTATGAAAAAAGACTGTGATGATTTTAGTTTTAACTTATTATCTTAAAACATGCTGTTCAAGAAACCACTAGAATTGCAGTATTGATGTGCATAGAAAGCCTAGCAATAGAAAAAGCAAAGCCCTGAGGGATTTCATTTGTATAATATCCATTTTGGTGCTGAGGAGAAGGATACATTCAGCAATCTCACAAGTCAATTAAGTGTCAAATCTGGGTAAAGTCAGAAAAGAGAAATTTTTAATATGACATCATAAGAGGATTTCATAAATTAATAGAGTATTATGTGTTTTCTGTTTTTTTGTTTGTTTGTTTGTTTTTGAGATGGAGTTTCACTCTTGTTGCCCAGGCTGGAGTGCAATGGTACAATCTTGGCTCACTGAAACCTCTGCCTCCCGGATTCAAGCAATTCTCCTGCCTCAGCCTCCCGAGTAGCTGGGATTACAGGCATGCACCACCATGCCTGGCTAATTTTTTATTTTTAGTACAGACAGGGTTTCTCCATGTTGGTCAGGCTGGTCTCAAACTCCTGACCTCAGGTGATCTGCCTGCCTCAGCCTCCCAAAGTGCTGGGATTACAGGCATGAGCCACTGCTCTCGGCCTTACGTGTTTTTTTAAAGTCTGTTCTCTTTCTGCAAGCAGACCGGACAATGTAGATGAAAAGAAAATCTAAAAATCCAGAGTTAATTCTGACTCTGCTTTTATGCAGATATATGACTTTGGACAAGTCACCTAATCTGGTTGAATTTCTTCATATTGATGAGGAGAATAGGAATCAGAGGTTAAAAAAGTATCTTCCAACATTATTATTCTGGGCTTTTATGGTAAAATAGAAATCTCTTGGTCTATAAGCTTAAGAAATCCAACTTGATGACATCACATTTTAAAATAAGTGCCAAAGTAAGTCATAAGTCTTTTAAGTAGATAACTTATTTGGTTGTAATATGAGGAAACTTTTCCATTGTCTTGCAATATGGAAGTTTTTATTTTTCTTTTTAGAGACAGGTTCTTCTTCTGTTGTCCAGGCTGAAGTGCAGTGGCATGATCATAGCTCACTGCAGCCTTGAACTCCTGGGATTAAGCAATCCTCCTGTCTCAGCCTCCCAAGTAGCTGTGACTACAGGCAGGTGCCACTACACCGAAATAATTTTTTTATTTTAATTTTTGTATAGATGGGGTCTTGCTATGTTGCCCAGGCTGGTCTCAAACTCCGGGCTTCAAGCCATCCTCCCACCTTCACCTCCCAAAGTGCTGAGATTTCAGGTTCATGAGACACCATACCTGACCTAGAAGTTTCTTTTCTTCACTTCTTGTGGTCAGGTTATCTATTTGAGAGTGTCTAAGCATCATAATCAGAAGATGCTTTGGTCAGTAATAACAAAACACAGAAACCAAGCAGGTCGCTAACCATGTACTATTCAACTGCTGAGAAAAAATCATTCTAGATTTATTCTACTCTAAGTCACTGTTGTATTCTGATACATTCCTACATCATTTCTTATCTTTCTTACCCCTTCAACTACACTGATGTTCTCAATTGCCATGGAAAAAAAGGATTCACATAAGTTGTATAATTTTTATTCTTAGACAAAATACACACTGTATAAACACCAGACATACATATGGCAGACACATGGTGAAATTCTCTGTCTTCAAAAATCTCTCTGCCAAACATTGACTAATCTCTCTAATCTCTGTTCTCACTCATTCAATTAGCAGAAAGCTAGAAAAACAAGCAAACAAGCAAAGAGAGGGGGGTTGTCTGAAAAAAAAAAAAACAGCAAGGAAACAAATTCTAAAAATAGTGTATTATTACTAAAAGCTAAAGTTTAAAAGTATAGCATCCATTTGATCTCTTCCAAGAACAGGCAAATCACTTTTAATCTTTGCTCATAAATATCCTTCTTTTGCTCTAATTAAGCCTGTATTGAGTAGCTACTACAAAGAAGATACTATACTGTTTGTTACAGGAAACAAACCACGGTTTGTATTCCAAAGTAACTTACCATGTAACAGAAAAGGCAGACATTTACATGTATTATAAGTAAAAACAGCATATGATGCAGGGAAATGACAAAAGGTACATCTAGTGTATGATTATCTTATGCACATGATAAAAGAAGTTGAGTCAGGTTCATGCAATATTTATTCAATAAATAAGTGGTTTGAAAATATAGCAATACAATAGAATTACCTGAAGAGCTCTTTAAAAATATCAGTGTCTGGGCCTAATAATTAAAGTTCTGATTCAGTTAGACTGGAGTGAGGCACTGGTATTTTATAAAGACTTTACTGAGCATGGTAACAGGCAGGCAGGGTTGAGGACAAAGGCATTAGGGGTGAGGACCAATGTATTAAACATTCTGTTGGTCCCCACCAAAAATCAGATGCTCCTTATTCCCAACACCTGGCAAAAATAAATAAGTTCTGATCTCGGCTTTAAAGGTAATCAGTCTAATGGAGATTCTTGTTCAGTTATTTGAATTTGTAACCAACTGAATGATTGGACCATTATGATCTTGAAGAAAGAATTCTGAGGGAGTAACACAAAGCTCTGTCTTCTACAATGACTTTATTTAAAAAGTTCCCATTCATTACATCTGTGGATCATCTGTGGCTGACAGAAAAATTGCGTATTTGGAACAATTTGTATCAAAATTCAAGTGTATTTGAATGTAAGAGAAAAAATGATAAATCTAAAAAAGATTAAACAGGTCTAAGATCAACAGGGTAATAGTCTACCTTTGGGTCCTAATAGGCAACTGGGTAATTGTAGGACTGATAAGTTGTATCTTAGCAAATGCTAGAGAATCAATGGTGAATTTATTTTCAGTCAAATAAGGGCTAAAAAAATTGAACTGAAAAAAACCGTAACAACATAGTCTGAATAGAACTATAAAATCTAAAATGAACAATGACATAATCTCACTCTCTCTGTGTTGTCAGTTTGGACTTGGATCAAAGCCATCTGTTCATGCCCTCACTCTTAAAAGAGTTTTAGATGACTTATAAAAAACAAATGTAAATTAGCCAAGGCTGTGAAAAGTTTTGCACACAATTTATGTGAAGAATATTGAAGGAACTGTGGTAGAAATGTTAGGACTCTTTTGGCTGACTGTAAGAAAATGCTTAACTAAAAGTGGCTTGAAGAATTGTAATGGACTGAATGTTTCCCCCCAAAATTTATATGTTGAAACTCTAACCCTGAATGTGATGGCATTTGGGATTGGGGTCTTTGACAGGTAATTAGGTCTAATGAGATCATAAAGGTAGGGTCTCCATGTTGGGATTAATGTCTTTTTGAGAAGAGAAAGAGACTACAGCCCTATGTCTCTTTGCCTGGTATACACAGTTATTAATAGAGGGCTACAAACCAGGAAAAACATCCTTGCCAGAACATGGCATGATGACATCCTGATCTTGGCCTCCCAGCCTCCAGAACTGTGAAAAAATAAATAATAATAAATTAATTAGGCAACCTCATCTATGGTATTTTCTTATAGCCACACAAACTTGTTCTATAAGAACTTGGGTTCTTATAGAACCCAAATTTGTTCTATTATTCTCTATATTATCCTCAACTTTTTGCCTTTCATACTGTGGCTTGGTCACTCATGGATGCAAGATGGCTGCCCTATTATTACTTCACACACCCGTGACCAAATCAGGATAGTAACTTTCTCTTTGTGTGCGTTTATTATTTTTTTAATGGTGAGAAAAATGGCATAATACCCAATATGTGCCATTGTCTGATCTGACCACATACTTATCTTAGAATAATCTGTGATGCAGGGAATAAAGCTACCTGACCAATTTGGAACAATCATGATACATTTTCAGGGACTGTGAAATTCTTGGATGTAATCCCATATCTATGATGCTATAGAGAGGACGAACTTCTCAATAGCAGTCTTCCAACATTTTGATGAAATCCAATGTGAAATATGAGTGTATTCAAATATGAGTGGGCTTGCCCACTAAAAAATGGGCAAAGGACATGAACAGACACTTCTCAATAGAAGACATATGTATGAGCAAAAAGCATATGAAAAAAACACTTACCATCACTCATCATTAGGAAAACACTAATCAAAACCACAATGAGATACCATCTCACACTAGTCAGAATGGCTTTTATTTATTTATTTGAATGAGTAAATATATTTACAATGTATATAACAGACAAATGTACAATCAAGAATAGCATATACATGTGTGTGTGCACATAGATTGTTATTTATTAAAAAGTCAAAAAATAACAGATGCTGACAAGGTTGTGGAGAAAAGGGAACACTTACACACTGCTGGTGGGAATGCAAATTAGTTCAGCCATTGTGGAAAGCAGTCTGGAGATTTCTCAAAGAATTTAAATAAGAACTATCAACCCAGCAATTCTATTACTGGGTATATACCCAAAGAAAACTTGAGAAATGCAAATTAAAACCCCAATAAGGTCCTTAATCACATCTGCAAAGTCCTCATTGCCATGTAAAGTGCCATGTTCACAGGTTCTGAAGATTAGAACCTGGACCTTTTTAGAGGGTTATTATTCAGCCTCTCAAGATACTTCGAGTGCTTTTCTTTGCATCTGATTTTTTTTTTTTTTAGAATAGCCTAGCCTAAAAATGCTGAAGTTTCCCCTAGAAAATACATTAGAACTACCCTTAGTATTTCACATTGATATTAAGGAACAGAGTAACACAGATAAGATTTTCTATTTATAGTAATGAAAGATGCGCTGTTCCTTACTGGTTACAAAAATAAACATGACACTAAAGAAACTGTGTTTCTGGAATAGTAATATAACATATAACCATGTAAATGTATTTCCTTTTTTTGGACCACACTAGCCAAAAGATTGGGTACAAGGAGAAATGTGTTCCAAGAGTAGTAGCAGGGAAGAAATATTTCAGATAGCTATGCTCTTAGGTTGAACTATATGAAATAAAAACTCCACTGATTGTCCCATACTCTGCAAGGACACCAAGTTAATAAGTATCTACACCGAAAAAAAAAAAAACCCACCTTCATAAGAACCAAAAATCAGGTGAGTTCCTGGTTTTAACTTCTTATCCCTGAAGGAAGTACTGAAGAAACAGAAAAAAACAGCTGCCTTAAATCGCCAGTGCCACTCTCCCTGACCCACGGCAGTAGCAATCTGGTGCAGAGAGCATCTCTGGGCACAGAGGAAGGGAGATCACAGCAATTGTGAGACACCGAACTCAGTGCTGTCCTTTTAGAGCAGAAAGGAAAACTGGACCAAACTCAGCTGACACCCACCCAAAGAGAGAGCTTGGAAACCAGCCCTAGCCAGAGGGGAAGTGCTGATCCCAGAGGTCCAAACTTGAGTGCCTGAAAACCTCTCCACCAAGGGCTACAGCCCTCTATGTCTCCAAATAAACTTGAAAGGCAGTCTAGGCCATAAATACTGCAACTCTTATGTGAGCCCTCATGCTAAACTAGGTCCAGAGACAGTGGGCTGGAGGGCATGTGACATATTGCGATACTAACTGGGGCAGCCAAAAGAGTGCTGGCATCACTCCTCCCCTAACCCCAGGCTGCACAGCTCACAGCTCCAAAAGAGACTCCTTCCATTTGCTGGAGGAAAGAAGAGGGAAGAGTGGGGAGGACTTCATCTTGGATCTAGAATACCAGTTCAGCCACAGCACAATAGAGCACCAATCACCGTCATGAGGCCCCTTTTTCTGGCCCTAGCTTCCAGAAGACATTTTTTTTTTTTTTTTTTTTTGAGACGGAGTCTTACTCTGTCGCCAGGCTGGAGAGCAGTGGCATGACTTCGGCTCACTTCAACCTCCACCTCCTGGGTTCAAGCGATTCTCCTGCCTCAGCCTCCTGAGTATCTGGGACTATAGGCGCAAGCCACCACGCCCACCTAATTTTTGTATTTTTAGTAGAGATGGGGTTTCACCATGTTGGCCAGGATGTTCTCAATCTCTTGACCTCATGATCCACCCACCTTAGCCTCCCAAAGTGCTGGGATTACAGGCATGAGCCACTGCTCCCAGTCTCCAGACGACATTTCTAGACACACCTTGGGTCAGAAAAGAACCTGCTGTCTTGAAAGAAAGAACTCAGTACTGGCAGCATTCATCACTTGTGAACTTAACAGCCCTTGGGCCCTGAATAACAAGCAGCAATACCCAGGTACTGCATCGAGGGACTTGGGCAAGCCTCTGAGGCTTGCTGGTTTCAGGTTGAGACTCAGCACATTACCAGCTATGGTAGCTACAGGGCAAAACTTCCTCTGCCTGAGAAAAGCAGAAAGAAAAGTAAAGGAGACTTTGGCTTGCACCTTAGGTACCAGCATGGCCATGGTGGGTAGAGTACCAAGTGGACTCTTGGGGTCCCGAGTTCTAAGACATGACTCCTAGATGGTATTTCTGGACCTACTGTGGGCCAGTGAGGAGCCCATTGCCCCAAAAATTGAGTCCCAGGCTAGGTAGCATTCATGGCAAGCTGACTTAAGAGGCCTTGAGACTTAAGGGAACATCAGTGGTAGTCCGGCAGTATCATTGTTGGCTAGGGTGGTGGCAGCTACACTGCGAGGCTTCTCTGCCTTTGGAAAGAGGAGGGAAGAGTGCAAAGAACTGCAACTTGTGGTTTTAGAACACCAGGTAGATGTCAAAGATTTTTGACTCTAGTCCCTGATTCCTGGATGGCACTTCTGGACCCACCAGGGCCTGGGGGTACTTGTCATCATGAAGAGAAGGATGGCCTGGCTGGCTTTGCCACCTGCTGATTGTACAGTCCCAGGGCGTTGAGTGAACATAGACAGTAGCCATGGAGTGGCTACAGCAGACCTTGGGCAAGACCCAGTGCTGTGCTGGTTTCAGGCCTGACCGAGCACAGGCATAGTCATGGTGACCACAGGTTTAATTCATGTCACTTCACCCCCAGGCTTAGGTGGCTCAGAACAGAGATAGAGAGATTCTGTATGTTTGGCAGAAAGTAAGGGAGAGAACAAGTGTCTCTGCCTAGCAACCCAGAGAATTCTCCGAGATCTTGTCCAAAACCATCAAGGTGGTACCTCTATAAATTTTTAAGAACCCCAGTTTTACTGGGCTTGGAGTGCACACTAAAGCAGATACAGCTTAGATCACAACACCCAAGTTTTTTCAAATTTCTGGAAAGCCTTTCCAAGAAGAATGGCTACAAATAAGCCCAGACAGTGAAGACTACAATTAATACCTAGCTCTTCAATGTCCAGACATTAAAGAACATCTATAGCATCAACACCATCCAGGAAAACATGATCTAAAGAAATGAACTAAATAGGCACAAGGGACAAAATCTGGAGAAAAAGAGATATGTGACCTGTCAGATAATTCAAAATAGCTGTGTTGAGGAAACTCAAAGAAATTCAAGGTAATACAGAGAAAAAATTCAGAATTCTATCAGCTAAATTTAACAAAGATATTGAAATAATTAAAAAGCAGAAATTCTGGAGCTTAAAAATGCAATACACATTGGCTAGCTAGTTATCCCAATGCCATTTATTAAATAGGGAATCCTTACCCATTTCTTGTTTTTGTCAGGTTTGTCAAAGATCAGATGGTTGTAGATGTGTGGCATTATTTCTGAGGCCTCTGTTTGTTCCATTGATCTATATATCTGTTTTGGTACTATGCTATTTTGGTTACTGTAGTCTTGTAGTATAGTTTCAAGTCAGGTAGCATGATGCCTCCAGCTTTATTCTTTTTGCTTAGGCTTATCTTGGCTATACGGGCTCTTTTTTGGTTCCATATGAAATTTAAAATAGTTTTTTCTAATTCTGTGAAGAAAGTCAGTGGTAGCTTGATGGAGATAGCATTGAATCTGTAACCATTTTCACAATATTGATTCTTCCTATCCATGAGCATGGAATGTTTTTCCATTTGTTTGTGTCCCCTCTTATTTCCTTAAGCAGTGGTTAGTCATTCTCCTTGAAGAGGTCCTTCATATCCCTTGTAAGTGGTATTCCTAAGTATTTTATTCTCTTTGTAGCAATTGTGAAAGGGGGTTCACTAATGATTTGGCTCTCTTTTTGTCTATTATTGGTGTATAGGAATGCTTGTGATTTTCACACATTGATTTTGTATCCTGAGACTTTCCTGTAGTTGATTATCAGCTTAAGGAGATTTTGGGCTGAGACAATGGGGTTTTCTAAATATATAATCATGTCATCTGCAAACAGAGACAATTTGACTTCCTCTCTTCCTATTTGAATACGCTTTATTTCTTTCTCTTGCCTAATTGCCCTGTCCAGAACGTCCAATATTATGTTGAATAGGAGTGGTGAGAGAGGGCATCCTTGCCTTGTGCCAGTTTTCAAAGGGAATGTGTCCAGATTTTACCCATTCATTATGATATTGTCTGTGGGTTTGTCATAAACAGCTCTTATTATTTTCAGATGCATTCCATCAATACCTAGTTCATTGAGAGTTTTTAGCATAAAGTGGTGTTGAATTTCATTGAAGGCCTTTTCTGGATCTATTGAGATAATCGTGGTTTTGGTCATTGGTTCTGTTTATGTGATGGATTCCGTTTATTGATTTGCATATGTTGAACCAGCCTTGCATCCCAGGGATGAAGCCAACTTGATTGTGGTGGATGAGCTTTTTGATATGCTGCTGGATTCTGTTTGCCAGTATTTTATTGAGGATTTTCACATCAATGTTCATCAGGGATATTGGCCTGAAATTTTATTTATTTTTTTTGTAGTATCTCTGGCAGGTTTTGGTATCAGGATGATGCTGGCTTCATAAAAGTGAGTAGAGAGGAATCCCTCTATTTCTATTATTTGGAATAGTTTCTGAAGAAATGGTACCAGCTCCTCTTTGTACCTCTGGTAGAATTCGGCTGGGCTTACCACAAGATGGATTACAGAATTAAACACAAGGCCTGAAACCATGAAAATCCTAGAAGAAAACGTAGGCAATACCATTCAGGACACAGGCACAGGCAAAGACTTCATTACTAAAACACCAAAAGCAATGGCAACAAAAGTTAAAATTGACAAATGGTATCTAATTGAACTAAAGAGCTTTTACACAGCAAAATAAACCATCATCCAAGTGAACAGGCAACCTACAGAATGGGAGAAAAATTTTGCGACCTACCCATCTGACAAAGGGCTAACATCCAGAATCTACAAGGTACTTAAACAAATTTACAAGAAAAAAAAACATCAAAAAGTGATTGAAGGATATGAACAGACATTTCTCAAAAAAAGATATTTATGCGGCCAAAAAGCATATGAAAAAAAGCTCATCATCACTGGTCATTAGAGAAATGCAAATCAAAACCACAGTGAGATACCATCTCATGCCAGTTAGAATGGCAATCATTAAAAAGTCAGGAAACAACAGATGCTGGAGAGGATGTGGAGAAATAGGAAGGCTTTTATACTGTTGGTGAAAATGCAAATTAGTTCAACCATTGTGGAAGACAGTACTGCAATTCCTCAAGGATCTAGAACCGGAAATACCATTTGACCCAGCAATCCCATTACTGGATATATACCAAAAGGATTATAAATCATTCTACTATACAGACACATGCACACATATGTTTATTGCAGCACTGTTCACAATAGCAAAGAGTTAAAACAAACCCAAATGCCCATCAATGATAGACTGGATAAAGGAAGCGTAGCACATACACACCATGGAATACTGTGCAACCATAAAAAGATGAGTTCATGTCCTTTGCAGGGACATGGATGAAACTGGAAACCATCACTCTCAGCAAACTAACACAAAAACAGAAAACCAAACACTGCATGTTTTCACTCATAAGTGGGAGTTGAACAATGATAACATAGGATACAGGGAGGGGAACATCACACAATGGGGCCTGTCAGTGGGTGGAAGGCTAAGGGAGGGATAGCATTAGGAGAAATACCTAATGTAGATGATGTGTTGATGGGTGCAGCAAACCACCATGGCATGTGTCTATCTATGTAACAAACCTGCATATTCTGCACATGTATCCCAGAACTTAAAGTATAATTTTAAAACAATGCAACACACATACCGAAGAATGTATCAGAGTCCTTTAATAGCAGAATGGATCAAGCAGAAGAAAGAATTAGTGAGTTTGAAGACATGCTATTTGAAATAGTCAGAGGAGACAAAAGAAAAAAGAGTAAAAAACAAGGAAGCACGCTACAGGATCTAGAAAATAGCCTCAAAAGGGCAAATCTAAGACTTAATGGACTTAGAGAGGGAGATAGGGTAGAAAGTTTACTCAAAGGGATAATAACAGAGAACTTCACAAATCTAGAGAAAGATACTAATATCCAAGTACGAGAAGGTTATAGAACACCAAGCAGATTTAACCCAAAGACTACCTCATGAAATTGAATAATCGAACTCCCAAAGGTCAAGAATAAAGAAAGGACCATGAAAGCAGCAAAATAAACAAATAACATTCAATGAGGTTCCAATACATCTGGCAACAGACTTTTCAGTGGAAACCTTATAGGCCAGGAGAGAATGGCATGACATATTTAAAGTGCTGAAAACAACAACAACAACAACAACAACAAACTTTTACACTAGAATAGTATATCTGACAAAAACATCCATCAAACATGAAAGAGAAATAAAGATTTTTCCCAGACAAACAAAGCTGAGGGATTTCATCAATACTACACCCATGCTACAAGAAATACTAAAGAGAGTGCTTCAATCAGAAAGAAAAGGATATTAATGAGCAATAAATAATTACCTGAAGGTAGAAAATGCACTGGTAACAGTAAGTACACAGTAAAACAAAAGTTATTATTATGATATCATAACTGTAGGGTGTAAACTACTCTTACACTAAGAAAAAAGACTAAATAACGAAACAGTCAAAAATACCTACCACTATTCATGACATAGTACAATAAGATACAAATTAAAACAACAAAAAATTTAAAAGTGGGGAAATAAAGTTGAGTTTTTATTGGTTTTCTTTTTGCTTGTTTGTTTGTTTATGAAAATAGTATTAGGTTGTGACCAGGTTAAAATGATAGGTTTTAACGTAGTATTTCCAAGCCTCATGGTAACCTCAAACCAAAAAGCATACAATAAACACACAAAAAATAAAAAGCAGGAAACTAAATGATATCACCAGAGAAAACCGTCTTCACTAGAGAAAGACAGAAACAAAGAAGGATGAGAAGGCCACAAAATAACCAGAAAACAAATGACAAAATGGCAGAAGTAAGTCCTTACTTATCAATAATAACATTGAATGTAAATGCACTAAACTCTTCACTCAAAATTCATAGACTGGATGTATGGATGAAAAAACAAGACCCATTTGTGTGTTACCTACAAGAATCACACTTTACCTATAAAGAACACATAGACTTGAAATAAAGGGATGGAAAAAGATACTCCATGCCAATGGAAACCAAACAAGAGCAAGAATACTATACTTATGTCAGACAAAATCGATTTCAAGACAAAAACTATAAGAAGAAACAAAAAGGTAACTCTATAATGATAAAGAGATTAATTGAATAAGAGAATATAGCAATTTTAAATATATATGTACCCAACACTGGAGCATCCAGATATATAAAGAAAATATTATTAGAGCTAAAGAAACATATAGGCCCCAATACAATCATAGTTGGTGACTTTAACACCCCACTTTCAGCATTGGACAGATCTTCCTGACAGAAGATCAATAAAGAAACATCAGACTTATCTACACTATTGACCAAATGATCTAATAGATATTTACAGAACATCTCATCCAAGAGCTGTGGAATACACCTTCTTTTCCTCAGCGCATGGCTCATTCTCAAGTACATACCTTATGTTAGGTCACAAAAAAAGTCTTAAAACATTCAAAAAAATTAAAATAATATTAAGCATCTTCTCTGACCACAATGGGATAAAACTAGAAATTAATAACGAGAAATTTTGGAAACTATACAAGCACATATAAATTAAACAATATGTTCCTGAATGACCAGTGGTCCAATGAAGAAATTAAGAAAGAAATTGAAAATTTTTTTGAAACAAATTATATTGGAAACAATATACCAAAACCTATGGGATACAGCAGAAGAAGTGCCCAGAGGGAAGTAATTCAAATGAACAATCTAAGGATGCATCTTAAAGTGGAAAGTCAAGAGCAAACCAAACCCCAAATTAGTGGAAGAAAACAAATAATAAAGAGCAGAGCAAAAATGAGTGAAATTGAAATGAAAAAACAATACAAAAAATCAATGAAACAAAAAGTTGTTTTTTGAAAAGTTAAACAAAATTGACAACCTTTAGCCAGATTAAGAAAAAAGAGAAGATTCAAATAAAATCAGAAATGAAAAAGAAGATATTAAAAATGATATTGCAGAAATTCAAAAAAGCACAAGTGGCTACTCTGAGAGACTATATGCCAATAAACTGGAAAATCTAGAAGAAATGGACAAATTCCTAGATACATACAACCTACTATGACTGAACCTGAAAGAAATCCAAAACCTGAACAGATCAATAACAAGTAACAAGATCAAAGCTGTAATAAAAAGTCTCCCAGTAAAGAAAAGCCTGGGACCTGATGGCTTCACTGCTGAATTCTACCGAATATTTAAAGAAGAATCAATATCAATCCTACTCAAACTATTTCAAAAAATAGAGGAGAGAGTACTTCCAAACTATTATTGGTAAATTTCATACCCCTTCATGATAAAATTCTCCAAAACCAGGGATAGAAGGAACATACCTCAACATAATAAAAGCCAAATATGACAGACCCATAGCTAGTATCATACTGAATGGGGAAAAACTGAAAGCCTTTCCTCTAAGATCTGAAATATGACAAGGATACCCAGTCATCACTGTTATTCAACACAGTACTGAAAGTCCTAGCTAGAGCAATCAGATAAGAGAAAGATATAAAAGGGATCCAAATTGGAAAGAGGTCAAATTATCCTTGTTTTCAGATAATATGATCTTATATTTGGATAAACCTAATGACTCCACAAGAAAACTATTAAAACTGATAAGCAAATTCAGTAAAGTTGCAGTATACAAAATCAACATACAAAAATCAGTAGCATTTCTGTATGCCAACAGTGAACAATGTAAAAAAGAAATAAAAAAGTAACCCAATTTACTATAGCAAATCTAAAATTAAATATCTAGGAATTAACTTAACCAAAGAAGTGAAAGATCTCTATCATGAAAACTGGAAAACAGTAATGAAAGAAATTGAAGGGAGGTTCCACGATGGCCAAACAGGAACGGCTCCAGTCTACAGCTCCCAGCATGAGCAACACAGAAGATGGGTGATTTCTGCATTTCCAACTGAGGTACCAGGTTCATGTCACCGGGGCTTGTCAGACAGTGGGTGCAGCCCACAGAGTGTGAGCTGAAGCAGGGCAGGGCATTGCCTTACCTGGGAAGTGCAAGGGCTTGGGGAATTCCCTTTCCTAGCCAAGGGAAGCCATGACAGATGATACCTGGAAAATTGGGTCTGACATCAAGCTGCAAGGTGGCAGCGAGGCTGGGGGAGGGGCGTCCAACATTGGAGAGGCTTGAGTAGGTAAGCAAAGCATCTGGGAAACTCGAACTGGGTGGAACCCACCACAGCTCAAGGAGGCCTGCCTGCCTGCCTCTATAGACTCCACCTCTGGGGGCAGAGCATAGCTGAACAAAAGGCACCAGAAACTTCTGCAGACTTAAATGTCCCTGTCTGACAGCTTTGAAGAGAGTAGTGGTTCTCCCAGCATGGAGTTTGAGATCTGAGAACGGACAGACTGTCTCCTCAAGTGGGTCCCTGAACCACAAGTAGCCTAACTGGGAGATATCTCCCAGTAGGGGCTGAGTGACACCTCATATGGCCAGGTACCCCTCTGAGATGAAGCTTCCAGAGGAAGGATCAGGCAGCAACATTTGCTGTTCTGCAATATTTGCTGTTCTGCAGCCTATGCTGCTGATACCCAGACAAACAGTGTCTGGAGTCAACCTCCAGCAAACTCCAACAGACCTGCAGCTGAGGGTCCTGACTGTTAGAAGGAAAACTAACAATCAAAAAGGACATCCACACCAAAACCCCATCTGTACATCAGCATCATCAAAAACCAAAGGTAGATAAAACCACAAAGATAGGGAAAAACCAGAGTAGAAAAGCTGAAAATTTTAAAAATCAGAGAGCCTTTTCTCCTCCAAAGGAATGCAGCTCCTCGCCAGCAATGGAACAAAACTGGACAGAGAATGACTTTGACGAGTTGAGAGAAGAAGGTTTTAGATAATGGGTAATAACAAACTTCTCCGAGCTAAAGGAGGATGTTCAAACCCATCGCAAAGAAGCTAAAAACCTTGAAAAAAGATTAGATGAATGGCTAACTAGAATAAACAGCATAGAGAAGACCTTAAATTACCTGATGGAGCTGAACACCATGGGGCAAGAACAATGTGATGCATACACAAGCATCAGTAGCAGATTCAATCAAGTGGAAGAAAGGGTATCAGTGATTGAAGATCAAATGAATGAAATGAAGTGAGAAGATAAGTTTAGAGAAAAAAGAGTAAAAAGAAATGAACAAAGCCTCCAAGAAATATGGGACTATGTGAAAAGACCAAATCTACGTCTGATTGGTGTACCTGAAAGTGACAGGGAGAATGGAACCAAGTTGGAAAACACTTTTCAGGATATTATCCAGGAGAACTTCTCCAACCTAGCAAGGCAGGCCAACATTCAAATTCAGGAATTACAGAGAATGCCACAAAGATACTCCTCGAGAGAGCAACTCCAAGACACATAATTGTCAGATTCAACAAAGTTGAAATGAAGGAATAAATATCAAGGGCAGCCAGAGAGAAAGGTCAGGTTACCCACAAAGGGAAGTGCATCAGACTAACAGCGGATGTCTCTGCAGAAACTCTACAAGCCAGAGACAGTGGGGGCCAATATTCAACATTCTTAAAGAAAAGAATTCTCAACCCAGAATTTCATATCCAAACAAACTAAGCTTCATAAGTGAAGGAGAAATAAAATCCTATACAAATGCTGAGAGATTTTGTCACCACCAGGCCTGCTGTACAAGAGCTCCTGAAGGAAGCACTAAACATGGAAAGGAACAACCAGTAACAGCCACTGCAAAAACATGCCAAATTGTAAAGACCATCGATGCTAGGAAGAAACTGCATCAACTAACAAGCAAAATAACCAGCTAACACCATAATGACAGGATCAAATTCACACATAACAATATTAACCTTAAATGTAAATGGACTAAATGCTCCAATTAAAAGACACAGACTGGCAAAAGGGATAAAGAGTCAAGACCCATCTGTGTGCAGTATTCAGGAGACCATCTCACATGCAAAGACACACATAGACTCAAAATAAAGGGATGGAGGAAGACCTACCAAGCAAATAAAAAAACAAAAAGAAAAGCAGGGGTTGCAATCCTAGTCTCTGATAAAACAGACTTTAAACCAACAAAGGTCAAAAGTGACAAAGAAGGCCATTACTTAATGGTAAAGGGATCAATTCAACAAGAAGAGCTAACTGTCCTAAATATATATGCACCAAATACAGGAGCACTCAGAGTCATAAAGCAAGTCCTTTGAGACCTACAAAGAGACTTAGACTCCCATGCAATAATAACGGGAGACTTGAACACTCCACTGTCAACATTAGACAGATCAATGAGACAGAAAGTTAACAAGGATATCCAGGAATTGAACTCAGCTCTGCACCAAGCAGACCTAATAGACATCTACAGAACTCTCCACCCCAAATCAACAGAATATATATTCTTCTCAGCACCACATTGCACTTATTCCAAAACTGACCACAGAGTTGGAAGTAAAGCACTCCTCAGCAAATGTAAAAGAACAGAAATTATAACAAACTGTCTCTCAGACCACAGTGTAATCAAACTAGAACTGAGGATTAAGAAACTCACTCAAAACCCCTCAACTACATGGAAACTCAACAACCTGCTCCTGAATGACTACTGGGTACATAACGAAATGAAAGCAGAAATAAAGATGTTCTTTAAAACTAATGAGAACAAAGACACAACATACCAGAATATCTGGGACACATTTAAAGCAGTGTGTAGAGGGAAATTTATAGCACTAAATGCCCACAAGAGAAAGAAGGAAAGATCTAAAATTGGTACCCTAATATCACAACTAAAAGAACTAGAGAAGCAAGAGCAAACACATTCAAAAGCTAGCAGAAGACAAGAAATAACTAAGATTAGAGCAGAACTAAAGGAGAAAGAGACATAAAAACCCCTTCAAAAAAATCAATGAATCCAGGAGCTGGTTTTTTTAAAAGATCAACAAAATTGATAGACCACTAGCAAGACTAATAAAGAAGAAAAGAGAGAAGAATCAAATCGACGCAATAAAAAATGATAAAGGGCATATGACCACCAATCCCACAGAAATACAAACTACAGTCAGAGAATACTATAAACCCCTCTACGCAAATAAACTAGAAAATCTGGAAGAAATGGATAAATTCCTGGACACATACACCCTCCCAAGACTAAACCAGGAAGAAGTTGAATCCCTGAATAGACCAATAACAGGCTATGAAATTGAAGCAATAATTAATAGCCTACCAACCAAAAAAAGTGCAGGACCAGATGGATTCACAGCCAAATTCTACCAGAGGTACAAAGAGGAGCTGGTACAATTCCTTCTGAAATTATTCCAATCCATAGAAAAAGAGGGAATACTCCCTAACTTATTTTATGAGGCCAGAATCATCCTGATACCAAAGCCTGGCGGAGACACAACAAAAGAAGAGAATTTTAGACCAATATCCCTGATGAACATCGATGCAAAAACCCTGAATAAAATACTGGCAAACCGAATTCAGCAGCACATCAAAAAGCTTATCCACCATGATCAGGTTGACTTCATCCCTGGGATGCAAGGCTGGTTCAACATATGCAAATCAATAAATGTAATCCATCACATAAACAGAATCAAAGACAAAAACCACATGATTATCTCAATAGATGCAGAAAAGGCCTTTGACAAAATTCAATAGCCCTTCATGCTAAAATCTCTCAATAAACTAGGTATTGATGGGATGTATCTCAAAATAATAAGAGCTATTTGGGACAAACCCACAGCCAATATCATATTGAATGGGCAAAAACGGGAAGCACTCCTTTTGTAAACTGGCACAAGACAGGAATGCCCTCTCTCACCACTCCTATTCAACATAGTGTTAGAAGTTCTGGCCAGGGCAATCAAGGAGGAGAAAGAAATAAAGGGTATTCAATTAGGAAAAGAGGAAGTCAAATTGTCCCTGTCTGCAGATGACATGATTGTATATTTAGAAAACCCCATTGTCTCAGCCCAAAATCTCCTTAAGCTGATAATCGACTTCAGCAAAGTCTCAGCATACAAAATCAATGTGCAAAAATCACAAGCATTCTTATACACCAATAACAGACAAACAGAGAGCCAAATCATGAGTGAACTCCCATTCACAATGACTTCAAAGAGAATAAAATACCTAGGAATCCAACTTACAAGGGATGTGAAGGACCTTTTCAAGGAGAACTACAAACCACTGCTCAAGGAAATAAAAGAGGATACAAACAAATGGAAGAACATTCCATGCTAATGGATAGGAAAAATCAATATCATGAAAATGGCCATACTGCCTGAGGTAATTTATAGATGGGAGGGATAGCATTAGCAGATATACTTAATGTAAATGACAAGTTAATGGGTGCAGCACACCAACATGGCACATGTATACATATGTAACAAACCTGCATGTTGTGTACATGTACCCTACAACTTAAAGTATAATATAAAGAAAGAAAGAAAGAAATTGAAGAAGACACCAAAAGTGGAAAAATATTGCATGTTCATGGATTGGAAGAATCAATATTTTTTAAATGCCTTATACTACCCAAAGCAATCTACAGATTTAATGCAATCCCTATCAAAATACCAGTGACATTCTTTACAGAGATAGAAAAAACAATCCTAATTTTTTTTGGTTCCATGTATGAAACCTCAAAAGACTCAAAATAGTCAAAACTATTCTAAGCAAAAAGAACAATACTGGAGGAATCACATTACCTGACTTCAAATTATACTACAGGGATATAGTAACCCAAACAGCATGGTACTGGCATAAAAACAGACACAGAGACCAGTGGAACAGAATAAAGAATGCAGGAACAAACCCACACACCTACAGTGAACTCATTTTTGACAAAGGTGCCAAGAACATACACAGGGGAAAAGACAGTCTTTTCAATAAATGGTGCTTGGAAAACTGGATATCCATATGTAGAAGAATGAAACTAGACCCCTATCTGTCACCATATACAAAAATCAAATCAAAATGGGTTAAAGACTTAAATCTAATACCTCAAACTATGAAACTACTACAAGAAAACAGTGTGAAAAATTTCCAGGATATTGGTCTGGGCAAAGATTTCTTGAGCAATACCCCATAAGTAGAGGCAACCAAAACAAACATGGACAAATGGGATCACATCAGGTTAAAAAGCTTCTGCACAGCAAAGGATACAATGAACACAGTGAAAAGACAATCCAGAGATGAGATAAAATATTTGCAAACTACCCATCTGACAAGGGATTAATAACCAGAACATATAAGGAGCTCAAACAAAAAACTCTATAGGAAATAATCTAATAATCTGATCAAAAAATGGGCAAGAGATTTGCATAGACATTTCTCATAAGAAGACAAACAAATGGCAAACAGGCATATGAAAGGTGCTCAACATCACTGATCATCAGAGAAATGCAAATCAAAATTACAATGAGATACCATCTCACCCCAGTTAAAATGACTTTTATCCAAAAAACAGGCAATACCAAATGCTGGCGAGGATGTAGAGAAAAGGGAACTCCTGTACACTCTTGGTAGGAATGTAAATTAGTACAACCACTACGGAGAACAGTTTGAAAGTCCCTCAAAAAACTAAAAGTTTAGCTACCATGTGATCTAGCAATCCCATTGCTGAGTATATAACTTAAAAGAAGGGTCATCTGTGTAGGATAAGGAAATCAGTATATTGGAGAGATAATTGCACTCCTGTGTTTGTTGCAGCACCGTTTACAATAGCTAAGATTTGGAAGCAACGTATGTGTCCATTAACAGATGAATGGATAAGAAAAATGTGGTACATATACATAATGGAGTAGTATTCAGCCATAAATAAATGAGATCCAGTCATTTGCAACAACATAAATGGAACTGAAGATCATTATGTTAAGTGAAATAAGCCAGACATAGAAAGACAAACATCATATGTTCTCACTTGTTTGTAGGATCTAAATGTCAAAGCAATTGAACTCATGGACATAGAGAGTAGAAGGATAGTTACCAAACGCTGAGAAGGGTAGTGGAGAGCTGGATAGTGGGGAGGTGGGGATGGTTAATGGGTATGAAATAGTTAGAAATAATGAATAAGACCTACTATTTGATAGCACAAGAGAGTGACTATGGCCAATAACTTAATGGTATGCTTTAAAATAATGTAAAGAGTGTAAATGGATTGTTTGTAACTCAAAGGGTAAATGCTTGAAAGGATGGATACCCCATTCTCCATGATGTGCCTATTTCACATTGCAAGCTTGTATCAAAACATCTCATGTACCCTATAAATACACCTACTATGTACACACAATTTCTTTAACTTAAAAAAAGAAAGTAAAATAAAGTACTTTCAGATAAACAAAAAACATCGCAAACATACAGAAACAGGAATATTATAATGAGTATACATCTAGCCATCACCAACCTTTAGTTGGTATTAGTATTTAACTAATAATAGTTAAATACTATTATTATGCAGTATATTTCCTTTTGGTATTTTTGAAATAAATAGAGCAATACAATAGAAGCACATGTGTACTCTTCCCTCAATTCCAGCCTCATCTGGGGAACTGTAGAAAATATTCTTTATAGGCCAGGCAAAGTGGTTCATGCCTATAATCCCAGCACTTTAGGAGGCTGAGGCAGGAGGAGCAGTTCAGGCCAGGAGTTCAAGGCTGCAGTGAGCTATCATCTATCCACTGCACTCCAGCCTGTGCAACAGAGCCAAATCCTGCCTCTAAAAATTAAAATTAAATATAATAAAGAAAATATTCTTGATAGATTTTAGTGCTCCCTAACTGTATACAAGTTTGTCTTTCTTAATTGACAACAAAATCAATGTAGAGTTTCTTTTTATGTCTAGTGTGTCACTCAATCTTTTTCATAAAAAATATATTTTGCATGTTGGTTTAATCTGATTCCACTCAAAAAACTGAATATCCTTTGAACATTCTATCATATATGCTGAGGGGCAAGTGCAAAACTATCTTGAAGGCCTCTCAAAAGTGATCTGATTGGCTACTTGCACTGCTCTTTTAAAATTCTCTTTTACCACTTAGTATTCAACATACATTGGTAAGATTGACAGCTCTTCTTGGTCATGCCACGTGAATCTCTGTCCATGAAGTACACAATACTTGTTCAACACACATAAAAAGATCAGCCATGAGTATTAAGGGAAAGCACTCACAAAGCTCTGAAAAAAGTAAAGAAGTTGGACTTTAACTGATTATATTCAATTAAATACAAATGTGCTTGCACAAGTACAGTCATGTCACTTAATGACAGGGATAGGTTCTGCAAAATGCATCGTTAGGCAGTTTTTGTCGTGCAACATCACAGAGTGCACTTACACAAACCAAGATGGTAGAGCCTACTGACACACTTACTTTATAGTATAGCCTATTGATCTCAGGCTATAAACCTTTACAGCATGTTACTGTACTGAATGCTGTAGGCAAATGAGCAAATGGTAAATATCTGTGTATCTGAACCTATCTAAACATAGAAAAGGTACAGTACAAATATGCTATTATAATCTTATGGGACCTCCATCCTATATGCAATCCATCCTTCGCCGAAACACCATTACGCAGTGCATGACTGCAAAGCTGCAGAAGTAGAGGCAGAATTTTTTTTAAAATAAAAGTTTATTGGAATGTCGGAAACATCTACCTCTAGGGAAGGAATATTTCAAATATTCTTTTCAGTCTCTAATTTTGATTAAAGTTCACATCATTGCCTTCTATCTCTGGGCAAGTAGCCATTTCATCCTAAATTATTCTGGCAGCCTTCAAAATTTAGTGAAGGTTAGAAAGTTTCTTCTAGTAATGAGTGAAAAATTGAAGTTCCTGGTGAAGGATACGCTAGTTGGAGTTTTAAAGCCTGCAAACTTTTACTTGGCATTTGAAGTTTACAAACTTCAATTTTCTTTTCAAAACTGTCCTTGTCAAGGAACCCCTGCATTTCAATTGTGATAAAAAGAATTTCATAGGCCAGAGGTAAGAAAATTGGCTTTTGAAGAACAGGTAGACAAAGCGGAATATTTGATTACTTGTGTTTTAATATCCAGTTTTTAACTAGATTTGGAAAAAAATGGTGATAGCTGCTTCTGATGCAAAACACCATTTATTTCCACTGATATAATTTGAAAACTGCTGAACTAGTTATCACCAAACTTTTCAATGGAATTTGTCACCAGCCCTGGAGCAAAAATGACTGTAGCCTTCACACTCTCATTATTGTAGATGTGGGTGTGTTTCAATGTATACAATCCTAATAGAATTATACACTGGCATATGTAGAAAAGCTTTCATTTGGCAAGTAATTTGATATATGTCGAGACTTCATGTTTGAGTGATTCAATCTTTAGAATAAATGGTCATAAGTAAGGACCTGAGAACAAAGTTTTGCAAAATCTCAAATATAATCATCCCACTCTCCAAATACCATATTTTACTTTTCCAGCTTATTACCTCTGATTCGCTGACTCTAACAGTCAATTGAAATCATTTGAATCTACAATTCACGACCCTCCTTATCCTCGCATTCCCTTTTTCCTTCTCACCTATCTAAATCTCATGCTCTCTCATAGCTGCCTCATTCTCTCCAGCACCACCTTTTCACTGCACTGCACCGCACCACCAAGATCCCCACTGCCAGACAGAGGCATTCATTGTATGATGCTAAGTCTGTTGGTTGTTCCTGGCCCACAACTGAGTGTCATCCCCAGGAATTTCCATCCACAAAAGAGAGCTAACTTGCCCAAGCCTACCCCTCCCCTCCAGGGTAAGCTTACATCCAATGACTGGTTGATGTTGGCGTACAAAGCCCAGCACTTTTTTGCCTCCATTAAGGACATTTCTGAAGGGCCATCTCAGCTCTGTTCTCCCAATATCAGCTAAGAGCTGTGTTCTGTCACAGCCATGTGGCATTTCAGCCTCTTCCTGTGCCTAATCCTACCCTCTTTACTCCCATGCAGGTCTCTTGCCCCAACTGCTGCCCTATAAAACACCTGCATACAAATCTCCACCTCCAAGTCTGTTCAACAGGGAATGAGACTTAAACAGTTGCATGAAGAGTGGTGCCAGAGAGCAGATTCTAAAGTCCAGTTTTGGAAAGGGATCATCTGTCTCCAAGCTGGCAAAAAGGACAACATCACTGGTGGGAGGTGGAGTTATGACAACCCTAGAATGCTGCAGTGCTGTGATTATTAAAACTACCATTGGTGGCAAGCTGAGATGGGATATCCATAGTAAAAGTACACTGGCAGGTACTATGTCTCAAGCATTTGAGAGATTTAGGAAGTACTAATTATATAGAACTATATAGAATTGGATGGGTGTTGCTGGGGGTTATTAAAGCATCGTAGAAAGATAATGAAAGGCCAACAGTAGTTAATCTCCAATTTAAGGTGAACAATGAAAGCTTCCTTGGCAACATGCAGAGTCTTTCATCTTCTGCAGCTGGAGAACAGACAAATCTGAAGGTGAGGCCCAGGACTTAGTTGGTAGTAGAGTGCCATATACAGTTGAATTCTAAAACCTGTAAAGTCTACTACACCAAGACTAGGACTCTGAGAAGTAATGTGACTCTGGGCCTTGAGATGGGAACATGTAGATATTTGAAAATTTTGAGTGACTAGATTTCTTGAACATTTTCATACTATGTCAAACTTTGAGTGACTAGATTTCTTGAACATTCTAGAGCTATAGATCTGGTCCACTCCTTTTTACTAAAGGCCAGTGTTCTCCCCTTGACTAAAGAAGAATCAGCTTCAAAGCTCACTAAGGTGGTTGGCAGAATTTATTTTCTTGTAAATGTGGGACTGAGAGCTTCAGATTGTTTTTGCTTATCAGCCAAAGGCTTCACTCAGCTACTACATGCCATCCACATAGCTCCCTGGCATGTGTCCATAGATGGCTCACAATATAGAAGTTTGGATTATCAAGGCTAGCAGAAGATCAGTAGAAGTCTACCAGCAACACAGAGCCTTATATACCACAATGTAATCATGGGAGTGACATCCCATTACCTTTGCCATATCCTACTAATTAAAAGTACCTCATACGGCCGGGTGCAATGGCTCACGCCTGTAATTCCAGCACTTTGGGAGGCCAAGGTGGCAGATCACTTGAGGCCAGGAGTTTGAGACCAGCCTGACCAATATGGTGAAACCCCGTCTCTACTAAAAACACAAAAATTAGCTGGATATGGTGGCATATGCCTGTAATCCCAGCTACTTGGGAGGCTGAGGCATGAGAATCCCTTGAACCCAGTATGCGGAGTTTGCAGTGAGCCAACATTGCACTACTGCACTCCAGCCTGGGTGACAGAGCGAGAATCTGTCTCCCAAATAAAAAAGTATATCATTGATGCCACACACATTTTAGGGGAGGAGATGTCACAAGGGCACAAACATCAGAAGGTAGGAATCATTGGGGATCACCTTAGGGTCTGTTTTATTATTCTCTTGATAACTTTTCATACTATATCAACAAATAGAGTAGTCATGGCTCATGAGGGGCATGGTGACCAGAGGTTCAGAATCCCGATGGATTAGGGTTTGAATACCTCCCAAGTTAGCTGTCTAGACTAACAGAAGTGCTAGTCAAGGATAGCACTAAAGGATAGCACTCAAAGTCTATAATGGGTAGTAGGGAATAATGTATCAGTTGTGGCCCCAAGACCAGCTAAATTTTAGCAACAGAGACTGTAGTTCACCCTACCAATTTCCCTCTTATAGGTTTCCCCAGGAAAATAGACCATCTGAAACCCTGGGGTAGCTGTCCTCAGATAGTGAGAATTTATCATATGAAGTGAGTGGGTTTCAGTTGCACAAGGGGTGGGCTATAATGAATGCTGTGGTATGCCTCCCAGATCCTCTTTTTAGTACTGAAGGAATTATTTTCCCAATTACCAGAAGTGCTGCCTGCTGATGACTCACAGCTGACTCCTTCCCAGCATTGTCCTCAGCCAGAGGGAACTACCCTATCCAAAGTTACCCTCCATCCCTAGGGGCAGCCCACATCCCAAGACTGGCTAAAATTGGGATACAAAGGCACTCTGCCCCCTTTCCTCAACTGAAGCCATGTTTCAAGGGTCATTCCAGTTTCAGAGTCCTGACAATCTCTGAAGGCAATATCAGAAATCAGTTCTGCTCCCTCCTTCTCTGCAAATCTGCTACCCTTACTCCCTTAGAAATAGTTTTCACAAGAATACTCCCTGCAAAACCACCTGCATGAAAATGTCTGCTTCTAAGTCTATTTCCTAGGGAAGATAACCTATGACACTTGGCTAAATCACTGCCTGGTTAAACACAGTTCCTTTCTCATTCCATCTTTACTTTCATGCAGTTGTTGACGACTGAGAAAAACACACAGCAATGCTTACTGGCATCACTTCAAACTCAAGATTACTAACTTCAACCATTTGAAGTTGAACCCTTAATGCTTCCCAGAAATCTTACTATATTTACTTTGGGCATATCTTCATTTCACACTCTTTTAGACTACTATTTCACTTCTTTTTTCTTTTCTCAAATCTCCAACACCTCCTCTCCATTCTCACTTCCAACTGGCATTTTTGCTTTTTACTTTAATGAGAACATACAAGCATTCAGAATAGAACTTCTACACACTCCCACTTCCTCATCTACTTACCTGCCTGCACTTATGCATGTTACTCTTTATAACATGCATGTTCCTGGCAAGGGCCACTTCCTACACAAGTAAAAATTTATTCCAGCCCCTCTTTCCTCAAGGACACTGCTCCAGAAATTCCCAGTTCATTCCCATGCATAATATTGTTTTGCCTTTCTATTAGATATTATCCATTTGCACACAAATATAATGCTGTGTTTTCCTCTCAACAACATTTTATTGTCCAATCTTCTTTTAAGTAAAGACCTTCAAAAGAGTGGTCTATACTATTTCCTTGATTCATCCCTTCACGTTCCTTTTTGAACCTACTCCATTATGGCTTTTACCATCTTCATTCCATAGAAACTATTCTTTGGAAGGTCACCAGTGACCACCATGTTACCAAATCCATCTGACAATTTTTTTTTGAGATGGAGTCTCGCTCTGTTGTCCAGGCTGGAGTGCAGTGGCACAATCTCAGCTCACTGCAACCTCTGCCTCCAGGGTTCCAGTGATTCTCCTGCCTCAGCCTCCCGAGTAGCTGGGAATACAGGCATGTGCCACTACACCCAGCTAATTTTTTGTATTTTTAGTAGAGACGGGGTTTCACCATATTAGCTAGGATGGTCTTGATCTCCTGACCTCTTGATCTGCCTGCCTCAGCCTCCCAAAGTGCTGGGATTACAGGCGTGAGCCACTGTGCCTGGCAATCCACCAGACAATTCTAAATCCTCATCTTGTTCAGGATCATTTAATATAATCACTCCCTCTTTTGTGAAGCACTGTATTCACTTAACTTCTAGGATTTAATACTGTCCTGGATATCCTTCGACCTCACTGGACACTCTTTCTTGGTCTTCTCTACCAACACTCACCTCATCATCATGATGGCTTATTGTTGGAGCACCTTAGGATCAGTCCTCTGCTCTGTTGAGGCTTCCCTCCCTTGATAAACTCATGCAGCCTTATGCTCGTAACAACAATATAAAAGCTAATAGCTACCATGTTTACATTTTTTACCCAGAGCTTTCCTCTAAACTCCAGACATAAATATTTTTTGTGACATCTATACTGGAATGTCTAAAAGACATCTCAAACTTATTATGTTCAAACCTAAAATCCAGTCCTTCATCCCAAACCTTCTCCTTCTAAAAAAGTCCTTCCTATCTCAGTTAGTGGCCACTTTATCTTTCCATTTTCTCAATCTATAAGCCCTGGAGTTATTCAAGAATGTAGTCATTCACATACTACATCCAATCCCTCAGTACATCTATCAAGTGATTTTTTTCAAGGTGTATCCAAAAGCTGGCCATGTCTCATCCCCTCAGCCATCTTCCTGCTCTAAGTCACCATTTCCCTTCACTTTGTTATTGCAGTGGCCTACTAATAATTCTCCCTGAGATAGTTCCACTTCTTTACATTCTGTTCTTAATACAACATCCAGGGTAATCCTGCCAAAACAGAAGCTTCCTCATGTTACTCATCTGCTGGGTACATTCCAATGGCTCCCTGACCCACTCAGGGTAGAAGTCAATGCCCATATAATGGCCTATCTGCCCTATACATCCTGCATCCCGTCAGCTCTCTGAACTCATTACCCAGAACTCACCTCCCCTCATTTCATTTTAACCATACTGCCCTCAAGCATCCAGGCACTTCCCTGCCTTCAGGCCTTTGCAGTTGCTATTTCCTCAGCCTGTAATGCTTCCTTCTGGAGAGCTGCTTTTTTTTCTCATCTCCTACAGATTGTTATCCAAGTGTCACTTTCTCAGTGGGACCTTCCCTAGCCATATTGTGCCCCTTCCTTCACTCATGCTTCCTATCCCTCTTTCCCTCTTTCTTCTACCTTCATAGCACTTTCCTTTTTCTAACATACTATAGTGTAACTACTTGTTTTGTGTTATCTGTCTTCCCTAAGTAGACCTAGGTTTCATAAGGGGAGAGATTTCTTATTTGTTCAGTGTTTGTATTCCTAAGGCCCAGAATAGCTTATAGCACATAGTAGATATTCAACATTTTCTGAATAAATGAATCAATACAGGAATGAATGAATGAGTAAATGAACTAATGAATGAATAAAGCTAAATGCTTCTGAATCAATCAGGGCCTCAAGCAGGAAATAAATGGAAAAAAATCAAATAGGGAAACTTAGATAAATTTGAAATAGGGGCTTTTTATAAATATGTGTAGGATTGAAGGGTGCCAGTCAGGGTGGTGCAATACCCAGGGCCAGGCACAGTGGGAATTGTTATTCTTATACCTAAAGGATCAAGGGAAGGTATCAGATGCCAGAATGTGAAAAGAGTCACTATAAAATCAAGCTGCCCAACAGAAGTTGTAGCCTTCAGTAGAAACATGCAGTCAATCAAAGGTGACCAGTAGGGAAGCAGGGAAAGAGCCTGGTCCAGTAGGGAAGGAGCCAGACCTCAGCCTCCTCTTGCCCCCATCTATCCTGCAAATTCTTCCCCTTAGCAAAGCCTAGCTGCAAGTTGGAAGACAAGAAAGTCTCCCAGTAGAGTCCCTAATAGCCAGAGCTCAAGTACAAATAGGGTAGGAAAGTTTGGGGGGTGAGTTTGGAGAGGAAAAGGAAAAAAAATTGTATATTTGCATTTATTCTTTTTTATTTACAATTTCTTACTTGGATGGGACAAAACGAAAGCATTATTTAAAAATTAGCATACATTTGTTGTAGAATATAAATTTTGTTTATACTAAAAACTAAGTATTTTCACATTGCTTATGTATCACTTATTCCTTATGTATCACTTATTCCTTTCTTTATAAAATAAAAATATGTAATAATTAGAAGGTTTGGATTTTTTTTAACTTTAAATCATTACAGTTCATATTGTTTTCTCAAAATCAAACACTAACCTTTAAGAGAATGTCTAAAGGCTACACTCTTTGGCCTGTTCTGTTTAGGTGACTAGAAGAAATAGCACTGGGATTTGCTAAAGGGATCCTTGGAAATTTTTTGAAATAAGTCTTATTTTTTTAAACAAATGGAAGCAAAGTATAATGAAAGGAACTGAAGCAACAGCCATGCTGTGGAAAGATAAAACTCAGCCCAGGCTAAAAATAGTATCCATAACTGCTGATGAGAAAAAGGCACATCTGGTAGAAATAATGCATTTATCAGGTGGCACTTTTGAGAAGGTGCCTGCAGCATTCAGGACATTGTAACTATACCACTATGATGATACACTTAAGAAGCTGGAGTAGAAAATAAACCAAGAACATTATTCATAATGTTTAGGGTATAATGTAAATGGTGTTAACTTTCTGTCTTCTAGAAATGGGGCTTTCTATTTGTGAAAGAGGCTTCCCCTGCCTTCATTGAGCCTTTATTTTTAAAAAGCTTTTAAAAAAGTAAAAAAAGAAAAACACACATCTATAAAGAATGTGTAATTGATGACTCAACAAGGAGGTTAGGTAAGAGGTACTAGTTATTGGAAGGACTTTGGCTCAATTCTGAAGGCTCAAATGTGAGTTCTGCAGGCCTGGAGGGTGATGGCATGATACAGGGTTGCGTCATAATTCCAGAGAATTTTATAGTGATTCTCTTTGGAGAGTCCTGAATGTGGTGGTGTTGCTTCTGTGCCCTGTTGAGCATTCATTTCCTATGGAAATGCTGAGAGGGTAGTGTGAAGGTTAATACTGAGTGTCAACTAGATTGGATTGAAGGATGCAAAGTATTGTTCTTGGTTGTGTCTGTGAGGGTGTTGCCAAAGGAGATTAACATTTGAATCAGTGGACTGGAGAAGGCAGAGGGTCATAATTCCAGAGAATTTTATAGTGATTCGCTTTGGAGAGTCCTGAATGTGGTGGTGTTGCTTGTGTGCCCTGTTGAGCATTCATTTGCTATGGAAATGCTGAGAGGGTAGTGTGAAGGTTAATACTGAGTGTCAACTAGATTGGGTTAAAGGATGCAAACTATTGTTCTTGGTTGTGTCTGTGAGGGTGTTGCAAAAGGAGATTAACATTTGAGTCAGTGGACTGGAGAAGGCAGACTCACCCTTATTCTGGGAGGGCATGATTCAAATCAGCTGCCAGCATGGCCAGAATAAAAGCAGGCAGAAGAACTTGGAAACACTAGACTGGCTTAGCCTCCCAGCCTACATCATTCTCCCATGCTGGATGCTTCCTGCCCTCAAATATTGGACTTCAAGTTCTTCAGCTTTGGGACTCAGACTGGCTTCCTTGCTCCTCAGCTTGCAGACAGCTTATTGTTGGACCTTGTGATTGTGTGAGTAAAAACTCCTTAATACACTGCCCTTTATATATACATCTATCCTATTAGTTCTGTCCCTCTAGAAAACCATGACTAATACAGGTAGTTTTGTTTTCCTTCTGAATTTTGCTGCTGAGCAACGTATCTTTCTCTTCTTTAAACTTTGAGTTTTTGGAATTTGTGATCTATTTGTTTCCTTCCATTTCTCTCACAAACTCAAACATGCTACCTTTGGCCCACTCTTTTTGCATCTTATTTCCTCTCTACCATAGTTTATTAGCAAAGAACTTGTGCTCAGGGTGATAGTTACTATTTGTCCAATCAATGTTTGCTGATTTCCAGTAAATCCTATGGCCAAATCACTTGGTCACCTTTTATTCTTTCTACGAATTCCTGGCATCTCTGAATCAATGGTCCTACCTTATTGTTCTTTTCCAGCTCAGTAAATCTAAACTGTAAATAACAAAGAAATGTGCTTTTCTCCGTTCTCTTTAGCCTCAAGACTGACTCAAAACTTTATTTTCTTCCTCTGCATGCAACTCAGATTCAGACTTATGGTGGTCTAGGTCTTAATTCAGCCTCATCTAACCTACCTCAAACTCTGCTCCATCTATGGTCTCTAGACTGTAACAGATTATTTTCTTTGCATTCTCTACAGAATTGGGTGATAACATAAGAGAACCCTAGGGCAGCTTAGTTTAGGGAGCTATTAATTTGGACGTCACTGCTTGTGTGCCCATATCGACATGCATTTGCTTATGGAAATAGGTATCTATGCCAGGGTCCCGCTCCATTAATTATCACATCTGGCCCTTATAACAACGCTGCAAAGTAGGTATTGCTCTTTCTATACCACAGATTAAAATTCTAAGATTTAAATAAGTTATTGGTCAGGAGCATCCTCTTGATAAGTGGAAGAGATATAAAATGAAACTACTTATCTAAATTAGTGCTTCTCAACCCTTGCTGCTCATTGGAGTCACCCATATCAGGGTTTGTTAATATTTCCTGTATACACATTTCACTGAGAATCTTGGTGAAATGCAGATTTATGCTCTAGGGTAGGGCCCCAAATTCTGCATTTCTAACAAAGTCACCGATGATGCCAGTGCTGCTGGTGGTCACAGGACATACTTTGAGGAGCAAAGGCCTTGAGTGCTTTAAAGAAAATGTTTGTGCCAGACCCCACTAAACTATTTAGTCTTTAAAGATGGGCACCAGGCACAGAGATTTGTTAATTGTTGCCTAGGAGACTAATGCCTAGGCATAATTGAAAACTACTGGTCTGACATCAAAGTTTGCATGTATTCCACTATAAACAATGTCTTCTAATAAGAATTTATTTTACTGAAGTCTGTCTATCTAAGTAGTACTTTACATGCTACTTGTCAATGTATCATATAGTTAAGAGAGGGAAGGGAGATGTGTATTGGTTTTCTGTGGCTATTAATAAAAAAATTTATAATCTAGATGACTTAAAACAACAGAATTTTCTTCTCTCAAAGTCCAAAGAACAGAGGTCCAAAATTAGTAGTACTGGGCTGAAACTAAGGTTTGACAGGGCTATACTCTCTTTAGTAGGCAGGGAATAATCTTTTCTTTGCCTTTCTAGCTTTTGACAAATGCTAGTGTTCCTTGGTTTGTGACCATATCACTCCTATCTCTGCCAGTGTCTTCATATGGCCTTCTTCTCTGTATGTCAAATCCCCCCCTACTTCCTTCTTATAAAAATATGTGGCAGGCTACGGTGCCTCACGCCTCTAATCCCAGAACTTTGGGAGGCCTAGGAGGGTGGATCACGAGTTCAAGAGATTGAGACCATCCTGGCTAACATGGTGAAACCCCGTCTCTACTAAAAAATATAATAAATTAGCCGGGCATGGTGGAACACACCTGTAGTCCCAGCTACTTGGGAGGCTGAGGCAGGAGAATGGCGTGAACCCAGGAGGCAGAGCTTGCAGTGAACCAAGATTGTACCACTGCACTCCAGCCTGGGTGACAGGACGAGACTCCATCTCAAAAAAAAAAAAAAAAAAGAGTAAGAGATCGAATTAGAGGAAGTGACGGAATTAGAGCCCACCTGGGGACTCTGGAATCATTGTCCCATCTCAAAATCCCAAATTTAATCACAAAGACCCTTTTTCTAAATAAGGTAAAATTTACAGGCTCCAGAGACTAGGAGGTGGATATCTTTGGGGGCTAATATTCGGCCTACAAAGGATGAAATGGGATTTATAATATCTCAATCAATCTTGAATAACAAAACAAAAACACAGGACTCAAACCACTTGGCTTGAAGACTTATTATGAAACTACAGTAGTCAAGATGGTATAACGGTGGCTTAAGAATCAACAGATAAATCAGTGGAAGAGAACACAGCTCAGCAACAGACCCATCTATGAAGGACTATTGATTTTTCACAGAGGAGCCAAAGCAATCTAACAGATAAAGGAAAGCCTTTTCAACAAACGATGCTGCAAAAACTGGATAGTCACATGGAAAAAAGTGACTCACTATTCACACCATCCACTATAACCAATTTGAGATAGATCCCAGACCTAAACATAAAAGCTAAAACTGTAAAGCTTCTTGAAGAAAATATAGGTGAATATCTTTACAACTTGAAGAAATCAAAGGTTTCTTAGAACACAGAAAGCAATGACCATAAAAGAAAAAAAATAACAAATAAGAGTTTACTAAAATGTAAAATCTTTTACTGACAGACATAATTTAGAAAATGAATAAGTACCCCCACAGACTGGGAGAAGATAGTCACAAAATATATATCTGACAAATATTCAATATCCAGGACACATAAAGAACTCCTACAATTCAATAACCAAAACACAAACCACATATTTAAAAATGGGCAAAATATTTGAATAAATACTTGACAAAGGACGCTATGCAAGTGGCCAAGAAGCACATGAAAAAAGTCCTCATCATCGTTAGTCATCAGAGAAATGCAGATTGAAACCACAATGAGACAGCACTACACACCCACCAAGAAAGCTAAAATTAAAGAGACTGAAAACATCAAATGTTAGTAAAGATGCAGAAAGAAACAACTTTTATATATCATTGGTGAGAGTTTGAAATGGCAACACAATCACTTTGGGAAAAGGTCTGGCAATTTCTTATAAAATTAAACATCCACCCACCCAATGACTCAATCATTTCACTCCTAGGTATTTACTCAAGAAAAATGAAAACATATATTCACAAAAACAGTTGAAGAAGAATGTTGATAAGAGGTTAATTTATAGTAACGGACAATGGGAAAGCCCAGTTGTCGATGAATAGAAGAATGGATAAACTGTGGTATATTGATACAGTGGAATGTGACAACTCTGCACGTAGACCAGATACCCACTCCACATCACGTTCTCCCCATACTCCACATAAAATACCTACACATTCAAGCTAGTTATTTTTCAAGATTGCATCACTGATACATAGAAGAAGCATAAAATGAAGGCATTTATCTTATTTAGTGCTTATAAGCTTGCTCAGTAAAAAGAAACCATTGATACAAACACCGACATGGCTGCATTTCAAAAACACGAAAGTGTAAAAAGCCTGCAGATCAGAATACATACCGTGTGATCCATTTGTATGAAGTTCTAGAATTGGTGAAGTCAGTTTCTGGAGGGAAAATCAGAACAGCAGTTGGCTGGAGGGGATGTTGAGAGTGAGGACAGCCTGGGAAAGAGAAGGTGGAAATTTTCTGTGTGATGGTAATGTTCTTGTGAAGGGGCTGGGCTATGGAGGTTTATGCATTAGTGAAAACTTATCAAACAGGACACTTAAATTTGTGCATTTCACTTTATATATATTTTTTCTAAATAAAACAAATATGAAACTGTAGTTCATACTGAAAGGAAAGGACATGCTGAAAAGAAAACACAGCAATACATACAACTCACTTATAAATGCATCAAAAATAAGATGGATTGATAGATGAATATGTAGATATTAAGGCAAATATAGCAAAATATAAATTTTAGAATCTAGGCGCTGAATATATGGCTTATAATCTAAAATTCTGTACATTCAAAATTTTGTTCACAAAAAAATTTGGAAAAAATGGATTGGAAGGAAATGTTTTTGGGACTCTGAAACCCTTCTTCCCTTTCAGAATGCACCAACCATCCCACTTCTCTTTTTTAATTTTTAAATTGACAAATAATCATTGCACCTATTCATGGGGTGCACAATGATGTTTAAATATATACAATGTATAGTGATCAGATCAGGGAAATTGACATATCCATCATCTCATACATTTATTTATTTGTGTTGGAAACATTCACAATTCTCCATCTTCTAGCTATTGAAACTACATATCATATATTATTTTTAACGATAGTCATCCTATAGTGCTATATAACAGGGGTCTCCAGCCCCTGGGCCACAGACCGGTAGTGCCTTTTAGGAACCAGGCTGCACAGCAGGTGAGCAGGGGACAAGCGAGCATTATCATCTGAGTTCTCCCTCCTGTCAGATCACAGGGGGGCATTAGATTCTCACAGGAACACAAACCCTATTGTGAACTGTGCATGCAAGGGATCTAGGCTGTACACGTCTTCTGAGAATCTAACTATTGCTTGATGATCTGAGATAGAACAGTTTTATCACAAAACCATACCCCTTTCCCCACCGTGGAAAAATTGTCTTTCCCTAACCAGCCCCTGGTGCCAAAAAGGTTGAGGACTGCTACTCTACATCACTAGAACATTTTCCTCCTATCTAGCTGTAATTTTGTAGCCTTTAACAAATCTCTGTCTCTCCCTTCACCCTACCCTTCCCAGCCTCTAGCATTCTCTGTCCTACTTTTTACTTCTGAGATCAACTTTTTTTTTTCTTTTTAGCTTGCTTCCACATATAACTGAGAACATATGGTGGTTAACTTTCTGTTCCTGGATTATTTCACTTAACATAATGTCTTCCAGTTCCATACATGTTGCCTTGAATGACAAGATTTTATTCTTTTTCATGGCTGAATAGTATTCTATTATTTATATATACCACATTTTCCTTATGCATTCATTTGCTGTTGGACACTAAAGCTGCATCTGTATCTTAGCTACTGTGAAGAGTGCCATAGTAAACATGGGGATGGAGAAACTACTCCCTTCACAATAAACAGCTTGTCTGTGACATCTTCAAATAATTTTTATTTTATTTTCACTATGAAGTTATTCCTACTTTCTTTGCTGATGGGGACAGTTCAAATCTCTGAGATGACTTAGTATATTGCAGAGCATGAAATATGGAGTCAGCTAAACATACCAAGGCTTAAATTTTAAATTCACTCTATCTTACACTTATTAGCATGTAATTTCAGCCAAGTTATTTTGCTGATTTTGGTTTCACAAATTTAATTTGGTAATAATGATGATGATATAATACTACTAATAATACTTCTTTCATAAAACCAGTGTGGCAAATCAACACATTTTAAGATATGTGTTCTGTCTATAAACCTTTTTAAGACACTGGATCCTATCACATAGTCTTTGCTGTCCCAAACAGCTAAGTTTTATACCACATGTCTTGTTACTAAACTACTACCACTCTCCTCAGCACACTCCCACAGAGGCACAACTGATTTGGCAAACTGTAAACCAGTAACCAACACTGACTAGCCAGTGACATGTAGTTTGTGACCTAGTTCAAAAGAGGCCCTAGAATTATTACTATTTCTCCCAATAATGTAAATCAAGAGACCAGAGAGAGGTGGTAGTTGGTAAGGTTCTGAGCTGGAAGATCAAACCAAGGCTGGGATCATCCCCACTGGGCCATGGGTATGATGACTCAGTATATAACATTTATTGAGGGAGAAAGAAAAAGTCATGAGTAAGCAGAGAGATGCAGAGATGTGAGAGGCTATGCAGCTCCTAGGATATTAATAAAATAGCCCTGGTTTCTGATTGTTTAGCTTCCTGTTCTAGGGAAGCCTAACTGTTCCTTATTCTAATCTAGGATGTGCCTAAGATTCCTTGTTGAATATTTTCATGACACTCCCCTTACCTTAAACTAGGTTGCACGGATCTCTGTTAGTCAGAACTAGAGTATGCTGTGATAACACACACAAGAAAATCTCAATGTTTTATAGTCACAAAAACTTCTATTTATCTCTTATGCTACATGCCCAGCCCACATTAGTTGGGGCTCTGTTTGACAGTGTCTGAGGCCAACAAAAGGCCTTCTTGAAACCCATCAATCATCAGTTACATGGCAAACCACCGTGAGCTAGTTTATGGATCTACTATGTGGAAGTCACACTTGTCATTTCTGCTTTCATTTCATTGGTAAAGGGAGCCCCATGACCGTATCTGACTTCAACAGGAGAGAATATATACCCTCAGGGAGGAGCATTAAATATTGGTGAATGCTAAGCCAATCCATCACAAGAGTTTGTTTTTTAAAAGTTTTTCCATAAAAATAGCACTGAGTGAGAGATAATATATAGAATATAGCTGGTACCTTATAAATCATAAATCAAAGTGGCATTTGTCCCTGTGAAGATCTTTGCCCATTGAAAGCCTTTCTCAAAGTGTTAGAATGTTCTTATTCCTTCATTCTTTAGATACATAGAGTGCTCTTATATGCAAAGTAGGGTGCTAAATGCAGAATAAAATGAAGAATGAGATAGACAGAGATTCTACACACATAGTCCATAGAGAATAATGGATAATTAAAATCAACAAATAGA
The DNA here is from genome assembly GCF_000001405.40 of Homo sapiens. Classification (NCBI taxonomy): domain Eukaryota; kingdom Metazoa; phylum Chordata; class Mammalia; order Primates; family Hominidae; genus Homo; species Homo sapiens. The sequence goes on along the minus strand of NC_000008.11, from coordinate 35,967,596 downwards.
TAACTACAATGCCTATTTTGATGTCTGTGATAAGACAAGTACTGGGTACCTGAAAACACAGGAGATGAATCTAATTTAGATCTGTGACACACACACATGCACACACACACACACACTCTACATATATATGTATATATATATACATATATATGTGTGTGTATATATATATATATATATATGTATATATATGTAGTACCTTGCTATGTTGCCCAGGGTGGTTTCTAACTCCTGGACTCAAGTGATCCTCCCACCTCGGTCTCTCAAACAAACTACTTCTTAGAGGGTGTAGCAACAGCTGAATCCATATGAATGAGAAGGAATTTGGGCAAAGGGCAAGAAGGAAGGAGAGTTTTATAGGTAGAGGGGGACAGCAAAGTTGCAGATCCAGTGATGAAGAAGGCATGAAACATTCAATGAACCATAAAAAGAGAAAAGAGGTGGGCAAGCAGTTGTGAGCTGTGCAACAGAAGTTGGACTTTATCCTAGGCAATGAGGAGCCATTAAAGGGTTTTAAATAGAAAAGGAACTTTATCAATTTGGAGCCTTAGAGAGATCACTAAGGACATAGCAAGTTTCTAGGGGCTTTGGTCTCCTGGTAAAGCCATGCTTCTATTGGCCAATCCTTACTTCCTATCCACACACTTGTCTTATTAAACAGAAAAGAATGGACTCATGTTTCAACTAAACTATGTATTTTCTCCATTTTTCATTATAACTATTTTGTACATGGTGTGCAATTGTACAGTGTGCTGAAGTAGGGGCAAAAGCAATAAAATGGAAACCAGACAACCAAGCACTAGCCTCAACTTTATTACTTCCTCAAAATATGATTTTGGGCAAATTACTTAACTACTGTGAAACATAGTGATAACAGGTTAGGGGCTTTGAAAAAAATAAATCTATTTAAGATGGGTAGCATTACTGGAAGGTTTTGAATATCATTAATTTAAGCAAGGAAAAGAAAACATCTGTGAAATAATTTCATTGTGAAGCAAACTGTATTAGTGTAGCATAATTTGCTTGTGTCATGTGGATAGATCTCATCAGTAACCTCTGGCAAATAAGATATTCAAGTAGCACTCTTCAGATATTGCTCAGATGAATTAATTGAATTTTTTCTTCATTTTTGTGGGTGACAGTTTACTCTATAGTAAAACAAGAACCTGTGGGAGATTTGATAGGCCTAACCCATGAGACATTTCTGAATACTGAACTTGGTCAATCGACATGAATTGTCCTTTCCTAGTTTGGATTGGACTTTCCAATTTGCATTTGAAATTCAAAATGTCAGGCCTAATACTCCTGCTGCATCTCTGAGGGCATGACATGGCCTTTATAACTAAATGTTAAAACATAACTCGATGCCTAATGCTTGCAATTCCATTTTCCAATCCTTGGTGCTGTCAAAGACACTATGTAATGTGCTGTCAAGCTGGGTTGGTCAAACTACACAGAATACAGTCTCTTTCCTGAATGCTATTCTTAGAACAAGGAGTATCTTGTAACCACTTTCTTGTCTCACAGAACACCAGCAATATCTAGGATTCATTTCATCTCTTTTCAAGTCACCAGAGAAACTCTCTGGAGGATCTAGAGAGGCAAACACCACAGAAATGGCTAAAATTCATTTTTTATTTTTCCTATTGGGCAATTTATTTGTTTTTCAGTTGTTTCAGCTGCACTATGGAAAACTGTCCTGCCAGTAGGTAAAATTAGGTATTTGTCAAAAATGGCCTTCCATCCTCTGCTATTATATGCTTGGGTGGGAACAAAAGTATAGCTACAGTAGTCCAGGCAAAAGGCACCTTAGAGTCAAGAGAAACAGAAATAGCTATCAAATGACTTTGCATAAGAGATATCCATGTGAAAGCTAGAATCAGCACTATTATTCAGTTCAAGGAAATATTTCACTATGGTGATTATCAAAAAGCTGCCTACGAAGGAGCTGAATAAAGACTGACAAACATTGTTTCCAACAGATTAATGAATGATAAATCCTGATGAAACAAAGCACCATAGAAATTCTGACTCCTCTTAAAGGAAATAACACAAAGTGGAAAATAAAAGGTAGGATAAAAATGCATATGATTCTAACCTGTCAGTGAAGCTTAAATAAATATGGAAATTTAGAAAAATGAAAGTAAAGTAATGATGGGTTTTTTCCTTCTGCTAATGGAAGAGTTGGTTACAAACCAACTCTCCATTTGACAAAAACTAGAATAGCTGGACAATTTTTAAAACTTGTGTTTGAAGGCTTTGTGACGTTCCTACAGCAACCAGGACTTGAAGTTTTGAGACACCAGTGAGAAGACTATTGAGATGAGTGTTTTTCCCCTCAAGGCATTTGTCAAGTATCCAGGACAAAAGAGAACCCAAGGGGAAATCAGTGGATAAGAGGTTAGGAAACTTAGCAGAACTTTTAGCAGTCTCATGGGGATGGAGTAACAAAAATATACTTCAGGACTCACAAGTTGGAGGGTGCTTGGTGAACATTTCAGACTACGAGTTTAGACCAAGAAGGACTATATTTTAGGAATAAGACAACCAAAACTAGATCTAGTGTCACAAAATTCTAAAATCCAAACTAGAAACAACTCAGACCTAAACTCTAATTGCCTGTCCCCAAACAAAAGTAAATCTTCTCTTAAGAATGGCAATCTGAGACAGATCCTAAAAATATTTATATACTTCTTTATAATGATGTCTGGCATTCAGTCAAAAATTATTAGGTATGCTAGGAGAAGGTATCAAATGACTGCAAACAAGGTCAGAAAATACCCAATACAAATTATTCAATTATCCAGATATTATAGTTAGCAAGTACAAAATATAAAATAACTATTTATAATATGTTCAAGATAATAACAGACAAGATGGAAAATTTCATCTGAAACTGGAATCTATAAGAAGTCAAATGAAATCTCTAGATCTGAAAAAAATAAAAAATTTACAACTTAATAGATGGATTTAAAATATATTGGACATAACTGCAGAAACAATGAGTAAATAGAACAAGAGAAGCACCAGAGAAAAAAGCAAGGATATAAGAGACATAGAATACTGTGAAAAGGATGATATATAGGTAATTGGAGAGAAAAGGAGGGAGAAAAATAGTATATTGACCAAGATATTTATGAAACTGATATTTTTAAAAAATCACACCAATAAAACACAAAGCTCTCTATATTCCCAAGCAGATCAATTACAAGGAAAGCAACATTTAGCTCTATCATAGTAGAAATTTTAGGGACCAAAGACAAAAGAAAAAAATCTCAGCTAGGCGTGGTGCCATGAGCCAGTCCCAGCTACTGAGGAGGCTGAGGTAGGAGAGGCTCATTTGAGGCTAGAAGCTGAGAGTCGAGTCCAGCCTGGGCAATATAGCAAGAGCTCATCTCTAAAAATAAAAAAAATAAAAATAAAAAACTCATAAGCAGCAAAAGGAAAAAATAAAACAATAAAATGGAAGACAGAAGGCAATGAAAAGTAATATTAAAAACAATGGGGGTGGCAGAATAACTGCCAACATAGAATTCTATACCCAGTAAAAATATCCCTCATGAATACAAAATAAAAAAGAGTTTTCAAACAACCAAAACCCAAACCAGGGGATGTTTTTTACCCGTAGATTTATACTAAAAGAACTATGAAAGTAAGTAATTTAGGCTGGAGGAAAATGCTCCCAGATGGAAACATGGAAAATCAGGAAAAATGAAGAGAAACTGGAAGAGAAAATATGAGAATCAATATATAGGAATGACTTTAGTAAAGTTTTAGCATACAAAATAAATGTACAAAAATCAGTAGTACTTCTATATACCAATAATGTTTTTGCTAAGTGTCAAATCAAGAACATAATCCCAACCAGGCAGAACGGCTCATGCCTGTATTCCCAGCACTTTAGGAGGCCAAAAGAGGAGGATCACTTGAGGCCAGGAGTTCAAGACCAGCTTGGGCAATATAGCCAGACTCCATCTCTAAATAATAATAATAATAATTAGCAAGGTGTGGTGGCATGCACCTGTATTCCCAGCTACTTAAAAGGCTGAGGCAGGAGGATCCATTGAGCCCAGGAGTTGAAGGCTGCAATGAGCTATGATCACACCACTGCACTCCAGCCTGGGTAGCAGAGTGAGACCCTTTCTCAAAACACACACACACACCATACACACACACACACACACACAACACAATCCCATTTATGATCACAAAAAATGGAAATATCTAGGAATACATCTAACCAAAGAGGTGAATGCTATCTACAAGGAAAACTATAAAACACTGCTAAATGAAATCAGCAATGACACAAATAAATGGAAAAATACTCCATACTCATGGATTAGAAGAATCAATATTATTAAAATGGCCATACTGACCAAAGCAATTTACACATTCAATGCTATCCCTATCAAAATATCAACATCAATTGTTGCAGAAGTGGAAAACACTATTCTAAAATTCATATGGAATGAAATGAGAGCCCAAATAGCCAAAGCAATCCTAAGCTAAGAGAACAAAGCCAGAAGAATCATATTACCCAACTTCAAATTATACTACAAGGCTACAGTAACCAAAACAGCATGGCACTATTACAAAGATGGACAAAGACCAATAGAACAGAATAGAGAAGAACCCAGAAATAAGACTGCATACCTGCAACTATCTGATCTTCCATAAATTCAACAAAAATAGGCACTGGGGAAAGGATTATTTCCATAAATGGTACTGGGATAGCTGGCTAGTCATATATAGAAGAAGGAAACTAGACCCCTACATTTTACCATATATAAAAATTAACTCAAGATAGATTAAAGATTTAAATGTAAGACCTCAAACTATAAAAATGCTAGAAGAAAACCTAAGAAATATCCTTCTCAGCATTGTCTTTGGCAAAGAATTTATGGCTAAGTCCCCAAAAGCAATTGCAACAAAAACAAAAATTGACAAGTGGTACCTAATCAAACTAAAGAGCTTCTGCACAGCAAAAGAAATAATCAAAAGAGTATAACAGGTAACCAATAGAATGGGACAAAATATTTACAAACTATTGGTCCAACAAAAGTCTAATATCCAGAATCTACAAAGAACTTAAATCAACGAGCAAAAAATAAATAATCCAATTAAAAATGCCCAAAGAATATGAACAGATAAAGATGTACAAGAGTGAAGAAATGCTCAACATCACTAATCATCAGATAAATGCAAATCAAAACCGTAATGAGATACCATCTCATACCAGTCAGAATGGCTATTATTTAAAAGTCAAAAAATAACAGACACTGGAGAGGCTGTGGGAAAAAAAAGGGAGTCCTTATACACTGTTGGTTGGAATGTAAATTAGTTCAGCCACTGTGGAAATCAGTTTGGAGATTTCTCAAAAAACTTAGAACTATCGTTCAACCCAGCAATCTCGTTCCTGGGTATATATTCAAAAGAAAATGGATTATTCCACCATAAAGACACATGCACTCACATGTTCCCCACAATACTGTTCGCAACAGCAAAGACATGGACTCAGCATACGTGCCCATCAGTGGTGGACTGGATAAAGAAAATGTGGTACCATGGAATACTACACAGCCATAAAAAAAGAACAAAATAATGTCCTTTGCAGCAACATGGATGCAGATGGAGGCCATTATTCTAAGCGAATTAATGCAGGAACAGAAAGCCAAATACTGCAAGTTCTCACTTATAAGTGGAAGGTAAACATTGAATACACATGGATGTAAAGATGAGAACAAGAGACACTGAGGACTGCTAGAGAGAGAAGAGAGGGAGCAGGGCATGGACTGAAAAACTACCTATTGGGTACTTTGCTTACTACCTGGGTACCAAGACCATCTATACCCCAAACTTCAGCACAACACAATATATCATGTAACAAATCTGCACATATACCTACTGAATCCTAAATGAATGAATGAATGAATGGTTTATAACACAGAAAAAGAAGAAGCCATGAGGAAGGAATGTTTGAGTCAGTGCTCTCAGGAACACTTCTGAGCACTGGACTCCAGCGGATTCACCTACTGAGTCAGGTCAGAGTGGTTCAGTCAATAAATAATGTTCTTATACACATACAAAATCAGAAATACTGATTCCATGAAATCAGTTTTTTGAATCAGAATATAAGTGAAATACAAAATAACACAAAAGGTAAGAAGAGTAAAGGGAATTGTGTTCTTAGGTCTTTGGACTGCCTGGAAAGTGGTGAACATTTCCATTTATACCAGACTTTAACAAGCCATGGATTCATCTTATTATCTCTAGAATAACAAATGAAAAATAAAAAATGTACAATTTGCAAGCTAATAGAGTGTGAAATTTGAATAATGATTAGAAAAATACTAATTGATTCAAAAAAAGGTGAGAAGGAGAAGAAAGGGAATACAATAGGTGAAATAAAAAGAAAACAAATATCAAGATGGTATGATTAAAACCAAATACATAAGTAATTACATTAAATTTAAATAGAATATATATTCCAATTAAAAACTAGATTACCAGACTGATTTTAGAATATATTCAGTTATATGCTACTTATAGGAGATACACCCTAAATTACTCATTTAAAAATACATACAGATTGTAGCACTCACAGAAAGATAACAGGAACAGATCAGTAGTATAAAAAGTAGACTTTAAAGCAAGAACATTACTATACATAATGAAATTAATGATAGAAGTGGTAATTCATCCAGAGGATGGATTCTTTATGGAGACAGAAAAGACTAAGCTTTGAGCTCCCATCAAGTCATTCTAAGACCTACTCCCAAAGGTCTAATTTATTAAACATTTATTTCTATAATTATCAGTTTATGATTTGCTTCCCTGGTCATATTATAAATTCACTGTGTAGAAATTCTATTCATTATTGTATACTGAAGATCTAGCACAGGACCAAGCACAGAGAAGGAAATCAATAAATAATTTTTAATTGAATAAAAGGGTGGATTAATGGATGGGCAGATGGTAGATCTGGGCTTCAGAAAAGCAGTCAATTTTGTTTATATGGTAAATAAGATTATATTGTTCCTGAAAACAATTACATAACTTGTAGTTTTTAACAATAATAATTACAAGTGCTTTACTAATGAAAATGCCATGTTAGAAACTTTCTCAAACCTGATCACACTTTCTCCCTTGAGTTTCATTGATCTCATTTTCTAGTAGTTCTTTGTAGTGAATGAGATGTTTATGAGAAGAAAGGTTGTTATAGATGCAGGTGTGGACATTCCTGCATCCTTTAGCCAAATGTCATCAATTTTCCACAATTTCCTCTAACAGTTACTTTAGCTAAACTCACTAGTTCTATGTTTTTAATTTTTTTCCGTTAAAGCTGCTCCCATCTTACTTATTGTATTGTAGTAGAACAAGCCACAGACAAAACCCCTCAGACACTGGGTTAAAGAAGGAAGAGGCTTTATTCAGCTGGGAGCATCAGCAGACTTGTGTCTCAAGAACTGAGCTCCCTGAAGAAAGAGTTCCTGGTCCTTTTAAAGGCTTACAACCCTAAGGGGCCCATGTGACAGGGTCATGATAGATTGAGCAAGCATGGTGTATGTGACTGTGTCCACATATGTTAGCGGTGGGGGTAAGCAATGCAAATATTTCTCCATACCATTGTCTGCGATGTATATATAGCACAAGTGGTTAGGGTGGGGGTTAATCTCTAACTTACAGGCCTGGCCAGTGGTGCCAGTTAGTCTGTTGTTTTTCAGCTTTTACTTCCTCCATCTCTTTGGAGACAGGGGACAGTAAGAGAAATGGCCTCGCTCCTCATTCCCCCCTTGGAGAACCTCACTCACTAGTGGGTGTTCTCACTGTCATCCTCACTATCTAGATCTTCCTGTGAGACAGATTGATAGTGATTCATGTAATACACTTGTGCTGAGGTCTCTTGAGGAAACAAGGTAGTAAAAAAACTCTTTAGTAACTGCAGAAATACGGGTAATATACAAGGGAGTAACATGCAGGTTCCTAACACTATTATTATTCCTAGTATAGGAGTTTTAAATCCTCCTAGAGCTGGAAACCATTTTCCAAACAGGGATCCAGGATCAAACCTATGGCAAACCTTATGGGCACATGTGCCAGCTTTGTCATGTCTCTAACTATATATTTGACTACTTGTCCTTGATCATCTATTTGCAGACAGCAATTGGTCAAGTTGAATTTTTCACAGACTCGTCCTTCAGCTGCTAGCAAATAGTCTAAGGCCAGTCTCTTCTGATCGATGGCATTTCTCATTTGGGTTTCCTGCCGGGCCAAATGAGTCAAAGCTCTGCCAGTTTCACTAGTGATTATTTCTAAGACAGCCTTAACCGTATGATCCAGTTGAGCATGTAGATGGGGGTTTGGTATCCCCTGAGCTGTCTTGTGCCCATGTGGCAGGCCTATAGTACTGTATGATCCTTTTGGAGGTCCACTCATAATCTTTTCAATTTCCTATAGCTATGCTTCTCTTTTCTCGGGAGGCATAGACAGGGAAACGTAGGAGCTCACCTGTGTTCACAGGCAACAAGAAAAAGGATGGCTTAATGGTGCCAATGACACAGCTACCTACCCATTGGTCAGGTAATTTGGTGTAGGCTCTATGCCCACATATCCAGTATAGTCCAGTGGGAGCTGTCCAGTGTCGGTGAGATTCTGGATGGGCCCAAACAGTCTGTAACTTGGGAAATTTATTGAATGGATTATTTTCAGTGCGGTTGAGACCCCACCAGATGACTGTCCCTGTCCTGCTCTTATACAACTTTTGTCCTAGGCAATTGAGCCTTCCTACAGGGATGGTGAAGTCCATTCCCTCTCTAGCTATGCAGTATTGTCCAATAATCAAGGTTTTAAAGACCCAGAAGTTGCTAGTTTGGGCCTTCTGGATTGGAATTATGTCAGGACCTGGATCAGTAGGCACCAATTCTCAGGCTTCCCAAGGCCATCAGTCTCCTACAGTGGTTCCCCCACATACATAACAGGAAGTAACATTGAGGGAATGAGCTACATTTTCTGCTAACTGGAGAAAGAAGTTCTTCATCTCTTTTTCCTTTTTGGAAGCTCTGGTGATGGCAGATTTCAGCTTATCACAAAAGGTCTGAAACACTGTTTTGGGAGAGTGCATCTGGACCTCCGCTTGGACTGAAATATTTACTCAGGGATTCAGTCCAGTTCCACTGATTCCTAGAGTTATATACTCTCCTGTTTTCCAATGGGGATCAAGGGGATTGGTAATTAGTAGTTCTAATGCATTACAGTGACCACTAGTGCAGGAAGAGTTACTCTTTCCTTTTTAAAGGTGGACAGGGTCCTTCTCATCTTCTTTTCAGGTGGACTAAATGATACAGGACCAGTAACTATATTCATCACTACACAGTCCTAATTCATGACAAACAAACTTATTTTCTACTATATATCTCCTTTCCCAATCTAGAGAGCCACATCTTATTCTATTTCCATGTGGGTCACTGTTGATTGCTGCACAAACATCAAATTTTAAGATAATTTGTTTAGGGACTCCTTTTTCTTCTCTTCTAGTTATTACTTTACTCATATTGGCTTTTCCCCAGTTCCCAGTCTTCCACCTTATTTCAAATACTGTGGCCATGGGGGGTTCAGATGGGTTATAACAAACACTAGGTTGTCCATCTTCTGGACTGCATACCTTATACTGGGTGTCATTATATAAAAAAATTCCTTTTAGAGTTCCCATGTATTCATAATTGTAAAACAGAAAGACTGTTTTAACCTTTTGCCCTACCTCAGTAACTTGATGTATACACTGGGAACAGTCCTCAGTCTGAGGAAGGTCTGTTGAAGTCCTTACTGTACAAGTCCAAAATTTAAGGAAAATGAGTCCCAGATGAGTTTCCTCATGCTTTGGCTGTGCAGGGACCAGTCATCTTTCTGGTGTGACTGGAGCAGTGCTTGTCGTCTTTCTTGAGGTCACTTTTCAGAGGTTGCCTGGGCTTGGTCTCGCCTCCCAGGTCTCAGGTGCTGCAGGTTTTACCCGTCTATGGTGGATCCAGGCCGGGATTCCCTCTACCTTTATAGCTGTGGGAGTGGTCAAGACGATGGTCTGGGGTCCTTTCCACCATGGCCACAAGGGGGCTACTTTCCAATCCTTGATACACACCTGATCACCTGAGGAGAAAGGGTGAACTGGGGAGAATAAGCTGATGGGGTACCTCTCATTTACCTAGGCTGAAATTGTTTGTGTAATTTTCCATGAAGTCTGTAGCTGTCACTGTAACTCAATTTCACCTAGCTCTCAAGGAGTGCCTGGGAGTCCCCTTAGTATGGGAAGGGACCCATGATATAATATTTCATAAGGGGAATATCCTGTTATTTTAGAAGAGCTACATCTAATGTTAAACAACACCATAGGGACAGCTTATACCCACTTTAATCCTGTTTCTTGACACATTTTCCTTAAACTATTTTTGGTAGTCTGATTCATCCGCTCCACCTTTCAGGAACTTTGTAGTCGGTAGGTGGTATGTAGTTTCCATGTGATCCCCAATACCTTTGCTGTCTTCTGTACCAAGTCAGCCACAAATCCCAGCCCGTTGTCTGAGCTGATTTGTAAGGGCAGTCCAAACCTAGGAAGGAGATCTCGGAGAAGCACACAGGTTACTTCATGAGCTTTCTCGGTCTGTGTTGGATAGACTTCCACCCACCCAGCGTATGCACACACTAGAACTAGCAAATACTTGTTACCTCCACATTTGGGCATCTCAGTGAGGGCTACTTGGAGATCTTCAAAGGGGGCTGCTCCATAAGATTGTATGCCGGGCAGGACATTTGGACCTTGCCTAGCATTGTGCTGCCAGTAGGTGACACACTGCTGCACCACTGTTTTGGCAAGGGCTGACAGATGTGAGATGTAGAAGTACCAGCCTAACAACTTTTCAAGTGACACTTAGCCTAGGTGGATGGTCTCATGTACAGCCAGTACGACTGTGGCCCCTAGCAGCTGTGGCATGGCTATTCCATCTGGTAACCAGATCCATCCCTCTTCTATCACCTGTCCTCCCTCTATCTGGAGAAAGTCCTTCTCTTCTTTAGAATAAGTAGGCACAAGGTCAGGTGCCTGAGGGAGCAGGGGGGCTGGGACTGACACCTGGTAGGGGGTGGATGCTGCTTTTTGAGCCTTTGAGTCAGCTCAGGAGTTCCCCAAGGCAATCGAGGTGGAAGCTCGCTGGTGTCCTCTTCAGTGCATGACTGCCACGTTTTGGGGCTTCCACACTGCCTCCAATAATTGCAAGATCTCTTGCTGATACTTTACGTCTTTTCCCCCAGAGTTTAATAGGCCTTTTTCCTTGTATAATGCCCCATACACTTGGAGAGTTAAAAAGGCATACCGAGAGTCAGTATAAATGTTTACAGTCTTACCTTCACTTAGCTCTAAGGCCCAAATTGAAGCAATGAGTTCAGCCTTCTGGGCTGAAGTGCCCTGGGGCAATGATTTGCTTCAGTGACAATGTCCAGGGTTACCACTGTATATCCCACACACCTCTCTCCTTGTGGGTTGATGAAGCTGCTCCCGTCCACATACAGCTCCCAGTCTACTGATGTCCAAGGATGGTCTCGGAGGTTGGGCCTGCTAGAATAAACTGAGTCCAACACCTCTACACAGTTATGTTCAACTGGGCTCTCTGATACCAGGAGCAAGGTGGTGGGGTTCAGGGTGTTGCAAACTTCAATGGTTATATGGGGTTTGTCACAGAGCAAACTTTGGTATCTAGTTATTCTAGCATTCATTAGCCAATGGTGTCCTTTGGTATTCATTAAAGTCACCACAGCATGGGGGGCCTTTATGTTTAGGTTTTGCCCAAGAGTTAGCTTATCCACTTCTCGTGCTAGCAGGGCTGTTGCTGCCAAGGCCCTCAAACATGGGGGCCAACCCTTAGAAACCCCATCTAGTTGTTTAGAGAAGTAGGCCACTGGCCTCGGCCAGGGCCCCACAGTCTGGGTCAAAACTGCAACTGCCATTTTTTCTCTCTCTGACACATATAGTGTAAAAGGTTTTGTCAGGTCAGGTAGCCCCAGGGCTGGGGCCGAAATGAGTTTTCCTTTTAACTCATAAAAAGCTCGTTGCTGTTGGGACCCCCATTCAAAATGTTCCTTATCTCCCCACTTTGTGACTCCATACAGGGACTTAGGCAATACTACAAAGTTTGGGATCCACAAAGTGCAGAACCCTACAGCTCCTAAGAATTCTCTCACCTACCCTCTGGTCTTAGGCTCTGGCAGGTCGCAGATGACTTGCTTTCTTTCTGATCCCAGGCTGCGCTCTATCTGATCAGATAGCAAATCCCAGGTAACATACCTGCTATCTGCAGATCTGAGCTTTCTTCTTGGACACCTTATACCCACAGTCCTCCAGGTGCTGGAGCAGGGTATCCATTCCCTTGGCACTCCCGACTGCTGTGGGTTGTCCCAGCAGGAGGTCATCAATGTACTGGAGCAGCACACAGCCTAGGTATCTGGCAGGAAACTTCTGGAGGTCTCGAGCCATTGCCTCTCCAAAGATGGTGGGGGAGTTCTTGAACCCTTGGAGGAGCCGGGTCCAAGTGTACTGAGTGGTGACACCTGACCCCAGATCCTCCCACTGAAAGGCAAACAGTTTTTGGCTCTCAGGGGCTAATCTGATGCTAAAGAAAGCATCTTTTAGGTCCAAGCAGGTGAACCAGCTGTCTTAGCTGCCAGTAACCCCAACAATGTGTACGGGTTAGGTACCATTGGATGCAAAATCACTGTAGCTTCATCGACCATGGGCAAATCCTGTGCCAGCCTGTAGTCCTTGGTCCCCGGCTTGGGAACAGATAGGAGGGGAGTGTTCCATGGAGACTGACAAGGGACTATAATTCCAAAGGCCTTCAGGTTCTTGAGATGGACATGGATGCCCTCAAGAGCTTCTCTGGGGACCGGGTACTATTTTTTCCTGACCGGCTGGGCCCCAGGCTTCACTTCTATGAGTACAGGGGCTTGGTTGACTGCCAACCCTGAAGGGTTGTCTTCTGCCCACACCTTTGGCCACCGCTTAGCCAGGCTGGTCCTATCTCTTGGCCTGGCTCAGTTAAGAAGAGGCTCCATTCCTCTTCCCGAGGAACCATAAGGGCCATGATGACTCCTGTTCCAGGTAACTTAGCTGTAAAGAGCCATGCTTTGTAAAAGAGATAGCGGTTCTCAGCTTGCTAAGTAGGTCCCTTCCCAGTAAAGGCAAGGGGCAGTCAGACATGTACAGGAACTGGTGAATTACCTCATGCCCCCCACAGTGCAGGTTCGGGGCAAACAGAAAGCTTGCTTTGCTGAAACCCCTGTGGCTCCGATTATATCAGTAGTCTTTTTGGATAAGGGGGTGACCAGAGTGGTTACCAGTATTGACAAGAAACTCAACATCCTTGCCCCCGACTGTCATCCTGACCATGGGCTCTTTGGAGGCACATTATCCCGGTCCCCCTCAGTCCAGTAACCCATCTTCCAGATTGAACAAAACCCCTTCATCCTTGTCTGAGGCCTGCTGCTCAGAGTCACCTTGTTTCCCTTTCAACTGGGGGCACTTGTCCTTCCAATGTCCTATTTCCTTACAGTAAGCACACTGGTTACACTGCAAGCATGGACGACCAGACCAGGTATTTTTCCTGGGGTCCCCCTTCTCTCACCCCTTTCGGGGGACCCCTCTAATAGCTGCAGCTAGCAGGTCGGTGTTTTGCCGGGCTTGGCATTCGCTCTGTCTGTGGTTCTCTCTGCAGCTTAATGCATCTCTATTCACAAACACCTGGTTGGCTATCTCCAATAACTGAAGTATTCATGCCTGCAAATCCAGTCTGTTTCTGTAGTTTTCTTCTAATGTCTTCTGCACTTTGATGATGCAAAGTCATCAAACATGTGCACATGGTAAAGCCATGTTAATCATGCACTGATTTTTTAGGGCTTTCAGGATCAAAGGGGGTATACATATGATAGGCCTCACATAGTCTCTCATAAAATTGTGCTGGACTCTCTTCCATTTGTTGAATAACCTCAGAGACTTTTTAACATTTGTGGCCTTCTGAACTCCCTTCTTTAACCCTTCCAGGAGGGCTTCCCTGTACCAGTTTAGCCTTTGCATACCCTGTCTTTCATTTGGGTCCCACTGGGGGTCTGTTCCTGGTAATTGGATCACATACTCTTGGGGATTTTGGTAATCAGCTGGAACATATTCCTCTAGCCACTTAGTGGCTGCTTGGAGCACCCTTCACCTTTCATCCGTGTTAAAGAGGTATATGAGCAACTGGTGGCAATCAGCTCAAGTAGGGCTATAGGTCTGGATAATAGTTTAGAGAAAATCAATTATAGCTTGAGGCTTTTTGGTATAGGATCGGGTATTGTTTTTCCAATTGAGAAGATCGTCAGAGGTGAAGGGTTGGTACACAAAGGCATGCCCTTCCACCATATGCCCATCCTCATATACCCCAGTATACCATTGCTCTCTCAGGGGCATTTGTATCCCAGTTTTAGACCTCAAATGGGCTGCCAAGGGAGGGGTTTCTCCCGAGGGCTCACATCCTTTCTTTTCTACTCTGGGTGGCCTAGGGGCATGTAGGCCTTGTGGAAGCTCTGGCGCAGTGGGCTCAGGAGTGGGAGGGCTTCCTTCTTGGTGAAAGAGTAGGGTGGGGGGCACTGGTGCTGTTTCTTGCCATTAATCTTCTGATGTTGGGTCGGACAGGACTTTAGGAGCTGACTCCCCTCAGCAGGTGGAGTGGGATTCTTCCTTGGCTATCTGTACCTTTGCCACTAGTACTGCTGCTGCCTATCCTCTTAACCACTGTGGGGAGTCTAAAACCAGCTGTAACCAAGTGTCTATGTATGGAAACTGGTCTGGGTATCCTGGCTTACCAGTTATCTTGTGCTATACCTTTGAAACAAGGGACCTGTCTAGGCTTCCTTCTGATGGCCACCCCACTCCTAATGCTGGCCAGTCTATTTCACACAAAGTTCTAAGTTTCTCTGGTGTCATAGTAACTCCATAGTCTCCATTAAAACCTTTTTTGAAATTCTTTAAAACAGTTCCTAATGGAGTGAGCTTACTCTGCATTTTACCATCTCCTTCCCAAGACAAGAAAAGAAAGAAGAAAAGAACAATACTCACACTGCAAGAGGAGATTCGTGTCAATCACAAGTATTCACTCATTTTCATTCTCCTTTCTTCAAACAAGCCAAGCCAAATCAAAATCAAATCAAAACTGAGACCAAAGTGCCAATAAGGGCACACCGTGGGTGATCAGGCCATGCTTCCACTCAAATGGAGTGGGCAAGTTCCCAGGACCGGTCCTACCATATTCCAGATGTCCAGACTCCAAGCACAAGTTCCTTCTGGGTGTTCAGCCACTGAGTTGATCCTCTGCAGGAGTCTGCCGTGCACTGCTCCGACGAGGTGTTCCACCGGGGCAAGTACCTACCTGGGAGCACTCTTAGGATCCACGTCACTCAAGCTAGCCAGAGTCCTCCACAGGGATGCTTTTCAGGGCAAGCCTAAGCTGCCTAAGTGGCTGCCTCCACCGTCCATCAACCACCTCACTTCCCGGTCAGGGAACCAAGAAATGTAGCAGGACAAGCCACAGACAAAACCCCTTAGACACAGGTTAAAGAAGGAAGAGGCTTTATTTGGCTGGGGGCATCGGCAGACTTGCATCTCAAGAACCGAGCTCCCCAAAGAAAGAGTTCCTGGCCCTTTTAAAGGCTTACAACCCTGAGGGTTCCACGTGACAGGGTCGTGATAGATTGAGCAAGCATGGGGTACTTGACTATGTCCACATACGTTGGCGGTGGGGGTAAGCAATGCAAGTATTTCTCCATACCATTTTCTGTGATCTATAGATAGCACAGGTGGTTAGGGTGGGGGTTAATCTTTAAGCTACAGGTCTGGCTAGTGGTGCTGATCAGTCTGTTGTTTTTCAGCTTTTACTTCTTTCTTCTCCTTGGAGACGGGACAGTGAGAGAAATGGCCTCTCTCCTCAGTATTATTTAGACTTTGCGTTTTAGATAAGGTAGCCAAACAGAAATGGTATAGAATTATGGCTCTCTTTCAATGCAACTCATAGGCTCCTAATTCAGTCATTTCCTGTGGTTTTATTGCTGATCATGTTCCTCATTGTCTCTTCTTAATCTATCACATTCACTGTCCATGTTCCCAAACCAAGTTGTTATGAAGAAAGAAAATCAAGAGATTCTTTAAGGAAAACAATCTAGATAACAGTGTGTTCTGTAGAACATTTAAAATCTTCAAGCATCTGTTCAGTTTTAGTTTTTGCACAGAAAACTACCTGATTCACAGTCATAAATACACTGCACCTTCCCGCAGACCTATAATTGAGTTAGTTTGGTTTCCCTGGCAACCACCACGATTAATTAGAATACTTGAGCATGGTAAGTTTATAGATGCAAAAAATATTTCGTGTATAAATAGTGCAATCTGTTTATGCTCAAAGGAATTTTTCCCCTCAGTTGAGAAATGTTTTTTTTTTTCTTTTTTGTCTGGATTAATCACATTTTCTTCCTCATAAACTCTATAAGTAATATTCAAGGATTAATGTTGATTGAACCCATTCAGCAAAATGTGCCAGCACTGACACTCTCTGGGTGGCTTCTGGCCTGAGTCCTGGGCCCCTGCTGGGGGAGACATGATTGCACCCTCACTGTATTTAGTGACAAAGCTTATGAAAGCATCCTATGGGTCTCATGAATCCCAATTGTTTTCCTAAACTACCTTGTAATGAAAACAGTTGTGGGCTGGGCGTGGTGGCTCACGCCTGTAATCCCAGCACTTTGGGAGGCTGAGGCAGGTGGATCACAAGGTCAAGAGATTGAGACCATCCTGGCCAACATGGTGCAACCCCATCTCTACTAAAAACACAGAAAAAATTAGCTGGGTGTGGTGGTGCATGTCTGTAATCCCAGCTGCTTGGGAGGTCGATGTAGCAGAATCACTTGAAACCTGGAGGCAGAGGTTGCAGTGAGCCAAGATCATGCCACTGCACTCCAGCCTGGTGACAGAGCAAGATACTCCATCTCAAAAAAAAAAAAGTTGTGTATAAGAACATTCATATGAAAACTGGTGTCTCCCTAAGATAAACTTTGCATAAAACCAAAGGAGCTCATTAATTAAAAAAAAAACCTCCAGGCAATCAATATTATTAATTAATCATATTAATGTTTCATATTAGAAAAAAATATGAGAGCTATCATTTATTGAATGTCTACTCAATACTTCATTGATTTCAGTGTTTCACATATGCTATTTCATCTTCGCAACATTTCTGTGAGACTGGTACTATGAACCTCGTTTTAGAGATATCCAAGCTGAGACCTTGGTAACTTAAGAAAATTGGTCAGATTCACTAAGTTGGGAGTTGCAACATAGGAAGGTTTATCTAAATCAAAGGCCTATGCATTCACACATCTGCCTGAGCTGTCACAACTTTTCCTCTAAAGTGGCCATGGAAGAAGGAATAAGAGAGATTCTAACTTTACATTAAAACAGGACACTTTCAATCTCTTGATCTGTAAAGAATCTATCTCCATTCTTCCCTGTGAAACAAATAAAATGGGATATACGTGTGATATATCAAAACTTCCTTTTACTAAGACATACTTGGCCACCAAATGACTTTTGCAGCCAGCTATAATTGAATTTTAAGCTAATTCTCAAGAAGTAATTATGTATAAGTAAGTCTTGTGCACCCCAGTTGGGAGTGGGAGGTAACAAAGTGAAGTGCAAAAGGCATTGAACTGGTGCTAAGGAGTTCTTTCACTAAGCAGCTATTTATGCTAGGGAAATGAATTTCTTCAGTGCTAACATAGGTTAGTATCACATATTACCACTTAGAAGTTTGGAGCTGGTAGAGGCTGTAGGAATTACTCATTGAAATAACGATATAAATTCCTCTCCATTCAGTCTTCTGGAAAATACTCTCTAGGGCTATCCCATTTCCTTTCAAAGGATAGGTATAATTTTAACTACAGAAATTCAGCTTCTTCCTGTATTGGCCAAGTTACTAGAGCCATGGGAAACAATGAGAACTTTTAGCTATTGTCTTAAAAATTTGCATATTGGAACTAGTTCAAAGCTCTTAGGAATGGAATCAACTGTCCTAACTATGACTACTTGCCAATTTCACCATTCTCCTCTTGTGTTAATAACAATTTCTTTCATTTAATTCTATTTTATTTCTATTAAATAGTGTTAATAACAATATTTTCTATTTTAAACACTAGAATATCTATGTTTAAAAATCTCTTTCAATTTTATTAAATTCTAATATACATTGTCCTGAGACATCCTGGAAATCAAGCAGATTTGGCATGTTTACTAGTTTTTTACCAAAAATTTGGCAGAAATTCCTTTTTTGTATGCTATTCTGAGCTGTAAATACATACTTCCTGCTAGCATATTTTAAACTAGGAAATGCATTCATAACATTTTAGACACTAACTGTATCAATATTTTTGGTATTTCTTGGTCATGACATTACTTTTTTAACATAGACAGATACTCAGTTTTAGAGTTATCATATAAATTGACTTTTGCTTAAAAACCTAGAGAGGTCTGAAGGTTATGCTCCTTAAATATGATTTGTCAATGGCCAGAATATGTACAGTGTACAGAATATCTAGCTTGTTTGCCTTTCTCCTGTCTCCTTCCCTCCCTCCTTCCCTCCCTCCTTCCCTCCCTCCTTCCCTCTGTCCTTCCTTCCTTTTTTCTGTTTTGAAAAGAAACTACTTCTCTTATTCTCTTCCCTTCCCTGCATCTCAAACTCCCCCTACCCTGGCCTACTCGAGACAGGAAGCTCAAATGATACACTTTAAGCAGCATCCATAACAATTCAGATCCTATGGCTAGGAAGTCCTCCTAAGATAATGGTGAAAACATTTCTCAAAGAGTAGACCAAAGTTGGAGGCAGGGCATTTAATAAATTTGTCTCTAGAATCTGTAATGTCAACTTCATATTTCTAGATCTCTTGAGAGAAAATTAAAAAACTCAATGAGGAAATAAAGACAGCTCTGAATATTTTCTGTCAGTTCAAATACTATAAGCAGGGTCTCATCCTATTCAGCTCTAAATTTTAGTACTAGCATAGGCCCGGAAGATATTAAGGGATCAATAAATGTTTGTCGGATTGAAGTTCAACATTTTTTAATATACTACACATGTTTATTTCTAGGAAATGTAGAATCATATTTGAGGAATTAACCAGTTGAATTAATGTAGCCAATATGTTTTTGCCCAACTATAGGGCTTTAGTTTGTTGCAAGACTCATATAAAAGTTAATTATTTTGCTATTTGAAAGAGTATGATCAAGTTCATGAATTATTAAAATGGTGCTAAAAAAAAAAAACTAAAACAATTGTAAACATTAACTCTGATTCTTTCTATGGTTTATGCAACCAAGATGTTTCTAAGGCAATGGCACCAGACACTACGTGGAGGGAAAATGGTTGTTGTCCCTGGCATCAACTCGGAAGTTGTGGATATCCCTAGATCATAACCCTCTGCACTAACTCCTTACCTCGAAACATTTAAAATATATTTTCTGTTTTCTTTTTCTTTTTCTTTTTCTTTTTTTTTTTTTTTTTTTGAGACAGAGTCTCACTCAGTCGCCCAGGCTGGAGTATGGTGGTGTGATCTCGGCCTGCCGCCAGCTCTACCTCCCAGGTTCACGCCATTCTACTGCCTCAGCCTCCCGAGTAGCTGGGACTACAGGCGTCCGCCACCAGGCCTGACTAATTTTTTGTATTTTTAGTAGAGACAGGGTTTCACTATGTTAGCCAGGATGGTCTCTATCTCCTGACCTCGTGATTTGCCCGCCTTGGCCTCCCAAAGTGCTGGGATTACAGGCGTGAGCCACCGTGCCCCACTTTAAAATATATTTTCAACGCTCAAAAAAAAAAAAAAAATGGCTGAAGGCTCTATGACAAGTTAACAAGTTATGTATTACTTTCTATGTTGAGATACTAATGAAGTACATACTATTTTCTGTTACACGCCTTTGTTTTAACTTTTCAGTGAAGTTTCATAATTCTTTTAGCCTATGCTTTCATAAACACGTCTAATTATGCACTTTGCTTTTTCATAGATATGTTATTATATCACCTTTTGCTTTGTCTTTATATACTTAAGACTCTTCACCATTTATATCCCTTCACATGGTAGCCCTTGAACCTATAATCTCTCAATCATTTCAGATTATCTTACCAAATGTATTCCATATAATGAATCTATAGGCTTTGAACCCAGAAATGGAACAATGTTTGGCCTATGGTTCCAAGAATTAGTCTGCTTATCAGCAGACCCAACCCAACTAATGCCCAAAGCAGGCTTAAGGTAGATGAAAATTGGTGCTGATGATCTAAATGCCTATTTAATGAGCAGTAGGATTCACCAAACAACAACAATCTGTCTTCATCAAATAGGTGGTAGAATTGTGGCTTTAGGTGCAAGTTAAGTTCTCTTGGCCCAGTAGCATCAAAATAGCTTGATATATACCCTCTTCAGTTTTCCCAGTGGTTTCCTAAGTGGTACCTCACATGTGCCCAAAGACCGATCATTTGGCTGCAAACACCACATGACATACATCCTCTTCTACATTGGTCCCACTTGTTATATCCCATGAAGTCTCCCCTGCCCCACTGCTCGGAGTGATCATCAGGAGACTGCAATACCTGAGACAGGGGTGCAGTCTCAGCTGGTCCATCCCAAAGCTGCCATTTCTCAGGGAACAAAAGCAGAGCTGAGTTCTGCGCAGAAGCACAGAGAGCAGCTTTCTTGCTAATGCTGTGTCATATTTTGTTGCCTGCCAAAAGAGCTTTGCTCAAGAATAGAGACCCGTAAATTTTTCTCATAAAGAGTTTCACAATTAAGAGTACTCATCTCTCAATCATAGAGCCCCCCATCCAGTTCAATGGACCAAAAAGAGAACTGGAGTTGTGTCCGTTTTCCTCCTCAGCCTTCAGCTTACATTAATAAGCCTCTCCCAAAAGAACATGATCTCCCCCAGATACCAATTTTCTGCCTCTGCTTTGAGATCGGAATTCTTAATCATAACTATTTTAGTGAAGTCTTTGGGAGAACAGTTATTCAGAAAATAAAAATTCAAACCTCCACATTTGAAGAAGCAGAACATTCTCTACTAGTTTTTCAACAACACATTTTTCAGTGCTTACTCATTGTAAATCTAAGGGGGAAAAAAACATAATCCAGAACAAAACCATCTTATTAAATAGAGAAATTTTTGAATGAAGCTGGGCCCCCAGTTGAACTGAAGGCATTGTTAGCTGTGTCTATCCTCTGCAGAGAGGGAGAGGACTCAAGTCGTAGAACTGGACTAGGCTCCCACCTGTCAAAGGAGCTAGTGAACAGACCAGAAACCAGGAGAGAAATGCAGGCATGGAGATTGGACTCTGTCCATAGGATTAGAGGGATGAGCCATTCCAGGGAAGATTTACCCAGGCAGCAGATTAATCAGACCCTATTGTAACAGGATGGCAGTCTCAGCAATTATTGACTCATGCTCAAGACAGCAGATTTTTGATCCTTCTGACAGCTGGTCCTCAGGCAAGGACTGACACTCCAGCTATGTCATATCTTCCTTGATACATAGCAACCAGAATGGAGCTCATTAACGCAGGTGCAGAAAAGCTCTCCCCACACCCAAATAGTTTGGTATAAAGACTGCAATATGTGCTTTTTGTTTTCAGCATCACTCATGGTTGGATTGCACCTATAGGCTTGTAAATCGATGCTTTTATTCTAAAGTCTTTTGTTGTGTCACATCTTGGAGTGACCTCAGCTGGGGGTCTGATACTGCTTTTCAGAGATTACAAGGTCATGATTTGAATTTCAATGCTAATAATATAAAAAACAGTCAAACAAGTCAGCTTTTATTGGGTCCCAATTTTGTGCTGGTCGGTGCTTGGTGCTTTGCAAGTAGGAAGAGCATGGGCCAGAGAACATCAAGGCCAAGCAAGCACTGTACATGCTCCCGACAGGAGATGTTCCTCTTTAGCACTCTTTCTGCAAGCATCACTTACACCTGAGTCAACTTCCTATCTGTCATTTGTCTGCACTCCTCACACCTAACACATAATGACTACCTTGCAAAGTGTAATCCACTTTACAAAGTCCATGTACACGTATACTCTTTCTTGATGCAGTAACCCTGGAAAGTACATAAGATAACATTTTTTCTACTTTCCTCCCACTGCACTCACTTTTTATCAATACTAACAGACCATTACTTCTCTTTCCCTTTTAAAAATCACATCATTTGGGGTCAGAAATAAACTCTTCTGTGGCTTGTGTTTGTGTTTTATGCTTTGGTTTTTGATCTTGCACCTGGAGGAGGACAAGCAAAGGGTGCGCCTTATGCACTTGCTCAATACACACTAGCAAGCTGTAGAGATGCAAAGTTTGTGAGATGGATCTAATTTCAAGGGAACAATCTTGGAGGAGCTGCCGGGTTCCCATGTGCCAGCTTTCTGTGTTATTTGTTTTCATTATTTGGCTAAAATTACCCAAGTATCCCTGCACCCACTCCCATTTTTTGTTACTATTGTTATATGTTTGTTCATTATAGCTGTTATCAAAGTACAGAGCATAAATAAACTACTTAGTAAATACTTTCTGAACAAAATACGACAAATTGTTCAGCAGTGCAGAAACAGATGCTCATTTACTCACTGAAAGCTTCTGAAAATAAGGTTTCCGTGTACCATAGTAGAGAAATAGGGAGTGAAGTGGCAGTTACATGCTTATTTGGTATGAGTACCACCAACAAGTAATCAAGCTATTCCCACCTTCCTGGCCACAGGACAGGTGAAGCTTTTCTTATTCTCCCTGCAGATGCCTGGGATGATAGGAGACTGAATTGCTGCCCACACTCACAGCCATTGCAGGCAGTGACTCAGCAGCTTCTCAGAGAGAAGTTGCAACTTGGGACCTCCAACACTATGGATAAGACACCTTTTCGCCAGGCCATTCGGGGTCACCTGCACACATACAGACATCCCCAGTGCACTCATGTTCCTATGTGCATAATCACACACACACACACACACACACACACACACACACACTTGCATAAACATCCTTGACAGAAATCTTCAGCTTGTGGCTAACACAGTCCTAAAATGGATTAGAGAAATAAATTTCATGCCTGAAATCTGACATATCTTCCTTCAGCTTACATCTTGAAAAGATGCCTTTAAGATTTTGTAGGTCACACAGAGTTGTTTGGTGTGGAATGGGTGGCAGAAGCAGGTCATATTCAATGTCCCCTGTCCACTGACTCATCAGGCATGGGGCCTCTGAGCATCTGTCAGGAGGGAAAAAATCAAGACACAACAACTATAAAGATTCTCCAGCCCAAACCAGTGAATAAAATAGTTATATTTCTGTAATCACTGATAAAGAGGAAATCTTACATTACAGTTCCTTCCTAGTGCCTAAAGCTATTGCTTGTGAAATATTCTACAATTTGCTTTAGCTATTTAATACCACCTCAGCATAAATTGAGCTGGATTCTTCACATTTATTAGCATACAAAAATCCATTTATCTCTGTCTCTTTTTTGCTTCAGGAACCAACCTTGCATTTCAAATAATAATAATAATAATAATAATAATAATAATAATAATAATAATAATAATAATGTACACGGAGCCCATAAAGACCCACTGATGGAGTGATAGATGTTTTTTAAACCCTGGGGCATTACAGGAGTTTATGAAGCAGTAAAACTTTCTCCAGGCATGAGAAGTGCAGACTGACAGAGACCATTTTATCTGTAAGGCATTAAAGTATAAGTGCTACATTGGACAAGCATAATAGAAGAGAAAAATAATAATAATTTCAGGAAAGGCGGTCAACTCCTCAAGCAAAAACAATCAGACCAGGAGTTACCTAATGATCGTCAGAAAACCTAGAAGGAGATAGCCTACGCGGCATCTGAGTTTTCATTCAGAGGAATATTGGCTGCCACTCTGCCCTCCATGTCATTGCAAAAGGCAGCAGAAATTTGAAGTAATTCCAATAAGACTTTTCTCAAGTAAAGAGAGAATCCTATATTCTCATTCTATCTTACTTCATTTCCCTCATCACTTTAGCAAAGACGTGTGTGGTGCTGTTTTCCATAAGTATTTAGTGAACATCTGCTATGTACAAAACAAGGCATTATGTGTTGGGGAGGTAATAGCCAGACCCCTGCACTCAGAATCTTGCCTTTTTATTGGGGAAGAAGCACTATACTAGTGAAAAAAAAAAAAACCAAAGCTACCAATTATCTATAACAGCAGTGAAAGAAGTACATGAGGATGATACATCAGCAAGAGGAATAAAAGGAGAGAAAATTTTAGATTATGTGATCTGAGAAATGTTGTAAGAAATAACTATACTGTGGGCTTTACTGAATGCCTTTGTTCCTTAGTCTCCTAGGATTCCATTTCTTCAAGAAAGCTCCAAACATTCATTCATTCATTCATTTTCTCTGTCTTTAGACAGCATGGTTCATAAACTATTCCAGTTAGAGGAACACCTGTCCTATTTTAAAGGAAGTGGATTTCAAATATTGTTTTTTTTAGAACATTCTAGGGTTCTAATCTACTGTAATGACACATCTACTTTGATCCAACTTCCTGCATTATTTGATTTAAGCATCTATCCTCTTTTTCCAGTTTTAGTAGGGAACCTAAAAAACTATTATCTCATCATCAAGCCTTCTTTTCTTCAGATAGATATGTTTATTTTTTTATTTAACCTTTAAACATAGATGCTATTTTTATACTTTGGTTTTTCCAAAGTGACCTCTTCTGGGACATCTCAAATATTCTTGCTCTACAAAAGAGCCCTATTTGGACAAAGTAAAGACATACAGTTCTTGATTTAAACTCTTGGTTCATGGCTCAGCAACCTAGAGATGAATTCAAATGACTACCTCATGTAAGGATACAATCATGTCCAAGACTGCCTCTAACAGTTATTCCCCATGCTTCATTTAATCTGTGTGCCTCTTTTGATATGACACTGACAGAGTTAAGTTTGAGTTGGGGAAGTGATTCCTTAAAATTGGTTTATCATTTTACTTATCCTCTCTCTTATCCTCTCTCTCTATAATTTCTCTTCCACAAAGCCATTCTTGTTTGTTTTAGACCATATTAATCTCCTTTTTTTCCTGAAATGTTATTGCAATTATTGTCCAAGTGTCCCTTTCAGCACACTTCATACGTAGCTGCACAGATTCTGCCATATAACTAAGGACTGAACACCTGGGCAATGCACAAACACCCTCTATACAGAATTTAGTGACATAGGAAATGTACCAAATACAGGTTCAGATAGTAACATATAATTATATTGTATATATTATTTTATGCATTATATATTAGATGTTGCATAATATGTGTTACAATATTCTCCTCAGTACATTCCTCGGCATGTAGTAAATATTCACCAAATACTTATTGAATGACAAAGATCTTCAGTGTTATACCTTATTTTAAAACCTTTGTGGGGTTGGGTTTAAACAAATCGGGCACAAATGTTGTCACAGAAGATTTTTTCTGCTTGGAAATTGTAAATTAATCTGTAAGGTTATTCAAGAAAAAACATAATTGTTTACATGTTTATTGGAATGGGTATTACATGGTATCTACACATTTTGAAAAAAATCCAGGAAGTATGGTACTCTGCAGAAGCACAGCCTACTCTGACCAAAACACTCATCTGACAAATGTCCATGGATGGTAGCCAGTGGTCACCAAATTAAACAAATAAGCTTCACCTGCCCTAGACTTTGCCTAAACATTTAAAAGTGACTCATTTTCTGAGGAGAGCAACACATGAGTTAGGATATTCCCAGTCAGTTTGAGTGTGACATCTGCCCCATCCCAAACAGAGGGCTCTCAGTTATCCCAGTACTGGTTGATGGAGAACAATGTTGCCCTGCTCAAGAGTAAACTTTTATTTTTTCTAGGACTTTTGCTGCTCCTTATATCATTTAGCTGTTGTGTTCATCAACCTATAGTCAAACACACCAGGGAATTCTAAATGGTGTGTAAAGTGAACATCTGTCCACTGCAGGATGGACACATCTGTACCCATTAATTTTTCATCATTTCCCCCAATCAGGGGTCAGATGTTCACAATGTGCTAATGTCCTGGCACCCCTCTCCCATGGATTTAGTGCCTCTGAAGCAGATCTTGCAATTACAAGAAAACAGGGTAGCTTCGGCAGAGAATGTGGAGAATCTACCTCCCACTCTCAGAGGAAAAAAGGGAAAACAATTATTTTAAAAGATTGCATCTTCAAAGAAACTGGAAACAAAAAATCAGCTTGCTGCTTATTAAACATGAGATAATCATCTTTGCTATTTCCTATATGCTTGTTTAGAATAAAATGGGAATGATTTACTTGCTGGAGAGCTCCCTCTTTTGTATTCTGTTTTTACATGTAATGGCCCATAACATTATCTTATTTTTCTTTCACCTTTTATCAGCATAGCTTACCAACTATTATCTCATTTTTGCTTACGTATTTCTCATTCTTTTATGCTCTAATTCATCTTTTTTTATTATTCCACAAGAGAATATTTTCAAAAGAGCAATGATTTGGTGCTGCCTAACACCTGCTCTTAGCCAGTCCACTTGCTCAGGTTTTCTGGTCCCTTCTGTTTCATTCTGACACATTGGGCTAGACACAAGGTAGGGACGCAATTTACAGCAAGACAAATAATCACAAACTTTGTATGTGGCTGGCTGGGATTAAAGTCCATAATGATCTAACAAACATTTTCTTTGAGGAGGGAAGCGCCTTCATGCAAATGTTACCATCATATTCTATAGAAACAAACTATTCTCAGAAGCATTGCCTTGGTTAATTACCAATCTCATGGTGTGTTAAATATCTAAAAATAACTATGGATTGTCCTTATTTGCAGAGAGTTGAAATCACAGCAGGAGGGCCATGAAGAGAGAAGATGTTTTTAAAACCTGGATGGTTTCCCAGGATTTTTCTTTTCTTTTCTTTCTTTTTCTTTGGCTTCCCACTTTCCAAAAATACAAAGTAACATCAGAGGTTTCCCAAGCTGTCATAAGGTTTGAAGAGAGCGTGTTGGCATGTTCATTGCCCCTTAGGAAGCACATCTATCTGTTTTTCTTCCCAGCTTTGCAGTCTATGTGAGCATTTTGTTAACA
Source organism: Homo sapiens (assembly GCF_000001405.40). Classification (NCBI taxonomy): domain Eukaryota; kingdom Metazoa; phylum Chordata; class Mammalia; order Primates; family Hominidae; genus Homo; species Homo sapiens. The sequence continues at coordinate 35,940,368 of NC_000008.11, read as the reverse complement.
GCAGGTCAGCTGTTTCCAATTCAGTCGCTATCAACATAGACCTTGTTATCAAGGGTAAGAAAATACTTTTTTTGTGAGCCTGGTTTTCTTCAAGTCTCCCTTTTGTTAGAAACCGTAGCCATTACTGCTTTTGTGAATAAATTTCATCCAACAACCTTCCTTCCTTAAATAAAATTGCCTGGCTCCATTCCAGGTTTTTTTCACAATGACTCCAAACCACTGCCAACAGCAGGCACTGGCAAACACCGTAATTATCCAGTGGACATCGTTAGCCCAGGGCTTTTCTTTTCTTTCTGTTTTTATTATTTATTTATTTATTCATTTTTTGAGACAGTCTCACCCCGTCACTCAGGCTGGAGTGCAGTGGTGCGATCTCGGCTCACAGCAACCTCTGCCTCCCAGGTTCAAGCAATTCTCCTGCCTCAGTCTCCTGAGTAGCTGGGACTACAGGCATAAGCCACTATGCCTGGCTAATTTTTGTATTTTTAGTAGAGATAGGTTGCACCATGTTGGCCAGCTGCTCTCAAACTCCATACCTTGTGATCTGCCTGCCCTGGCCTCCCAAAGGGCTGGTATTATAGGCATGAGCCACCGTGACTGGCTGACTTTTCCTTTTATAAAATATAGTAGTTTGGCATTCTGGCATTAAGGTTTTGAGAACTTCCTGTCTTTACTCTTTATTGATCAACCACTACAGACTTTCTGTTTGTTTCTGAGGAGATAACTTTGATCCAGGTGTTCCAGGGTGCAAAAGGAAAGATAACAATAGTGTTTTAGATACAGATAGCACTCTACATTTTATAAAACATTTGCATAGATGTCAGATTTTTCTTCAAACTAGAGATTGGATAAGTATAAGATACAGTAACACTCTATTTTAGAAGACAAGACTTATACATGTTCACTTGATTTTTCAATCAGGAAGGGAGATAATATTTACCTAACATTGTACCAAGCATTGTGGAAAATTTTTACATATGTCATTTCATTTAATCCTCATAATTACTGTGTCCAGAGTTGGCTCCTTCCAGTGGGTTATTGGTCTTGCTGACTTCAAGAATGAAGCCACGGACCTCTGCAGTGAGTGTTACAGCTCTTAAAGGTTGCATGGACCAGAGTGAGGACCAGCAAGATTTATTGTGAAGAGCAAAAGAACAAAGCTTCCAAGGCATGGAAAGGGACCTGAGCAGGTTGCTGCTGCTGGCTGGGGTGGCCAGCTTTTATTTGCTTATTTGTCCCCACCCATGTCCTGCTGATTGGTCCATTTTACAGAGTGCTGTTTTGTCCATTTTACAGAGTGCTGATTGGTCCATTTTACAGAGTAAAATGCTGATTGGTGCATTTACAATCCTTTAGCTAGACACAGAGTGCTGATTGGTGCATTTTTACAGAGTGCTGATTGGTCCATTTACAATCCTTTAGTTTGACACAGATCACTGATGGGTGTGTTTACAATCCTCTAGCTAGACAGAAAAGTTCTCCAGGTCCCCACTTCACCCAGGAAGTCCAGCTGGCTTCACCTCTCAATCCTCCCTCTAAACAGGACCCCCACAGCTACTGTTGGGAATTGGGCAATGACCACTCTAGCTACTTCCTGCTGGATAGGGGTGAAGAAGTGGCCCTGCCGTGGTAGTGGAACTACCTAGGGGAACTCTCTAGGCCAGACAAAGGGTCAGTGCATCGGTCCAGGGGTCCTTGGTAGAAGTTGTTAGTTGAGCTCATTTGGGGTTCCATTTGTAAGACCATCTGTAGCATGATGGCCTCAATCCTGGAGGAAACAAATTTAATAAGGAGGTTAAAAATACAGGGCCCAAAGATGAGTAGCAGCAAGATGGCTGTCACAGGACCTAGAAAGGGGAGAAGCCATGTCACCCAACTCCAGAGGTCAGTATAAGAGTTTGAAAGGTGTTGTCTGATTTCAGAAGCCTTTTCCTGTAAATGCCAAGCAGTGTCTCATACTATCCCTGACTGGTTAGTGTAAAAACAACTCTCTTCCCCTAAGAAGGTGAAGGGTCCTCCTTTCTCAGCAGTGAGGAGGTCTAGGACCCAGTGATTTTGGAGAGTCACTGCTGCCAAAGAGTCTATTTGGGATTGTAGAGTAAGGACAGATTTCGTTATTTCTTGCAAACTGTCTGAGAAATCCTTTGAGAGTGTGTGGTAGTAGGATAATGAAGTGGATAAACCTGCTATTCTGGTTCCTGTAGCAGTGGCCATTCCTAACCCTATAAGTAGGGTTATTAGTTGTACGGCCCTGCGCTGATGGACTTGAGCTTTGAGGGGCACTGCTAGGGTCTGATTTCCACAAGATTAGAAGTTAGGATAATACATGTTACACTGTTAACTTTTAGCAAACTTTACTTTTGTTGAAAACCTTGTAAGTTTGGGATTTTAATTATTCTTTGCTATTAATAAGACCTCATTCAGTCCATATTAATTTAGAATTGGTATAGATGGCTCCTTCCTGATTCTGTAAGCAGTTTAAGATTTGGCTGAGTGCAAACAGCTTGCACATTTGAGCAGACCAATTATTAGGCAATTTTAAAATCCATTTGTGTCTTTTTCCCTTAATCGGGAGGAACCATCTATCATCCTGTTCTGAAGAGAATTTCTCCTAGGTCTGGTCGGACCTTTGTATGATAATTAATTAAGATTTAGATCCCCTGTTAGGAAACCTGCTGGGATAAGGATTTTTGATAGGAAGGCTATGGGTTGTCAGTGGCCTCATTGCTTTCAGGTTATGCCCTTGTTTACACTGAAAACAAGGTGGTATTGGAGTGTTATAAGATTATGGAGAAGACCTTCAATTATCAATTATAGGTTTTAAATTTACCCTGGCTTTTAAAGGAATAAGGTACACTGTTTTTTCTTAACTACTTCTCTCTCTCTCTTTGACTTTCTGTCGCTTTCTCTCTCTCTCTTTGACTCCCTTTTAGTCTCTCTGACTCTTCCTCTCTCTCTTTCCTTCTCTCTTTGACTTTCTGTCTCTCTTTCTTTCTCTCTGACTCCCTTTGTCTCATCCTTTCTCTTTGACTCCCTCTTCGTCTCTCTGTCTCTTCCTCTGTCTCTTTCCTTCTCTCTTTGACTTTCTCTTTCTCTTTTCCTTTCTCTTCTGGTCTTTACCTGCCTCTGCCAGCTGCTTTTTGATGGCTTTGGCAGTGTAAGACTGCCATCTCCTTGGGTTTTTGCACTGCGTGCAATAACTCCATGATTTCCTTGTGGTATTTAATGGGAGTTTCCCCCAAAGATTAGGAACTACCTTTCTTTCCATATGGCAGCATGGGCATGGAGGATTAGATAAGCAGACTTGTTATCTGTATACACATTTATTCTTTTTCCCTTTCCCAGTTCTAATGCTCGGGTAAGTGCCACTAGTTCTGCTAACTGGGCGCTGGTTCCTGGGGGAAGAGGTTTACTTTTAAGTACTGTTACATCACTAACTATGGCATAACCTGCCCCTCATATCCCATTCTCCCCAAATGAACTTCCATCTGTATATAGGTTAAGGTCAGGATTAGCTAAGGGGACTTCTAAGTGATCCTCTCAGGCGGCATAAATCTGGACTATAATTCGTTGGCAGTCTTGCTCAATTGGTTCCTCATCTTGTGGGAGAAAAGTGGCAGGGTTGAGGGCTGCACACGTGTGTATTTGAAGCACCGGTCCCTCAAGGAGTAGTTCCTGGTATCTAAGCAGGCAGTTGTCTGATAGTCATAAACTTCCTTTGGCACCTACTATGCCATTTACATCATGTGTAGTCCAGACAGTGAGATCCTTTCCTTGTATTATTTTGATAGCCTCTGATACTAAGATGGCTATTGCCTCAACTACCTGTAAACAGTGAGGCCAGCCTTTTGCTACTACATCAATTTCCTTACTTAGGTATGCCACTGGTTATGGGGTTGTCCCACAAGTCTGAGTAAGGACTCCAAGAGCTATTACTGCTCTCTCTGTGATGTATAAAGAGAAGTTTTATCTTGTGTGAAGGCTTAAGGCTGGAGCTTGTAGTAGGGCCTGCTTTAAGGTTTTGAAGGCTGTTTCTACCTCTGGTTCCCATTCTACTAGATGAGTATTTGCCCTCTGGGTCTCCTGGTTCCTCTGCCTAAGATTAGGCCTAGATATTTGACTTGTCATAGGCAGAGCTGGGCCTTCAATTTAGATGCCTTATACCCTTGATTAGCTAGGAAGTTCAAGAGATCTAGAGTGGCCTGCTGGCATGAGGCTTCTGAACTGGTAGCCAAAATTAAATCATCCACATACTGAAAGACTAGAGTGCCTGGACTTGAGAAGTGGCCTAGATCTTGGGCCAGTGCCTGACCAAACAGAGGAGGGCTATCCCTAAACCCTTGGGGCAAGACTGTCCGTGTAATTTTGGATGTGTGGTTTGTGGGATCCTCAAAGGCAAAAAGAAACTGGGAGTCAGAGTGCAGGGAGATACAGAAGAAGGCATCCTTGAGGTCCAGAGCCATGAACCATTCTGCTTTCTCTGGTATTTGAGAGATCAGGGTATAGGGGTTTGGTACAACTGGATATAAAGGAATTACTGCCTCTTTGATGGGTATAAGATCTTGCACTAGTCTCCACTGACCATTCGGTTTTTGTACTCCTAGAATTCAGGTGTTGCGGAGACTGCTGCATTTTCTTACTAAGGCTCGAGCTTTTAAATGTCTAATAATATCCTGTAATCCTTTATGAGCTTGAGGCCTTAAGGGATATTGCCTTTGATAAGGAAAAGTGGTGGGGTCTTTTAGCCTGATTTGTCCTGGGCAGGCATTTTTGCCCTTCTGAATTGTCCTTCCAATGTCCAGACTTCAGGGTTGATTCCCTCCTCAAGCAGGGGACAAAAAATGGGTAACTTGTTCCCCATATTCATGTAGATAATGGCTGCAGCTTTGTCTAATATGTCTCTCCCTAATAAGGGTGTGGGACTTTCAGGTATAACAAGAAAGGCATGTGAAAAGAGCAAAGTCTCCCAATTACAACTGAGGAGGTGGGAGAAATACCTGGTTACAAGCTGTCCCTAGGATTCCTCAGATGGTAATGGTGAGGACAGCTCTCTGGGACAGGAGATTAACACTGAGAAAGCTACACCAGTGTCCAGGAGGAAGTCAATTTCCTGGCCCTCAATGGTTAAACATACCCAGGTCTCAGTGAGGGTGATGACATGAGCTGGCACTTGCCATGGGCACCCTGTTGGATCATCTGTTGGGGGCTTCTGGTCCAGAGAGCCTTTGTCCTCTGGGGCAGTGCACCTTCCAGTGATTGCCTCGGCATAGTGGACGTGGGTGAGGGGGCAGCTTGTTTCTTGTTGGACAATCTTTTTTAAAGTGTCCTTGCAAACCACATTGATAAGCCTTACTGGGTGATTGGCCTGCTCCATTTTCTGTCCTCTCTGAACCACCAAGGTTTGTTTGTCTGAGGGCCATGACTAAGGCTGCAACCTTTCTCTGATCTTGCTTTTCCTTTATGGCCTGTTCCTCTTGGTCCCTATTATAGAACACCAAGGTTGCCAGGTTTAATAACACCTCCACATTTTGTTCAGGGCCTAGGGCTTGCTTTTGGAGCTTTCTCCTGATATCTGTGGCTGATTGGGTAATAAACTTATATTTCAGGATCAATTGACCCTTGAGTGAGTGGGGTGACAGGGAACTATATTTTCTTAAGGCCTCCTGTAGCCGCTCAAGGAAGGTGGGATTTTCTTCCTTTCCCTGAATTATGGTAGACATCATTGTATAATTCATGGGCTTTTTCCTAATTCTCCTTAGTCCTTCTAGAACACAGGTCAACAGACGTTTGTGACTCCAGTCCCCATGATCTGAGTTGAGGTCCCACTGGGTATCCATACTGGGGATGGCTTGCTGACCGATAGGGAATTTGTCCCTTTCTTAGGCTGTCATTCTATCATTTACTTGACTAAGATACCAGGTATCTCCAAACTCTCAGGCTGCAGCTAAAGCCACATTCTTTCCATTAAAGGCCAGGGTTTGATCTAACAATAGCATGACATCTCTCCAAGTGAGGTCAAAGGTTTGCCCTAGACCCTTTAGGACATCTATATACTTCTCAGGATCATCTGAAAACTTCCCCTGGTCTGCTTTGACCTGCTTTAAGTCAGAGAGGGAGAAGGGGACATGTACCCGGGTTGGGCCAAATTCCCCTCCCCGTACAGCTTGAAAGGGACATAACTGATAGCCCGGGGGTTTTTGTGGTCCCTTGGAGATTTACTTGCTTGTTTCCTTCTGGGTGGGGAAGATTAGATGAGGCTCATCATTAGTAGGATGGAGAGCTATAGGAAGGCTTGGATATGAGGGTAAGCTGAGAGGTCCTCTTGTGGGATGTAAATTGCAAGCTTTGCTTAGTTGTGGATTCTCCTTCAATGAGAGGAAAGCTTGGACATATGGTATTTCACTCCATTTGCTTTCCCTCTTACAGAAAAGATCAAGCTGCAGGATAGTATTGTAATTTATACTTCCCTCAAGTGGCCATTTCTCCCCATCAGAGAGAGAATATTGGGGCCAGGCCATAGTGCAGAAAAAAAATGAGCCACCAAGGGTGAGCCTGTTGATGCCTGAGTGTTTCCTATCTGAAAGAAAAAACCACTCTTGGTTTTGGTTTTTTTCCACCCCCCAACCCCTGCCACCCAAGAACCCACAATGGTCCCTGGACACTGCTGATTGGAATAGTTGTGCTCACTGACACAGCAGTAGATCCCCCTCTTGCTCAATTACCCACAACGGTCCCTGGACCCTGCTGATCAGAATAGTTGCAGTCACCAACACAGCAGCAGAAACACTAGTTTTCCTCCTAGACTACAAAGAGGACTGAGGAAGGTTGGATTTAGTGGCCCTTACCAATGCATTCTCAAAAACCTGCACTCTTGCCTTTCCTCTTAGACCACAAAGAGGAACAAGAAAAATCGGATTTAGTGGCCCTTACCAATGCATTCTTGAAAACCTGTTACAGTCCTAACTGTTTTCTCTTGTTGGTATTGGGACCTTACCCTTGTCCTATAAAGATGATGTGCCTCAAAAATGGACTGGAGGGCCATACCCTGAGGGAGGGAAGGGATCTCCATGGTTGGAAGAGTGACGCCTTTGTCCTCACCTCTCATCATATAAATAGGAAGGATATAATTTCTGAGGCTTCCCATATCCTAGCTTTGGGAATAGCCTTTGTTAGGCCTGCTAGTCTGAGGGAGGATCCTAAAATTCCAGATAGTGCCCCCCCCACTGATGGGGCTTTGGGAAAAAATTTTGTCTTTCTGATTGGTGAGGCTGGGTGCCTGAAGAAAGGAAGACAGCCCCAAAATTTATACTAGAAATCATTCTTATAGGAGAAACTAGAAAAGCACCAGAGACAGGGAGTGGTTTTTAGAAGCAGGACTAGCCTCAGAGAAGAGAGGCGGGAGGAAGTTTGTCTGACAGGCATTAGGACCCAGGAGGCAAGGGTCAGGATAGATAGGATAGATGGGTGAGTCTCGCTTGGGTGATGTGACATTGAGAGTTCCGCTCATGGTTACAGGGTCAACCAACTTTTTGTCAGGACCCCACAGCTGAATGGCTTTCCTCTCTGTCAACCCTCAGCTCAGTCCAGAAGTACAGGAAAAGCTGAAGCTGGTTCCAGGCAAACCAACACTCCCAGCTCTGAAGAGTTGGGGGTTGTTAGAGAGCCCTTTCCCAGAAAGCCTAACACCTGTGTCTTTAGTCTGGTGGCCACGCTAGTTGCTTTTAACTGGCCAAAAGGTGCCCAGTGTTTAGCCCCTGAATTCTAAGGAGAAATAGGACAGAATAGCAAGAGAAAGGGGTCCGATGGTACTCACCGCTTGGCAATAGTCCCTTTGTGGTCACCAAGATGTGTCCAGAATTGGTTCCTTCAAGTGGGTTCTTGGTCTTGCTGACTTCAAGAATGAAGCCATGGACCTTCGTGGTGAGTGTTACAGCTCTTAAAGTTGGCACAGACCCAAAGAGTGAGCAGCAGCAAGATTTATTGTGAAGAGCAAAAGAACAAAGCTTCCACAGAATGAAGGGGGACCCAAGCAGGTTGTCGCTGCTGGCTGGGGTGGCCAGCTTTTTTTCCCTTATTTGTCCCTGCCTGTGTCCTGATGATTGGTCCATTTTACAGAGTGCTGATTGGTCCATTTTACAGAGTACTGATTGGCCCATTTTACAGAGCAAAATGCTGATTGGTGCATTTACAATCTTTTAGCTAGACACAGAGTGCTCATTGGTGCGTTTACAATCCTCTAGCTAGACAGAAAAGTTCTCCAGGTCCCCACTCAACCCAGAAAGTCCAGCTGGCTTCACCTCTCATTACCTTTCAAGATAAATGTTGTCACCCAAATCAGCCTTAGAGAAATGACTTGTACAAAGACACATATTTGAAACCAACTCCAATACCTAATGTTGGGAGAAAAGCTGAGTGTTGGGAGAAGCTGAGGTAGGGCTTGCATGTCTGACATAATGTAAAAGAGTCATGGAACATGTCCAGGGTCCAGGATCTAAAACCCCTTGTGGCCTTTGGAACACCAAGCTCTGTGCTAAAACGTGGAAGGTTACCCTGAAGCGCCATAATCTAAGACCCGGGCATAAAAGCCCTCGTGGCATGGATAGAATCCAGGGCTCATGGCTCTGGAATCTGTCTAGAATTGGTGGCTGCTTGTTCCTTGTTCTCCCAGGATCGATGGTATCTTGAGTTAAAAGAACCTGCTCTCCATTATCTCAAGTAGCAGAGCATATGCTAAACTGTCACAACTGTAAATCATGTGCTTAATGCAACACTCCTTTTCAACCCCACATTCTCACCACCTGTTTCTTTGTTTGATCACCAATAAATAGTCTGGGCTTCCAGAGCTTGGGGCCTTCGCAGCCTCCATACTTAGCAATGGCCCCCTGGACCCACTTTCTCTCTCAAACTGTCTTTTTCTCATTCCTTTGACTCTGCCAGACTTCATCACCCTCACGACCTGGTGTTGGGTCTGATCACCCCAACACCGAAGCTTCTTCCACTAAATTATGCAGACAGCTATTTGCAACGAGTATCTTCTACAGGAACAAAAACTCAGTTGGCTGCTGAAGAACCCCGAAGTGTGAGTGTTTAAAGGTTAGTGAGGTCAGCAATAGGGATGGCCAGGTAGGATTTCATGGACTGTGGGCATCTGCTGGCTGTTAGCTCAGATTCTGATTCTCAGACTCATTATATGACCGATTGCAAATGAAATTCCTGTCTTGATCTCCATGACCAGCTTCCTGGGCTATGGGAATGTGTTCAAGTTCCATGAGGTTGGACAGTTTGAGTTCAATAACAACCTAGATAACTTGAAGAAGATTCTATTTTGTGTGTCTAGACCAGTGTTGAATAACAGATAGTCCTGCAAGTGAATCATTTCTTTTGTCTTTGATTTGCTAACACTAATTCTTAGAGCCAAATGCTGTCCAATTAGGAATGAATTGGTTCTGCTCTGCCTACTAATTTATCCCGAAAGAAATTATGAAGATTACAAAGTGACTTTAACTCATCTAGCTATAAAATGATACACAAATACAAATAGCTTCTCAATTTCCAGAAAACAAGTATACACTTATATCGCTACTGGGTTTCTAAATATTAAAATCTATTGAAGGCCAGCTTTATATGTGCCCAAAGCCCTACCAAGTTCATACCATTTTCTCCAGGAATATTGTCTCTAAAAATATATTCAACAAAGCCGAGTGCTGTAAAAATAGATTTATGAATTCTGTTAATCATCACATATCAACACATTATTTCATTCCAAACTAAATGAATTTTAATTTATGTTTCTACCCATGAAACAATCAGAAAAATCAAGATACTGAACATTTCCATTACTTTCAAAAGTTGTCTCTTGGCCCTTTGGAATCCACCCTTCCTTCCACCCTTGTGCATAGGTAACCACTGCCACTGTATTTTGTATTCTATAGAATTGTATGTTAGTGAAATCATGTAGCACATGTTATTTTGTGTGTGGATTCTTTCAGTCTGTGATTTTGAGAGCATCTATGACATCTGTATCTGTAGTTTTTTGCTTTTTATTGCTGAGTAATGTTGCTGAGTTTTATTCGTTCACCTGCTGATAGACATTTGGGTCATTTGCAGCTTGGGGTATTATAAATAAATCTTCTATGAATATTCATATACAAGATTTTGTATGGGAAGATGTTTCCTTTGTTTTTGGTAAATATCTAAGCAGTAGAATGGCCATACCATGTGGTAGGTATATGTTTAATTCATTAAGTGAAAAATTTTAAACTACCTAAACAAATAACAAAAAGTAAATCAAATATGCTCTCTCCAAATGGAACCACCATGCAGTAATTTCTAATTTTAAAAGTATAATTCTGAGGAATTTTATGAACATGAGAAAATGTTCGTAATGAATTATTATGTAAAAATAGAAAAAAAACGGGCTCTCAAAAGATGTGTATGATCTTTATAAAAAAGACTTGTAGAATATACAATAATTTCAACGATGGTTAGTTGCGAAGGTAATTTTCATTTTTTCTAGCTACAGAGGCAGAAATGTGTTATGAAAAAGGTAGCAATATGTAGTTTATGTATATATATAGTTTGTATATATTTCTTGTCTTTCTAAAGGCCTACCTGCACTCCAAAGGCAGGAGTTTTCGGGTGTGGGAACTCTGAGAAGAGAAAGTACAGTCAGAACAAATGTTTAAAGATAGTATTTTGAGTTGTTTCACTCCTACCCAAAAGGCAATGACCAGCTACTAATAGAAGTATAAATAATAGGTCTTCACTTCTTTCTGGAGCAAGACTTAGGGTGCATAAGTAAATAAATTTTTAAATTTGCCTACCATTTTATTGTTAACCAAGTTGTTTTCACATATAATGACTCTGGTTAATCCTTACAATCACCCTATAAGTGGTCCCAAAGGAGTTTATTGCTAGAATAAAACTGTAAATAGTGAGTTTAAACATTGCTAGCAGATAAAGCTCCCTCATCAAGTGTTTTATTCAAAAATATAAACTTTTAAAAAGTTACTTTATCACCGGCTTACTTTGCACATCCCATGTGTACAAGTGCTTGAGGAGAAAGCCATCATGGCATATGCCAGTGAAAGAATTATTCTGAGATACCTTTGTGTTGCTATAAGCAACCACAGAGATGTAAGCAGCAATCTAACGTTTGGGTCTTTCTTAATTTTAAGCACAGAAGATCCAACATAAGAAAATAAGGAATTCTTTTATTTTATTTTTTATTTGTTGAGATGGAGTCTTTCTCTGTTGCCCAGGCTGGAGTGCAGTGGCATGGTCTTGGCTCACTGCAACCTCCGCCTCCCGGGTTCAAGGAATTCTCCTGCCTCAGCCTCCTAAGTAGTTGGGATTACAGGTGCACGCCACCATGCCCAGCTAATTCCTGTATTTTTAGTAGAGACTAGGTTTCATGTCGGCTAGGCTAGTCTCGAACTCCTGACCTCGTGATCCACCTGCCTCAGCCTCCCAAAGTGCTGGGATTATAGGCGTGAGCAGTGCACCCAACCAAAAATGGTTTTCTCTATGTATCTCCTCTTTTCCTTAAATCCACCATCTTCTGCTCTCTCCTCATCTCCAATAATATTTTCCTCAGTGAAAGATGAGTGATCCCAACTCTAAAACCTAAGGTGGGTAAATCTAGGTCAGTGGCACAAAGCCTTGGTGATGTCGAATAGATCCTGTAATTAATGTTTTCTCAGGTCCTTGCTCTGGTCTTCTTTAAGGAGTGGTTCAGTCACTAAATATCCATTAGAAACTTGCAGACTAACTAGAATATGGAACTCATTTATCTAAAGCCGTGGTAAAACAAAGCAAATTCTCCTACCTTCCTTCCCCTTCCTCCGGGATTTCTAATCCCTAATTATTTTCGCCCCTTAATATTGCATTTATACAATTTATTTCACTTACTTTATTCAAACAAGCATCATGATTTTATACAATTTTTTCCAACCAAATTATCAGTTGTTCCATTTCTCATTTTATTCATCTCTGTATCACCTGAAGAACCCAGTATAGTGGCTTTGTACCTAGTAGGTGTTCAATATGTTAGCTGATTTAAATTAATTTCATTGATTCATAGTCCATTTTATGAGACAGTATCAGATTAATGTACCTGACAGACTGCTTTCATCATACTTTTTCTGACATAAGGATCTTCACAAGCTCCCTATTGTCACCTAATGTTGGTCTGTTAGTGCCAGCCTGATATAGACGGTGGACTTCCTGTTTTCCTTATGGATTTACTGTACATTGCCCCAAAAGCTCCTTTTCCTCCAAACCCAGAAAGAGATAAGGTCTCAGCAGCTTACACGGTCTTTAGTATGAGCAGTATTATTTCTAGTATAGGCATGTAACTTCCCTGAACAATATCAAGAACTGTGAAATTTTTCTCTGCTTGCAAGCTAACAAGTGAGCCTGCCACAGTTTCATGGATGCTGATAAAAAGCACAAGACTCCTATGTCAGACACACAAAAACTACATTACTCACAGCAATAGCACGTGTCAGAGTATTAGCATTTATGCTGATTCCCCAGTCTAGCAACACACAGAGGACCATATCAAACCATCCCATGCAGAACACATTACTCACAGCAACAGCTTGTGTCAGAGTATTAGCATTTATGCTGATTCTCCAATCTAGCAACACAAAGAGGGCCATATCAAACCATCACATGCAGTAGGTTCCATTCCAAGAAAGGAACCCTGAACTTGTGGAACTGGAATCTTTTGTAATGGTCAGAAAGCATGCCTGCCCTTTGCTCCAGAGGAAGATAGTATCTCTACCTTTCCAGGCTGTAGGTATATCTACCCTTTGCTGTGGAGGGCAACACTATCTCTACCCTCTAAGGATATTTGCTATGCAAATCTAGAACAAAAAGGGAGGCAATTTCTTGCTTCACAAGTTGTGCAGAGATGCAAGATACCGTGGGAAATTGGCCCCCACCACTCATCTCTATGTCATTCTGTTTCTGGCAAGTTTTCCCATGTGTATGCCAATCCAATGCTTACTCTGATTAATCTGACCAGCAGAGGCTAGGACCAAATCCATTCAATTAGTCTCATGCAGCATTTAATAAAGGCTACCGCCAATAGGACTCCAAGCCCCAGGAGGCAGCCAACCTGCAGTAGTAACCTGACCATCCATTCCTGGTTCCCTGATGCAGCTGAACAAACCGCATATGCCATCAGGATCTACTTCAGAAAGTCAAGTGTCTTTCTCTAAATTTCTGTGTTGACTTTCCCACTTCACCTGAGACATTAATCCAGGTACAACAGGATATATTAGCATTTACACAGACTCTGTGCCTTTTCCAGTAAGGAGGATATCTAGGGCAATATTTTCAGCCACAACAACCTTTTCCAGTGACCTGGGGTTAAACAGATTGCCTTCGAGGGCAAAGTTGGTATCAATGTCAGGGTCAAAATTTTTACCAACTTTTATATTAAATGACACTGTGTGGACACCTGTCCATCATATGTGTAACTGTCTATGGGGTGAGCGTAAATAATGAGTCAGTTATCTCTCCAGGAAGTTCCTACAAATATCCAAGGATGGCCTTATTTGGAATGATCTTGCAGCCATCTGAGGGCTACATGATATACTATTGCCTTTTCTTTAAGCACTTGAAGGTCTCTTACAATTACCTTCAAGATACAAGTCACCCTACTTTTGGAAAAACCACCATCCCCTTGCCACAGCTCCCAGGTCCTAAAGTATTGCCTCCCCGGCTGCTGAGATGGTTGTTTTTATCCCATTGCACAAAATGTGGCCTGTCTCTTAAACACCCTCAGAATTTTTATCTAGGAGAGCCCAGTGCAAGAGGGAAAAAAGAATTTGTATAAACCATTCAGAGATCCATTGTGGCTTCCAACTTTGTACCACATGGGCCTCCAAGGAGGACTGCAAGCAGTATATCCAACCAAGACATTATTTTTATGATCTTGGACTCTGTCGATCAAACAACAGAACTCAAGGGCCTGAACTAGAACTAAGTTTGACTCTCCTATGTCCCCTTTTGGCAGAAGTATCATTCACAGGGCATGTCAGCTGCGTTGGTGTGGGGTTGTCTTCAGGGAAAAGGAAAAAAACATCATATCCAAGAATGGTGGGGGAGGAATCCCAAGGTTTCAAAATAGATTTTTATAAAACCCTACTCCTTTCATCCTGATCACTACCCAGGAAGCAGGTGAGAGAAGATGATTCCTCTCTGGGTAGAGCTGCATTCAATGACCAAACTGACTTACTAGGGTATGGAGCAGGTTAGAGAGAGTCAGAAATCCTCTTGAGTTAGTTTTTGAAGAGGCCATTCCAAGCTCAATGATACCAGATGCCTGCAGATGATAAGGAACATGAAGGCTCATCAAATATGTTGACTCTCAGCCTGTTGTTGAGTGGTTGTTGTAGTAAAAAGTAAACCTCTGAATCACATTTTAAGTCTGAAAATGATCTGGAAAGCTGAAAACATGATTCGTTTCTAAAGCCATAATGGTGTAGCCAGCATCAACTGGCTGGACTGGCATCAGCAACATAGAGTCCTTTGTGCCCAGTCTATGATAGTTGATGTCTGGCCGTGTCCAGTCTATGATAGTTGATGTCTGGCCGTGTCCAGTCTGATGATGGACCCAGGCAGCCATGTGCCAGTCTCTGTAGTGAATGTTCTACTAACAGCTTCATTACAGTCAGTCTCATCACACAACAGGCCCTTCCTATGAACATGTGCCTCAGTGACACAGACGGTTCAATCAGCAATTCCAAACACTATTTTACTATTCTCCAAAGAGTATCTTTAATCTGCCAGTCTCTGATTTTTCCAAGGAGCAGACTGAATCACTGGAAATAGCTCAAAAGTCAATAAGAATATGACAAAGTTCATGAAGGTGGATATTGGCTAGAGTTGTAATCACAACCTTTTATTCTGCCCACTCAGTCGAGACGGTACACATCATCAGGTTTCAGCACCACTAAATCATCAGTTAACCAGGCGCAAGCATTTAGGAGAACCTCTGTGAATTGAGGGCCCTATTGAGCCAGTGGTTTTCCTATAGGCAGTGGAGTAGGGGAAGGTGAAGTTTCCTCCAAATGAAACAACTGTCACTTTTCCATGTAAAACTGCTGGGGCTGGTCCCTCTACATTCTCGAATATAACATTTTCAATGGAAAAGAAAATCTTGCACCCCTCTTACCTTGTCACTCAGTGAGTGTAAATTGATTCACCACAAATAGAAATATCAGTCTATAGAATATCAAAATCTCCATAAGTTAAGGGTTCAGTTTCTACAAGAGCCCAATAGCAAGCTCATAGCTGCTTTTCAAAAGGTAGTCAATGAGTCCAAACTCCCATGATGCACCCCCAGACTGAGGCTGGCTCCCTTTGCCAGAGGCTCCAGTTGGCAAAATCGTAAGTCATACAGACTTATAGTTCAAGTGGACTTTAGAGTTAAGGTACCCCAAAGGCACCAGTACCTCTCTATACATGTAACTCTTCCTGATTGGAATAATCCCCTTTGGCATTTATAGGACAGAGAAGTAAAAGCGCGTAAGATATCAATTCCTCCCACACATTCAGGTGTAGAAACAATAACAGCATTACATTGAATTGGCCCAGAAGGTTTTACCAACAAGGCCATGTTAGTTTTTCTTTCCCACCAACCTTGCTCAAAACCTACAAGTTGAATTCAGGTCCCCTCTCCCTCCACAGGATTTGGTAAGGTGGTGTCTTGCATGCTTGTATTCAATGGAACTATACAAGTTTAAGTCCTTCCCCGTCCGGAAGTTCCCCAGCATTCTCAGACTGGTGAGTATACAACCTTTGGTACTCCTTGGGACAGGGAGACCTCAGCCCTACTGCAAATCATCTTTTCCTTAAAGAAGCTGAGGTTGGAAAAAAGGGGGAGAGAGGGATCCGGTGGCACCAACAGCAAGGATGTTTGGTTTCAGTTTTTAGCAATATGGTGGCTGTTTATCACTCAACCAAATGAAATTCCAGTGTGTCTTCATCCATCCAAAGCCAATTTTAGCTGTGGGAACCCTTTGACTCAGCAGGAAATTGTACGTTTGGCGTCCTCCACATTACTTTCTAGCTAGAACACTCAGGATTGTCATGTTTGGGTGACCTTGAACTTGACTTTCACATTAGCATCTTTTTTTGTAGATAAGATATACAGATTTATTAAATAATGTTAGTATCTATGAGTACCACATAACTGTCTACTTCTCACATAGATATAATTGTCCTTCTGTAACAGTTTTATTGAGATATAATTAACATGCAATTAATTGATCTTTTAAACTCTACAATTCAAATCCTTTTTCATATATTCAGAGTTGTGCAGCCATCACCACAATCAATTTTAAAACATTTTTTCACCCCTCCAATGAATCTTCATACACATTATCAGTCACTACCCATTCATCCACACCCCTCACCAATACCCAGCCCCTGGTAATCACTAATCTACTTTCTGTCTGTATGGATTTGCCTATGCTGGACATTTCATATAAACAGATGTACACTATATACGGCATTTTGAGTCTGGTTTCTTTCACTTAGCATAATGATTTCAAGGTTTATCCATGTATTTTTTGTAATTTCTATTGTCAAGCTATAATTCACACAACATAAAATCTGCCATTTCAAAGTGTATGACTCAGTGGTTTTTAGTGTGTTCACAATGTTGTACATTCATCACTACTATCAAATTCCAGAACATTTCCATCGCCCCAAAGAGAAACCATGTACTTGTTATCAGTAACTCCCAATTCTTCACTCCCCACCATCCCCTGGCAAGATTCATCTATGTTATATCACATTAAAGTACTTCATTCCTTTTTATGGCCAAATGTTCCATTATATGAATACCATAATTTGTTTACCCATTCATCAAATGATGGACATTTTGGTTGTTCCTAGTTTTTAGCTATTATGAATCATGCTGCTATAAACATTCATGTATATGTTTTTGTGTGGACATGTGTTTTCAGTTCTCTTGGGTATTGCTATAATCTGAATGTTCCATAAAATTCATATGTTGAAACTTAATTGCCAATGTGATAGTATTAAACAGTGAGGCCTTTGGGAGTTAATTAAATGATAGAAGTGGAACCTTTATAAGTGGGACTAAAGCCAAGAGGCTTCACGTGGCATCCAGCCCCTTTTTGCCCCTTTGTCCCTTCCACTAGGTGAGGACACAGCGTTCGGTCCTTTTTGCTCTTCTGTTTCTTCCACCTTGTGAGAATACATCCCGTCCCACTTGCCCCTTCTGGCTGTGTAAGGACACAGCAACAAAGTACCATCTTGGAAGCAGAGAGAACAGTCCTCACCAGACACCAAAATGCTGGTGCCTTAATCTTGGACTTCCCAGATTCCAGAACTGTAAGAAATAAATTTATATTTTTTATAAATTACTCAGCCTGTCGCATTTCATTATAGCAGCATGAACAAACTAAGATAGGCTTATAGCTAGGTGTGAAATTGCTATGTCATATGATAACTTAATGCTTTGCTTTTATAGGAGCTCCCAAACTGTTTGCCAAATATGCTGCATGATTTTACATTCCTAGCAGCAATGTATGAAAGTTCTAATTTCTCCATGTCCTCATCAATCTTATTATTATCTGTTATTTTTGTTACAGCAGTCCTAGAGGTTATGAAGTGGTGTCTCATTGTGGTTTTGATTTGGATTTTTTGAGTATTAATATCGAGCATCATTTCATATGCCTATTAGTGTGCTTACATATCTTCTTCGGAGATATGTCTATCTATACTTTGCCCAATTTTTAATTAGAGTATTGGTCTTTTATTATTATTTATGTATTCTAGATGCAATTCCTTTACCTGATATATGATTTGCAGATATTTTATCCTTTATGTGGGTTATCTTTTCACTTTCTTGATGGTCTCCTTTGAAGCACAAAAGATTTTAATTTTGATGAAATCCAATTCATCTTTTTTTCTGCTTTTGATTTTGATATCATTATCTAGGATGCCAAACCCAAAGTCACAAAGATTTACTACTATGATTTCTTTTTAAGAGTTTCAAAATTATAGCTCTTACATTTCAATTGATAAACCATTTTGAGTTAATTTTTCTTAATGTGTAAGGAAAGGGCCCAACTCCATTTTTTTGCAGGTTGGTACCAGTTGTCCCAGGACCTGTTGAAAGGGCCATTCTTTCCTTCAGTTAATTGTCTTGGTATCTGTGTTGAATATCAACTGACCATAAATGTAAGACTTTATTTCTGGTCTCCTGATTCTGTTCTGTTGATCGATGGTGTCTATTCTTTTGTTCGGTAGCACCTTGTTTTGAAGGAGTTCACTTTAATCCTGAGCATTTGCTCTCCATTGTCATGGTAAAACCTCATAAATTCTTGCTTTCTTCCAAGATAAGGAATAAGAGAGTTTTCTAGGACAATTGAGCTAATCACAGGCATTTATATATAAATTTATTTGAGACAGTTTATCATTCTCCAGTGGGTCACTTCATCAGCACTGAAACTCATTCTGCATACTCAGTGCATTATCTCTGGTTTTCCATGGGATTTTATCTCTCTCAAGGAAATTTACCCAAGGAGACTGAACTGCCTTATAGCTGCCAAATCCTACAGCCAAATACTCTGAGATCTTTTATTATCATCTTCAAATGGATCTAAGGTTTGCATAAGACTGCAGGAAGGGATGAGTGATAAGATGACCCAGCTGCCATCTTTGTTCCTTCACACAGATAACATGGCCTGCCCTTTCCCTCCCAAGTAATCAGCCAACGTTCTGACAATTTGCCTGGATTCTGACCATAGTGGCTGTGAATTTCACTGCATTCATGATTGTGTAGATGCACATCTCTCTAACTGTGAAAGCTCTGAAACTTTGCTTTACTTATCAGCTAACAAGGTAGCTTGCTGCATTTTCATGGATGCTGGCAGAAGGCATGGGACCACTACATTAGAGACAAAGAGCAGCGTGTTACAGCAATAGCCCTAGTAAGTGTTCAGAGTAACAATATTTGTTCTAGTTCCCTTAATAGCCCTAGCAGTCTTAATTGCTACCTGGTAATATGAAAAGAAACAGATGATATCTTCTTATGCAATGGATTATCTTCCAGGAGAGATACCTGGTGCTTTGGGAACCCAATCTTTTATAATGGTAATAAATGTATTTACCCTTTGCTGTGGAAGGAAACACTCTTTACCTTCCAAGGCTTTGATGAAAACTGCCTTTTGCTCCAGAGGAAGACACTATATTTTCTTTTCTTTTCTTTTCTTTTTATGAGATGGAGTCTCACTCTGTCACCTGGGCTGGAGTACAGTGGCGTGGTCTCAGCTCACTGCAACCTCTGCCTCCCAGGTTCAAGCAATTCTCCTGCCTCAGCCCTCCAAGTAGCTGGGATTACAGGTGCCCACCGCTAGGTCCAGTTAATCTGTTGTATTTCTAGTAGAGACGGGGTTTCACCATGTTGGCCAAGCTGGTCTTGAACTCCTGACCTCGTGATTCGCCCACCTCAGCCTCCCAAAGTGCTGGGATTACAGGTGTGAGTCACCGCACCTGGCCTGGAGACACTAGTTTTTGTTTGTTTGTTTGTTTTTGAGACGGAGTCTTTGCTCTGTCGCCAGGTTGGAGTGCAGTGGCGCAATCTGAGCTCACTGCAAGCTTCGCCTCCCGA